>NC_000022.11:16634863-16955716 GCF_000001405.40 Homo sapiens | reverse complement strand
CTCCTCACCCATGGCCTCCAGGCCGAAGGCAGAACAGGCATTTCTAGTTCAAGGTGAGGCTGGAGGCATGGGACCTGGAGGAAGAGAAGGTGAACACTTGGCCCAGAGTGTTTGGGATCAGAAACACAGCAATGACCTTGGTTTGGAAAATAAGCGGTATAGCAAGGTAACCCCCGAAGTCCCTTCTAGCTCTGACATCCCATAGCCCCAGGAGCCAAAAATTAGTGTGTCCTAACATCTTGTGATGCCAGGGTTCTAAGGCTGGGGCTCTGGTCTGCCACAGAGTTCATGTCAACATCATCCCACCCACAGCAGCCCCCACACCCCTTTCTCCGTGGTTCCCCAGGAAAGAACATACAGACCCCTGCAAAGCAGCAAGCTCCACCTCTGTCCCAGTCCACTGCTGCAGCCCCTGTTCGGGGTCCTGGCCCTAGAACCACCATGAGTTATTCTACCCACACCGCTTTCTCCCTGCTTCCCCGGGACAGGGCATTCAGACCTATGCAGGGCAGTGCATCTGGCTCCAACACACGGCCCCAGTTCACTCCTGCAGTCCCTGCTCAGCACCCTGGCCCTAGAGTCACCCAAAGTTATCCCCCTGCCTTCAAATGAGAAAGGCAGGCATCAGTATGAGAATTATCCTGACAGAAGAGGACACGGTGGTGTAGACTGGCTCCTGATGGCAGAGGTGTGGCCCTGTGGCAGACAGGAAGGAGATCCTCTTCATGCCCATATTCCCTGGAACAAGCTGATTTCCAGATCCCAGCTTTGTTTCTCTTCTCACTAGACAATCTGGAAAGATCACTCATGCATTTCTCCAAACAGCCCACTGCATAGAATAGCACTTCTCAAAGTGTGGGCCACTTAGCTGGTCCAAGGCAATGCAAGGCAAGAAATGGAGGAAGCATTTAGAAACCTGTAAAGCATTGTGATATTACCATGGCCATATAAGCACAGGATCATTTTTTTTTTGGTAAGTCATTTTATTGTATTTTACAAAAGTAATGGTCTGCAGCAGACCAAAATTAGAAAAAAACAAGTCCTTCACCAGGAAGTTTGAGAAGAACAAGTAGCAGCAGCTTGGAGATCACATCCAACCTCCTCTGCTGAACCTGAAGCTCAGAGAGGAGAAACTGACTTGAAGTCATACTATAAACCTGGATCAAAGCTTACTTTCACAGAATCAAAGCTGAAATTTTGAGTGATTTTTAAGCAAGCCATAAAGTGAATAGGTAGCCATAGACAATAAATACTGCATTTGTTGCATTAAACAAAAATATGTCTGAAACCAGAATGAATGGGAGCTCCACACAGGAAGACACAATCCACCACCATGGACTCATGGAGAAAAGTCAGTGATATCAACCAGCCCAGTGAGGACCCCTCCTCCCACTGCAGCCCCGTCCCTTGTGCCCATCTTGAGTTCTCATCCCGTTGCTACCTACTGCCTTGGCAATGGCTTGAGGCCGTCTGGGGCCTTCATGTGCCCACAGACCTCGGGATCATGTCAGCAATGCAAAGCAAGACCCACTCTCTCCAGCCTACATTCTCACTCCTTTCTACCATCTATCATTGACCATAATGCAGAGAACCAAGGGCAGACAGGAAGTGCAAAATCAGCATCTATTCAAAAGCCACGAGCAAGGCCTGAGGGATGCTGTTCACGCAGCATGGGGCACCCACATTGATTAAAAACAGTGTTGCCCGTAACTGACTTGGCCATGAGCTCAGGGCAGAAACCAGTCAGCTTGCTCTCCTGTGAGATCCAGGCCTCCTGCCATAATTGCTGCTTAGTGTAATCCTCACTGGGAGCATGAAAGTCCTGAGGAGGAAACAAGGCAAGGCAGTGGGCACCAGAATCAGCCCAGTAACTGGGCTAGAAAACAGTCATCTCCTCTGGGAAGTCGTCTTCACTACATCCAACCTGGCTGGAGTCCTGGGAGACTGCCTACAAATGGTGCCAACAGCTTCTGCCTGCAAACACAGTCCAGCTTCTCATCTTGACGTGAGGGCCTTTTATGTGACCTTTCCCTTCATACCACCTTAAAGTATGCCCATTTTATAGATTAAATGACTAAGATTCAGATAGAGAAAATAATTGGCCAGGTCACATGGCAGTGAATGAAGGATTCATAAGTTCTTACAGGAGTCCAGCAGCTACAGCCCTGGTCCATTGGCCAAATCCAGTGGCATCAAGACCTCAGTGTGAGGCCCAGCGCTCGTCCTCACTTGCTGTCTGGCCATGGTCAGTGAGCCTCTCTGACTCAACCTGTAAACCTCCCTGGGCCTGGATTTCCTCATCTGTCAGGTGAGGATATGTCTACCTTCTATTAGTTTGGCATTCTATACTTCCATGGTGCTTACCCACAATCATGTTCCTGCTTTCATCTTCTACTTTTAGATTTGCAGAGTCAACTTGCAAGACAATTAGTCACCCCCTTGGAACATGATCCTACAGTCAGGACAATGGGAGGGTGCTGGGGGTCTGTGGTGTGGTCACGAGCAAGCTTTCCCCTCATTACTCTTTATCACATTAAACAGCTGCACCTGCAGCAATATTACCAAGCACTAGTTCTAATAATGATATATTTTAAAGAAAACACCTAAGCACAATGTAGTGTTTCTTAATTGATTTAAGCAGCATTTATGACAGTTACTCTAGCCCTGTTCTTGTCCCTAGATCCTGAGTACAGTGCCCTAGATTTGTACAAGGTTCCACAGAGCTTCGAGCTGGCTTAGCACCCAATACCCTCATCTCCCCAGTGCATGTCCTCTGACTACCACAGAAGACGTTGCTTGAGCAGTGGTTTAACTCACTCATTTCCCAGGAGCATTTATTAGATAATATATCAGATTAGCCAATCACCTCCCACAGATGATTAAAAAAAATCAAAAGAGCTGCCAGAGGGGAGATAACAGCATCTTCTCTCTTAGTCCCTCTTTTTTCTTGCAATTCTGCCCTATCCAAGTCTTCCTTGCCCCACACACAATAAACAAATAGGGGCAAAAAGGCAGACAGATGGACAGAACCTACCATGCACACACACATACACACACATAGAGAGAGGGAGAGAGAGAGAGATGGAAAAATATTCACAACAGAAAAAAGAACATAGAATGCCATTTTTTCCCAAAGAATGGAACTTCATACTCTTAGGAAAATAACAATTCCCCAAATTACTCTTAAGCTCCTAATGCTTCTGGAAATTTACATACGATGGCTCCCTGAGCAAGGTCTGCTGCTCCCAGAGAAACTGGCGTAGCCTGATGCATGTGCCTTGGTACAAGCACTTTCCAGAGCTTGTGTGCAAGGGAACATAAATCCAAACCATAATGTGCTTATAGAACATGTGGAAGAATTTCATAAACAATAAAATCCTATACTTTTCTGTCTTGACTCTCAAACTGGCTTGTTGGCAAGTGGTATCCAAAGCCACAGGAAAAATGTAGCACTTTTTCCTGGAGCTATATTCTCTAATATTCAACAAAGAAAAATATGCATTTATGTTAAAACAAGTGTTTATGAACTACATGCCTGAGTCTTTTTGTCCAACTTTAATTTACAATCAAGATATATGTGTAGGTTTGTTACATGGGTATATTGTATGGTGCTGAGGTTCGGAGCATGAGTGAATCCATCACCCAGGTAGTGAGCCTAGAAACCCGTAGGTAGTTTTTATCAACCCTTACACCCCTCCCTCTCTCCTCGCTCTTGTATTCCCAAAAGTCTATTGCTCCCATTTTTATTACCATGCATACCCAATGTTTAGCTCCCACTTATAAGTGAGAACATGTGATATTTGATTTTCTGTTTCTGCATCTGTTTGTTTAGGATGATGGTTTCCAGCTGCATCCACATGGCAGCAAAGGGCTTAATTTCATTCTTTTTTTATAGGTGTGTAGTACTTCATAGTGTATATGTGCCACGTTTTATTTATTCTACCCATAATTGATGGGCACCTGGGTTCATTCCATGTCTTTGCTTTTGTGAAAAAAAACTACCATTGAATGGTAGTACTGTTTTAAGTTCTCTGAGAAATTTCCACACTGCTCTCCACAGTGGTTGAACTGACTTAAATTCCCATCAACAGTGTATACCCACTCCTTTTTCAACAGCCTCATCAATGTGTTATTTTTTGACTTTTTAGTAATAGCCATTCTGACTGGTATGAGATGACATCTCATTATGGTTTTGATTTGCATTTCCCTGATAATTAGTGATGATAAGCATTTTTTTCATAAATATTCTTGTATGTCTTTTTTTGAGAAGTGGCTGTTTATGTCCTTTGCCTTCTTTTTAATGGGGTTATTTGCTTTTTGCTTGTTCAATTGTTTAAATTACTTATAGATTCTGGATACTTGACTTTTGTTGAATGCATGGTTTGCAAATACTTTCTTCCATTATGTAGGTTGTCTGTTTACTTCCTTGATAGTTTCCTTTGCTGTGGAGAAGCTCTTTAGTTAATTAGGTCTCACTTGTTAATTTTTGTTTTTGTAGCAATTGCTTTTGAGGACATAGCCACAGATTATTTGCCCAGGCTTATATTTAGAAGGATATTTCCTAGGTTTTCTTATAGGATTTTGATTAGTTTGCAATCTTTCACTTAAGTCTTTAATACATCTTGAATTAATTTTTGTATGTGGTGATAGGTAGGTGTGATGTTTAATAATGAGTGTCAACTTGACTGGATCGAAGGATGCAAAGTATTGTTCCTCAGTGTGTCTGTGAGAGTGTTGCCAAAAAAGATTAACATTTGAGTCGGTGGACTGAAAGAGGCAGGCCCACCCTCAATCTGGGTGGGCACCATCTAATCAGCTGCCAGTGCAGCTAGGATAAAAGCAGGCGGAGGAACATGGAAGGACTAGACTGGCTGAGTCTTCTGGCCTTCATCTGTCTCCCATGCTGGCTGCTTCCTGTCCTTGAACACTGGACTCCAAGTTCTCCAGCTTTAGGACTCTTGGACTTACACCAGTTGTTTGCCAGGGGCTCTCGGGCCTTCAGCCACAGACTGAAGGCTGCCCCATCAGCTTCCCTACTTTTTAGGTTTGGGGACTAGGGCTGGCATTTTTGCTTCTCAGCTTGCAGATGACTTATTGTGGATCTTCACCTCATTATTGTGTGACTTAATAATCCTTAATAAACTCCGTTTCATATGTACATCTATCCTACTAGTCCTGTCCCTGTAGAGAATGCTGACTAATACAGTAGGGGTCCAGTTTTATTCTTCTGCGTATGCATAGCCAGTTACTCAGGACCATTTATTACGTAGAGAGTCCTTTCCCCATTGCTTATTTTTGTTGACTTTGTTGAAGATCAGGTGGTTGTAGGTATGCAGCTTTATTTCTGGCTTTTATATTTTGTTCCATTGGTCTATGTGTCCATTTTTGTACCAGTCAGTATTAGGTTACTGTGTCCCTGTAGCATAGTTTGAAGTTGGGTAGTGTGATGCCTCCCACTGTTTTGTTTTGCTTTCTGTTCTGTTTTGTATTCTTTTTTTTTTTTTTGCTTAGGCTTACTTTGACTATTCAGGGTTTTTTTTTGTTGTTGTTGTTCCAAATGGATTTTAGAATAATTTTTCTAATTCTGTGAAAAATGATGTTGGTAGTTTGATGGGAATAACATTGAATCTGTAAATTCCTTTGGGAAGTATCGTCATTTCAGTGATGTTGTTTCTTCCAATCTATAAGCATGTGATGTTTTTCCATTTATTTGTGTCATTTCTGATTTCTTTCAGCAGTGTTTTGTAATTCTCCATAAAGTAATCTTTCACCTCCTTGCTTAGCTGAGTCTCTGAGGTACAATGAGGTTGTAGAGGGACTCTGAGCTCATGTCAGGCTGCTTTGGGTAAGTCCCCTTCTCTGACATCAAGTAGTTTGGTGGAAACGTGGAGATGCCCAGATCTGCTGGATGCAGAATGACTCAGCCTAGTTTCAAAGCACTGCACTCTGCTGATCTTTTTGATCTTCCCTACGCTCTGCCAACACACTACTGCCAAACTGAAATTGGATGTTCCCACTTCTGTGCCTTTTCCTCTGACTCATCTGGAGCGACCTCCTCTTGCCAGTTCCTATCTGTCAAGGCCTAACTCCTAGATCTCCTCTCTATGATGGTTTCCAGAATCTTCTCAAGTTGGCTCCCTAAGCTATCTGTACCTGTATTATAAAGCTTAACTGCCTGCTTCTGCTAGTAATAGGTATTTGCAGATTATCTTATCTCCTAGATCAGACCTTCTGTGCCCAGAGTGCAAAGCCTGTGTCTCATTCATCTTGGGTTTCCCTCTGCCCAGTACAGGGCCATGCTCCCTCCTCTTTGTTCATACTTACATTATAGCATTCTCCACACTACATTAATGCTCTTACATTAATTCCCTTACAGTGCTCTTACAGCGAATTCCCTCATTCACTGCAGACATATACTGGGCACAGAGGACAAAGAGCTCAAAACAATGTGGTCCCTGCCCACCAGAAACTCACAGTCTACCAGGAAACAAACAGTAACAGTCTCAGAAGCTCAGAGCTCTTTATTTTCCTCCTTTTTGGTGCCAAACCCTTGGGTTACATTTCCAACAAATGGAAGTCCTGTCTCCTCTGTTCACCCACCTGTGGTGACAGGGAGCTCAGGAGGTATCTAGGCAGCCTATTCCATTTTAAGTAGCTCTGACTATTAAACAACTCTGTCTCATGTTAAGTTTGAAAAGCTGAGAAGTTCCAAGTAAATACCAGATGTTCTGTTTGTTTGTTGCATCTGCCAATTCATGGTGAATTGGCCCTTAGTGTATTTGGCAATTTTTGCTTTATAAACTCATTTTTAGTATGTAGCTAAACTTGCAAGACAGTAAGGGAGAATCACCAGGGGCCAAAAAGGAAGAGAAAACTGAATTCCAGAACAGTAAATCAGAACTGATGCTCTTTTTTTCTGGAATGGGGTGGTAGGGTATGTGAGTGGACTTAAGTGTGTACCAAACTGTAAACTAGGTAAAGAAGTGTTTGAAAATACTGCTTTAAACATTTTGGGTGCCATATGGACTTAAAGCTTGAATGTGTTGAAGTGTGGTATTTTAGAGCATTGTAATGTATGGTGAAGTGTTTGTGCATACATACATACGTACATACATACATACATAAAAGATGATTATAATAATATTGCTTAAAAATGATTTAACAGTGCCTATTTAATGATTATATGATTACCTAACTGTAAACTAAACAATCAAGTGTTTACATATACTTCTTTAAACATATGACTTACCATTAAGGTTAAAGGCTTAGCTTTATCAAGTTATTTCAACACATGTATATAATGTGTGCAGTGAAGTGTTTTTAGATAGGTGTTTAAAAATAGAATCAAAGAATGTGTGACAGTTTATGAATTGTGTAATTCTTGTCATACTCAACTAAATCAGACTCTAGGGACTAGGGGGTAAAAGCACTAAGGGAACATAGCACTTGCTCCAAGAATTTTATTTTCCACAATCCAGCTGCTGAAATGGCCTGCTGTCAGCCTAAGACTAGTTTTATCTAGTGACTGACAAAACTTCCTGCTTTGACACCAAGACTAGTTTTACCTGCCACCATCACTCACCAATCAGAGCTTTGCAGCTCCCAAAAGCTTCTGTAGTGCCAATGAGCCTTCTTTCAAAACAATACATAATGTTTCTTTTTAAAATAAAGCCCCCAAACTTCTCTTTGTTCTTCAGATATACCAAAGACCACCTGGCTTGTTTGTATGCCCTGAATTGCAATTGTTGCTTCCAAAAATAAAACATTAAATTTAGAGATTCATCTTTTATTCTGACTTCGACAAATGTTACTGAAAAGTTGTATCATTACTGTGTTAATTCACTGATTTTAGGTGTTTACCACTTGAGAACCAACAAAGCAGGTTAAAGGGATACTTGTAAAGGCTTAGTTGTTTCAATGAGTGGATGTAATACATATAGTGAAGGGTTTGTAGATACAGGTTTAAAACTGAATCTAACATTAGGTATATCTCCAAATGCTATCCCTCCGCACACCAACATGGCACATGTATACATATGTAACTAACTTGCACATTGTGCACATGTACCCTAAAACTTAAAGTATAATAAAAAAACAAACAAAAACTGAATCTAAAATTATTTATTTTTTAAAACAGTCTTGCTCTGTGGCCAAGGCTAGAGTAAAGCAATATGACCATAGCTCACTCACTACAGTCTTGTATGCCTGGGCTTTAGCAGTCTTCCCACCTCAGCCTCCTGAGTAGCAGGGACTACAGGGACACACCACTATGCCCAGCTAATTAATTTTTAAAGCTATGTTTTCCAGGCTGGTCTTGAACTCCTGGCCTCAAATACTCCTTCCCTCTTGGCCTCCCAAAGTGCTGGGATTACAGGTGTGAACCACCACACTCAGCCTAAGAATGTTACTTAAAAGATGTGTAGTTAACTGTGTTAATATTGATTTTCCAGTCAAATGAGATGGAAATAGGCCAGTGCCTGGTAGAACCAAGTCAAATCCTTGGGTGGACAGGAAATGTTTGCAACTATATACACATCTTATTCGTTAGTAATGGTTAATTTTTCATGCAACATGAAAGTAATTCAAAAAATAGTGTGCATGCATGTTTTAGTTGTTGATGTTACACTTCTTTACTTTTCAATAGTACAAGACTCTCCAGTCTCCTTGTGCACATTTTCTAGCCCAAACCTAGAATTAGCTGTTTTTCCAAGGAGCAGTGCTTGCTTTTATTGGAGAAAGGCCTCGAAAACCTAGATTCAGAAGCCAAGTGTGTTTGTTGCTGCTGAGGTGTCCTTCTTCCTGGCCCTCTCAATGATAGTATAAATAAATATATGTTGGTATACTAGATTTAGCCTGCATATACACAGGTTAAGTTTAGTATACCAACATAAATTTATAAATATTTAAGTCTATACATATTTCTATACGGAGACATCCCTTTTTATATTAGGCTAAACATGAGTACAAACTACTGCTTTCAAACTTGAATGCATTATCACACAGGCCCTTTTATCCTCCCCTGACTTCCCTGTCACTTCCCATTGCAGTAGTGAGAAATCGCTCCTGCCATCTGACAACTATTTATTTGTTCAATCCCAGTCTATGATCTCAAGGGTTTCACAGTTGTTAACCAGTACCCCACTGGAAAATTTTTTTTTATCAAGTGGAATCTTCTTATTCACTCTTCCTTTTGCCTTTAATCTTGTAAATTCCACTAATTTCCAGAGTTACTGGATGATGACATGATTCTGCCCCACCACAATGAGTTTGTTTTTTGTATTTGCAAGACAGATTCTTTAGTCATATTTGCATTCCATTCTAGGATCCACCTATCTCCTAGATTATTAATGTTTTAATTTGTATGGTTTATGATTTACTCTATGCTGTAAAAATCTGTGGATTTTGTCAAATGCAGAGTGACAAGTATCCACCCTTAAAGTATACAGAATTATTCGCTTGTGCATTCCTCTCTACCCCTAGCATCCCCTGACAACCCTGGTAAACTGAACTGATCTCTTTACCAAATTTATAGCTTTGTCTCTTCAGAATGCCATTTAAATGAGATTAAACGCTCTCTAGACTGACTTCTTTAACTTAGCCATATGAATTTGCAATTCATTCATGGCTTTGTATGTCTTGATACCTTTTTCATTCTTATCACTGAATAATATTCTATTACATGGATATACTACATTTAGGTATACTTCAATTTATTGCAGGATCATTCAAGCTTAATGATCTTGTTTCATTCAACTATCTGGCCATTATAAGTAAAGGTGCAATATATATTTTTGTGCTGGCTTTTATCTTGATATTAGTTTTCAAAACACAAGTAAATATTTATGAGCATATTTGGTGACTCTTGCTTTGAGACTGTGTTTAGCTTTATAAGAAACTGCCAAAATGTCCTCCAAAGTTGCCGTGCCACTATGCATGAACAACAGCAATGAATGAGAATTCCTGCTGTTTCAAACATGATCAGCAATTGGGATTGCTGTGCAAGTAATCGTTTCTCATTTTTGTTTTAATTTCCTTTTCTCTAATGTTAAGTAATATTGAGCACCTTTTTATGCCTATATTATATATGTACCTTAATTAGTGAGGTGTCTGTTTATATATTTATATATATTTTTAAGTTTGTTTTCTTATTATTGATTTTACAGGTCCTTTTCATACAAGTCATTTCTTAGATATGTGTCTGGAAAGTATTTTCTTATGGTCTGGGGCTTGTCTTTTCCTTCTCTCAGCAGTGTCTTTCACAGAGTAGAATTTTTTAATTCTGACAAAGTCCACCATATTTTTTTTTCTCTGAAGATTCATTCTTTCAATGTTGCATATGAAATCTCATCCTCAAATTCAAGGTTATATAGATTTCTCCTTTGATTGTTTTTAGAATTGTTATAGTTTTGCAGTTTACATCTGTGGAATATTTTTCATAAATTGTGTAAGGTGGAAACTGCATCTGTGTTAATTATTTTTCCATCTGATGGCTACTTTCCTTTATTTTAAATTTTATTTCCACTACAAAAGAAATTAATTGACTTTTGTATCTTGACATGGTACTTTCATTCTTGTTATAATCATCCACTGTCATCAACTCCCAGAATACTGTGCTCCATTTCTACTTGAACTTTGAAAATTATATGATTGAATAATCTGACAGTTGAGTGAGTGACTGTGATTCAGGATCAGGGTCTCTGTTAAACAATGAAATTACACTGCTCTTAGCAGCAAGCAGGGGGCACGTGGGCCCTGCGGTGTGCGCGTGTGTTCCATTCCTGGGGAAGCACCTGTTCAGAGGAAGGAAAATACAGCAAAAGTGAGGATCCAGGCAAAGTTCCCATCCGGTTCTGCTGAGGAGGGCCTCCACAGCAAGGCTTCCCACATGAGAAGAATCCTACATTCTCTGGACTATTCCCATAGGGCTTAATTTTTCCCCATCAGGTAATATCTGAGCAAGACTCAGTTTATCAAAGGACTGCACTTCCAGTATTGCAGGCTGGAAATGCTAGCTGTGGTGGTTGTTGCAGATTCAAGATTATTTCTGAGGAGCAGTCCTGGAGCAGACCCAGGCAAAGGGGACACACAGCTGTAAAATGAAAATACTGTATATCAGGACCTTTAAATATTTGGGGACACTGGATGTGCCTGGCTGAGACACATCCCAAGGTGAAAGGGAAAAATCTGGCAATTATATATACACTTTAATGTTTAATGATTACTGTATATGAAGGCAGCTGAAAAGTATTGAAAAATTAAAGAGAAGGTATATTAACACAACATTAAGTTTCAGTATTCATGTAAAAATCAGCATTTATAATTTTACTTTGCCAAATTATTGGTTATACATTTAAAATATACATTTTAGCTTATCTTGTTTTCAAATGAGAAAACCTGCCCTGGTGTGTAGTACCAGGCAGGAATGGGCTGCCTGGGGACCCAGCGAGCTCCCAGGGCCTTTCTGCTGCTTCCTGTCACCTGTGTCCATGTGTTCTCATTGTTCAACTCCCACTTATGAGTGAAAACCTGCGGTTTTGGTTTTCTGTTCTAGAGTTAGTTTGCTGAGAATGATGATTTCCAGCTTCATCCATGTCCCTGCAAAGGACATGAACTCAACCTTTTTATGACTGCATCATATTCCATGGTGTATATGTGCCACATTTTCTTTATCCAGTCTATCATTGATGGGCATTTGGATTGGTTCCAAGTCTTTGCTATTGTGAACAGTGCCATTATAAACATACGTGTGCATGTGTCTTTAAGTAGAATAATTTATAATCCTTTGGGTTTATACCCAGTAATGGGATGGCTGGGTCAAATGGTATTTCTGGTTGTAGATCCTTGAGGAATCTCCACTCTGTCTTCCACAATGGTTGAACTAATTTACACTCTCACCAACAGTGTAAAAGAGTTCCTATTTCTCCACATCCTCTCCAGTATCTGTTGTTTCCTGACTTTTTAATGATTGCCATTCTAACTGGCATGAGATGGTATCTCATTGTGGTTTTGATTGCATTTCTCTAATGACAAGTGATGATAAGCATTTTTTCATGTGTTTGTTGGCTGCATAAATGTTTTCTTTTGAGAAGTGTCTGTTCATATCCTTCTCCTATTTTTGATGGGGTTGTTTGTTTTTTTTCTTGTAAATTTGTTTAAGTTCTTTGTAGATTCTGCATATTAGCTCTGTGTCAGATGGATAGATTGCAGAAATTTTCTCCCATTCTGTAGGTTGCCTGTTCACTCTGACGATAGTTTCTCTTGCTGTGCAGAAGCTCTTTAGTTTAATTAGATCCCATTTTTCCATTTTGGCTTTTGTTGCCATTGCTTTTGGTGTTTTAGTCATAAAGTCTTTGCCCATGCCTATGTCCTGAATGGTATTGCCTTGGTTTTCTTCTCAGGTTTTTATGGTTTTAGGTCTTACATTTAAGTCTTTAATTTGTATAACATGTAAGGAAGACGTCCTGTTCCAGTTTTCTGCATATGGCTAGCTAGTTTTCCCAACACCATTTATTAATTAGGGAATCCTTTCCCCATTGTTTGTTTTTGTCAGGTTTGTCAATGATCAGATGGTTGTAGATGTGTGGTGTTATTTCTGAGGCCTCTGTTCTGTTCCATTTGTCAATATATCTGTTTTGCTACCAGTACCATCTTGTTTTGGCTACTGTTGCCTTTTAGTATAGTTTAAAGACAGGTAGCGTGATGCTTCCACCTTTGTTTATTTTTGCTTAGGATTTTCTTGACTATGCAGGCTCTTTTTTGGTTCCATATGAAATTTAAAGTAGTTTTTTTCTAATTATGTGAAGAAAGTCAATGGTGGCTTGATGGGGATTGCATTGAATCTATAAATTACTTTGTGCGATATGGCCATTTTCACGGTATTGATTCTTCCTGTCCATAAGCATGGAATGTTTTTCTGTTTGTTTGTGTCTTCTCTTATTTCCTTGAGCAGTGGTTTGTAGTTCTCCTTGAAGAGGTCCTTCACATCCCTTGTAGGTTGGATTCCTAGGTATTTTATTCTCTTGGTAGCAGTTGTGAATGGGAGTTCACTCATGATTTGGTTCTCTGTTTGTCTATTATTGTGTATAGGAATGCTTGTGATTTTTGCACATTGATTTTGTATCCTGAGACTTTGCTGAAGTTGCTTATCAGCTGAGGGAGATTTTGGGCTGAGACTATGGGATTTTCTAAATATACAATCACATCATCTGCAAACAGAGACAATTTGACTTCCTCTCTTCCTATTTGAATACCCCTTATTTCTTTCTTTTGGCTGACTGCCCTGGCCAGAACTTCCAATACTATGTTGAATAGGAGTGGTGAGAGAGGGCATCCCTGTCTCGTGTCAGTTTTCAAAGGGAATGCTTCCAGTTTTTGCACATTCAGTATGATATTGGCTGTGGGTTTGTCATAAATAGCTCTTATTATGTTGAGATACGTTCCATTGATACCTAGTTTATTGAGAGTTTTTAGCATGAAAGGCTGTTGAATTTTGTCAAAGGCCTTTTCTGCGTCTATTGAGATAATCATGTGTTTTTTGTCATTGGTTTTGTTTATGTGATTTATTATGTTTATAGATTTGTGTATGTTGAACCAGCCTTGCATCCCAGGGATGAAGCTGACTTGATCATGGTGGATAAGCTTTTTGATGTGCTGCTGGATTCGATTTGTCAGTATTTTATTGAGGATTTTTACATTGATGTTCATCAGAGATATTGGCCAAAAATTCTCTTTTTTGTTATGTCTCTGCTAGGCTTTGGTTTCAGGATGATGCTGGCCTCATCAAATGAGTTAGGGAGGATTCCTTCTTTTTCTGTTGACCCGGAATAGTTTCAGAAGGAATGGTACCAGCTCCTCTTTGTACCTCTGGTAGAATTTGGCTGTGAATCCATCTGGTCCTGGACTTTTTTTTGGTTGGTATGCAATTAATAATTGCCTCAATTTCAGAACCTGTTATTGGCCTATTCAGAGATTCAGCTTCTTCCTGGTTTAGTCTTGGGAGGGTGTATGTGTCTAGGAATTTATCCATTTCTTCTAGATTTTCCAGTTTATTTGCGTAGAAGTGTTTATATTATTCTCTGATGATAGTTTGTATTTCTGTGGGATCGGTAACTCCACGTGTTTTACTTCAGGTGTCAGTGTACATGAATCCACCACTCTGACTTCCCAATCTCATGGGAGCGCCTCTCGTTGAACAACACTAAAGAAACCATAGAGAGAAAAGGGGTTTTGGAAAATGTGCTCCTAGAAGTGATAGTAATGATGGGGAATTGACAGCTCACAGGCAAGTAAGGTGATTTTTTCCACAAGGCTCAAAATTTTGCCAGTTACGATTTATCCCAGAATATGTTTGAATGTGCTTTCAACTATTACCAGCATGTTTGGGGTCATAGCAAGAAAACTTTATTAAGTCATAGATAAAATGGGAAAATCAGGAAATTGTATGAAATATACAACAAAGCTGTATATGATGGCTCAGGCCTGTAATCCTGTGATAGTTAGTACAGTGTCAACTTGATTAGATCGAAGGATGTTAAGTATTGTTCCTGGCTGTGTCTGTGAGGGTGTTGCCAAAGGAGATTATTATTTGAGTCAGTAGGCTGGGGAAGGCAGACCCCCCGATTAATCTGATGGGCATCATCTATTCAGCTGACAGTGAATATAAAGGAGGCAGAAAAAGATGAAAAAGTGAGGCTGGCTAGCTTTTCTACATCTTTCTCCTGTGCTGGATGCTTCCTGCCCTCGAACATTGGACTCCAAGTTCTTCAATTTGGAGACTCAAACTGTCTCTCCTTGTTCCTCAAGCCTGCAGACAGCCTATTGTGGGGCCTTGTGATCCTGTAAAGTAATAAGTAATAAACTCATATATGTGAGTTCTATATAAATCCATATATATAATATGAGTTATATGTAGACTCACATATATCATATGAATTTATTATGTATTGGTTATATTACATATTAACTTACATATGTATGTCATATATATAATATATAAATATATGCACACACACACACACACACACACACACACACACACACACGCATCCTATTCTCTCCCTCTAGAGAATCCTCAGTAATACAGATTTTGGTACCAGGAGTGGTTCTATAGGAATAGAATATTAAGAAAGGAGTTCTTTCATTAGTTTTGGTGTTTCTGGAGTTTCATTGGTTGTGGGGTTTCTGGAGTTGGCTGTGTAATATGATTAGACCCCAAAATGCTAAGGATTGAACTTCTAATAGTATAGAGAACACTGATAGTCCTTGACATGAACGGTTTAGAGAGTTACGCAAAATAAATACATTTGACACTCCTGAATCATCACTGATGACAGGCAAGGAGTTTAGTGACTCTATACTTAATACCCTTGACAAACACTTTGCAAAATAGATTTGTGAGGAAGCACCTGCATCTTTGAAGAGCCCTATAATGGCTCTTCTCTGTATGTCAAATCTAATGGAGAGAACTGCAGTCACTCAATTACAAAATTTAAATACAATTGGGAATAATTGGACCCTGAGGTGGCAGGGGCCAAGTGGTGGCACTCAACCCTCAAAGGCATGGTGAACATAGCTACAGTAATGGACAGGAGAGATAAAGCAGCAATCAGAATAGTCTGACTCATGTAGAGCTCTGGCATTGGCTAATTAATCATTGTGTTCCTAGAAGTGAAATTGATAGGAAGTCTAATGCAGTCCTACTTAATTTATATAAGGAGAAGATTTCTAGGTCAAACAGACAAAAGACTAATTGGAATTATAAAAACAGAGATTCATGGCCCCTCCATCAATTTCCAGACTTGGAACACCAAGTTTTACAGACCCAGAACACCTTGAATGAAGGGGAGGCCGGGTCTCCTTGAGGAAGGAACCCACTACATTACTGACCATTTATGAAGTTAATCTTTCTCCCATCCTTCCCCAGAGAGACTTCTGGCCTTTTACCAGGGTAACTGTGCATTGGGGAAAGGGAAATGATAAGATATTTCAGGGACTCCTGGACACTGGCTCTGAGCTGACGTTGATTCCACGCACAACGTCATTGCAGTCCTCCAGCTAAAGTAGGGGCTTATGGAGGTCAGGTAATTAATGGAGTTTTAGCTGAGGTCCAACATAGTGGGTGCAGTGGGTCTCTGGACTCATCCTGTGGTCATTTCCCCAGTTCGAGAATGCATATTTGGCATAGACATACTTAGCAGCTGGCAGAACCCCCACATTGGCTTCCTAACTGGTAGAGTGAGTGCTCTTATGGTGGGAAAGGCCAAATGGGAGCCATTAGAGCTGCCTCTACCTAGAAAGATAGTAAATCAAAAACAATAATACACCCCTTGAGGGACTGCGGAGATTAGTGCCACCATCAAGGACTTGAAAGATTCAGGGATGGGGATTCCCACCACATCCCCATTCAACTCTCCTGTTTGGACTGTGCAGAAGGCACATGGATCATGGAGAATGACTGCAGATTATTGTAAGCTTACATAAGTGGTAACTCAAATTGCAGTTGATGTACCAGGTGTGGTTTCATTGCTTGAGGAAATTAACACATCTCTTTGTACCTGGTATGCAGCCATTGACTTGGCAAATGCCTTTTTCTCCATTCCTGTCCATAAGGGCCACCAGAAGCAAGTTGTCTCCAGCAGGAAAGGCCAGCAATATGCCTTTACTGACCTACCTCATGGGTGTGTCAATTCTCTGGCTTTGTGTCATAATGTTATTTGAAGAGAACTTGATCGCTTTTTGCTTCCACAAGATATCACACTGGTCCATTACATTAATGACATTATGCTGGTTGGATCCTGTGAGCAAGAAATAGCAAACACACTAGACTTACTGGTGAGACATTTGTGTGCCAGAGGATGGGAAATAAATCTGACTAAAATTTAGGGATCTTCTACCTCAGTAAACTTGCTAGGAGTACAGTGGTGTGGGGTCTGTTGAGATATTCCTTCTAAGGTGAAGAACAAGCTGCTACATTTGGCTCCTCCTACAACCAAGAAAGAGGCACAACACCTAGTGGGCCTGTTTAGATTTTGGAGGCAACACATTCCTCATTTGAGTGTTACTCCCGCCCATTTATTCAGCGACGCAAAAGGTTGCCCATATTCACTGGGGTTCAGAAAAAGAGAAGGCTCTGCAATAGGTCCAGGCTGCTGTGCAAGCCACTCTGCTACTTGGGACATATGACCCACCAGATCCAATGGTGCTTGAGGTGTCCGTGGCAGATAGAAATGCTGTTCTGAGCCTTTGGCAGACCCCCATATGTGAATCACCATGGGGGCCTCTAGGATTTTGGAGCAAGACCCTGCCATCTTCTGCAGATAACTGCTCTCCTTTTGAGAGACAGCTCTTGGCCTGTTACTGGGCTTTGATGGAAACTGATCATTTGACTATGGGTCAACAAGTCACCATGCGACCTGAACTGCCCATCATGAAGTGGGTGCTTTCTGACCCATCTAGCCATAGAGTGGGTCATGCATAGCAGTATTCCGTCATCAAATGGAAGCGGTATATATGTGACTCGGCTTGAGTAAGTCCTGAGGGCACAAGTAAGTTACGTGAGGAAGTAGCTGAAATGCTGATGGTCTCTACTCCTGCCACCCTTCCTTCTCTCCCACAGCCTGCACCGATGGCCTCATGGGGAGCTCCCTATGATCAGTTGAGGGAGGAAGAGAAGACTAGGGCCTGGTTCACAGATGGTTCTGCATGATATTCAGGCACCACCAAAAGCGGTCAGCTGCAGCACTACAGCCCCTTTCCAGGACATCTCTGAAGGACAGTGGTGAAGGGAAATCTTCCCAGTGGGCAGAACACTGAGCAGTGCACCTGGCTGTGCACTTTGCATGGAAGGAGAAATGACGAGATGTGTTTTCATATAGTGATTCATTGGCTGTAGACAATGGTTTGGCTGGATGGTGAGGGACTTGGAAGAAGCATGATTGGAGAATTGGTGACAAAGAAGTTTGGGGAAGAGGTATGTAGATAGACCTCTCTGAGTCGTCAAAAACTGTGAAGATATTTGTATCCCATGTGAGTGTTCACCAACGGGTGACCTCAGCAGAGGAGGATTTTGATAATCAAGTGGATAAGATGACCCGTTCTGTGGATACCACTCAGCCTCTTTCCCCAGACACCCCTGTCATCATCCAATGAGCCCATGAACATAGTGGCCATGGTGGCAGGGATGGAGGCTATGCATGGATTCAGCAATGTGGACTTCCACTCACCAAGGCTGAACTGTGGCCACTGCTGAGTGCCCAATTTGCCAGCAGCAGCAGAGACCAACACTGAGCCCTTTGTATGGCACCATTCCCTGTGGTGAGCGGCCAGCTACCTGGTGGCAGGTTGATTATATCGGACCTCTTCCATCATGGAAAGGGCAGAGGTTTGTCCTCACTGGAATAGACACTTACTCCGGATATGGGTTTGCCTACCTGCACGCAATGCTTCTGCCAAGACTACCATTCACAGACTCACGGAATGCCTTATCCACCATCACAGTATTCCATACAGTATTGCCTCTGACCAAGCACTCACTTTACAGGTAAAGAAGTGGGGCAGTGGGCTCATGCTCATGGAATTCACTGGTCTTACCATGTTCCCCATCATCCTGAAACAGCTGGATTGATAGAACAGTGGAATGGCCTTTTGAAGTCACAATTACAATGCCAACTAAATTACAATACTGTGCAGGGCTGGGGCAAAGTACTCCAGAAGGCCTTGTAGGCTCTGAATCAGCGCCCAATGTATGGTACTGTTTCTCCCATAGCCAGGATTTACAGGTCCAGGAATCAAGGGGTGGAAGTGAAAGTGGAACCACTCACTGTCACCCCTAGTGATCCACTAGCAAAATGTTTGCTTTCTGTTCCCGCGACATTACGTCCTGCTTTACTAGACATCTTAGTTCCAGAGGGAGGAATGCTGCCACCAAGAGACAAAATAATGATTCCATTAAATGGGAAGTTAAGATGGCCAGCTGGGCACTTTGGGCTCCTCCTACCTTTAAGTTAACAGGATAAGAATGGAGTTACAGTGTTGGCTGCGGTGATTGACCCAGACTATCAAGATGAAGTCAGTCCACTACTCCACAATGGAAGTGAGGAAGAGTATGCGTGGAATACAGGAGATCCATTAGGGCGTCTCTTGGGATTATCATGCACTCTGATTAAGGTCAATGGGAAACTACAACAGCCCAACCCAGGTAAGACCTAAATGGTCCAGATCCCTCCGGGGTCACAACCTGCTGAGGTGCTTGCTAAAGGCAAAGGAAATACAGAATGAATAATGGAAGAAGGTAGTAATCAATACCAGCTGTGACCATGTGACCAGCTGCAGAAATGAGGACTGGAACTGTCATGAGTATTTCTTTCTTCTTTTCTTAAAAAACATCTTTGTGCATGTATACACTTGTACTAAGAAAATATCTTGATTTCATTTCCTTTTTCTTTATCAGGTGACATAAGAGTTATTGACTTCATATCAGCATTTAAGCATTGTTCACTTTATGTAATAGTATTTGGGTTGGCGATTGGTGCGTTTCCGGTTGTAGGAAGGATAGTTATGTTAGGTGTAATTACGACCACATTATTGTCTTTATTTTAAGATTAGGTATGATCTCAGGAGATGTGTATGTGTTCAAGGTGACAAGGGGTGGGCTTGTGATGGTTAATACTGAGTGTCAACTTGATTGGATTGAGGAGGTAAAGTATTGGTCCTGGGTGTGTTTGTGAGGGTGTTGCCAAAGGAGATTAATATGTGAGTCAGTGGGCTGGGAAAGGCAGACCCGCCCTTAATCTGTGTGGGCACAATCCAGTCAGCTGCCAACACAGCTAGACTATAAGCAGGCAGAAAAATGTGAAAAGAGATGGGCCTCACCTCCCAGCCTACATCTTTCTCCCGTGCTGGATGCTTCCTGCCCTCGAACATGGACTCCTAGTTCTTCAGTTTTGGAACTCTGGCTGGCTCTCCTTGCTCCACAGCCTGCAGACATCCTATTGGGAGACCTTGTGATTGTGTGAGTTAATACTTAATAAACTTCCTGTATTAGCCAGTGACATCTAGAGGGACAGAACTAACAGGAGATTTATACATATACACACATACATACACACACACATATATACACAGACACACATATATATATACACACACACACACATATATACATATATATATATAAATGTAGGAAGTTTCCGTTTTTCCCTCAAAACAAGTACGTTCCCCCAAGTTCAGGCCCCTGAATAGGCAGCAGGAGGGTGTATGCAGAGTCTCCACTAAAGTGATTTGACCACTCCTAGTCAGGCATCAGTAATACTCCCCAGAACCCCAGGCTGAAGCCCACTGATGCTGATGTAGTTCAATCCACTTCCTCTACGACTGCACCAGGCTGAGATGCCTTGGCCCCTGTTAAAGATGTGACATATAATGGATGCGAATCTGTGTTCAGTTTTGTCCAAATCCAAGTGATTTCTCCATATACATGGGTACTTACTGGAAAGGAGATGGAGACTCTCTGTCCTAGATGTGAGACAGGAGGCTGGCACCTGGGTTAGGATGACCTTCCCTCACTGCTAAAGAGTAAAAGAGGAAAGAAAGTGGCATTGATAGTGCAAGGCAGGGATATGCCCTGAGCAGCAGCTGCCCTCACTAGGAGGGAAGACTCACTGTCCTGGTCTTTCCCAAGCTCTCCCCGTCACCTGATCTCCAGGAATCCAGGCTCCAGAGGAGCTCCTCCTGAGTCCCCAGGAACATGCTAGTGGGCAGTGCAGCCCAGACCATTACTCAGGGAATATGGCATTAGTCTTTTTTTGGAGACAATTGATCCCTGAATAATTTCAAGTTTATCCTAATCCATGCTTCTATAATTGGAGGAAGAAACAAGTGACTTTTTTTTTATTTTTTAAGTAGTCAGGTCTAGCATCACTACTCAGCCCTTCATGCTGATGAATCCTGGGAAGAAATAACCAATGACAGAAACAGGAATAGAATATGGAGGCCCTGAAACCAAAAATAAGATGCATTCCATAAAATCCCTGGCGTTAAAGAGGTCCATAGGTTTGGATAATGGTAGATCTGTGAGCAATACATGCTTTGAGGTTGAGGGTATCATCTTTGTGCATCTGCAGGGAATTGCTTGAACAGATAGTGATAATCATAATAATGAATTAAAGTCATTCCAAAATACTGAAAGTATTTAAATACTGAAATATATTTAGCATTATCTTGATAAATTTTTTTAAAGGGAAGAAACAATTTCACACTCACAGAAATGTTGTAAGTATACCACAATGTATCCCCTTCCCTTTCAGAGTATATCAAATACCCGATGATCACACCCTCTAAAACTTTACTATCATTTTCCTACAGAGAAGAATATTCTCCTAAATAATCCCAATACACCAATGGAATATATTATTTCATCAGGTACTCAGCAGTATTTCAAATTTTGAGAAGTATCAAAAAATGTGCTCTGTGACAAAGTGGTCCCCAGGAAGAAACACGTTATTTACAGACATATCTGTACTGCCCTGGTTTGACCTGGGACCCTAGGGACATTGTTCCTATGCTGAGTTACTGAGATGAGCCAGCCCTGCAGCTATGCCCAGCCTGCTCCACTCCCTGCTGATTAGCATGTTCCCAGAGCACAGCCCCCTGCCCTGAAGACTTCTTAATAGGCTGGTCACACCCTGTGCAGGAGTCAGCCCCAGTCAGGACACAGCACGGACGCGAGGGCCCCCACTCAGCTCCTGGGGCTCCTGGGGCTCTGGCTGCCAGGTAAGGAAGGAGAACACTAGGAATTTACTCAGCCAGTGTGCTCAGTACAGCCTGGCTCTTCAGGGAGGGCTTCTTATAAATGATTGATTATGTAGATGTTTGTTTTTATGTTTCCAACCTCAGGTACCAGACGTGATATCCAGATGACCCAGTCTCCATCCTCCCTGTCTGCATCTGTAGGAGACAGAGTCACTATCACTTGCCAGGTGAGTCACAGCATTAGTAATAAATTAGTCTGGTATCAGCAGAAACCAGGGAAAGCCCCTACTCTCCTAATTCATGCTGCAACAAAACTGCAGACGGGGGTCCCATCCTGGTTCAGTAGCAGTCAATCTGGGACAGATTTCACTCTCACCATCAGCAGCCTGCAGCCTGCAGCGTGATGATTTGGCCACTTATTACTATCAACAGCATTACAGTTACCCTCCTACTGTGTTGCAAGTGATAACATAAACCACACAGGGAAGCAGATGTGTGAGGCTGGGCTGCCCCTGCTGCTCCTCCTGGTGCCCTCATCTGCTGAGAGCAATTCTCAAATTGCAGTCAAACTTTGAAGGTCATTGGAAAGTTTTGGTAGAAGGGTCTATGAAGTCTCCTGTATACCTTAACAGTCTTTCCTTCTCCTCATCCCCAGTAGCACAGACATGGCAATGTCTCTCCTGATTTCATTAAGAAGTGATTATTACACCTGAGGAGTCTGAGTTATGGTGTCAGTTGTAATTAATATCTCAAAGAATAAGCCACTCTTGAAATTCCAAGTAGGATTATTTTTCTAAATATAGGGAATGAGAGTCTAAACAACAGCTTTTAAAAGGCTTGGGGGCATAGTAGTCAAAGATGCAAATACTACAAGAGAAAGATTATTTGGATCTCCTCAAGAATCCAGAGTGCATCTTCCACAGAAGGTGTAATTGCCAATCGTGTGGTCTTCAGACATTTCTGGGAAGCCCAGGTTCAGGGCTGCTGATGCTCTGCTTGGAGGGCCTGCCTGAATTCTGTAGCATTTGCTTACAAGTGAACAGCCAGCATCTTATTCCAGAGGGAACTAGCACATGCAGATGATCCAGATTTAACAACCACACCTTTTCTTTATGGACGTTGCCCTCTTTGACTTTTCCCGCAGCCTTTTTCATTCACTGTACTTCTGCTGACCCCTCATGGCCATGTCTGTGCCTCCCTGCTGTCTCTGAAGCTGGGGAAGCAGCTCTGCTTGCACATGTGGCAGATCTCAGGGCCTGAAATGTGCATCACCTAGAACAGCCCTCAATCAGTGAGAACAGGTGACGTGTATAAATACCCCAACTCCCTCACCTCTCAGGTGGAATAGCCCAGAGGCATTCTCTTATGTTTCCATGTGGGCTTCAGCTCTTGTGGTCCTCATGGGTAGCTGCTGGCTGACAGGCCTTTCACTGTCCATCATCTCTTCCCTGCCTCACTTTCTGCCTTCAGTCTCAGGGTTTCCTGCAGCTTGTAATTATGGTGCTCACATGGGAATCCTTGTCGTTAGAAACCCAACCTAAGACTATAGGCAAATCCTCATTAGTGGAGGTGTCATCAAATTGTTGATACTTCTCCTCTTATAATGGATAGAGAAATTTAGAAAATGTCTAAAACATTTAATTTGTTTTATCAGTCTCTCATAGATTCTGATTAAATAGCAATTCCTTTCTTCTGGGTCACAACATCAGAGGAGCCCCTAACAAATAGCTCCACACTATGAGGTCCACATTAGAGCAGCAGGAGAAGAATCTTCCAGCCCAGGAAACACCCAGACCAGAGGGCCCTGACTCAGATCCCTTCAGCTCTCTTGCTTTATAAAGCTGCTGGCTGCTCCCTGTTCTCCCTTCTCCCAGCCGTGAGGCTTTGGATTCTTCTTTAAGGAAGGCAGCTGGCAGACAATTAGGGGGTTTGGTAGTCTGAGTAAATTACTATCCCCCCATGAAAAGATGTTCACCTTCTACCCTCTGGAACCATAAAATTAGCCTTATATGGCAAAAGGAACTTAAAATCAGCCCCTTCTGCAGTTTCTTCTGCAAAAATGCAACTTTCTCAAAGACTTTAAATCTCTGAACAGCTTTATTTCAGACTTGGGGGAAGGGTCACATCTTTCCTTGCCCTGAGCCTTCCTCCTCTCTTCCATTAGTTTCCATCTCTGACTCCAGCCTTCCCTCTTTCTTCCTAATTAGATTGTGTCCTGCAAATCTAATTTGTCCTCCTACTAGGAAATCCCACCCTCCTCAGGAGTAATGAGATCTGACCCCTAGGCTCTCAGACACCTGCAGTGTACAAAACTCAATCTAGGGGTTTACCCAGGAGATTTTCTCCCTACGTGGAATTCTGGTGCTAGCTCTCCTTATAGTAAACTGTGCTCTGTCTCTTGTCCAAATTGAAACCAAAGGCTAACAAGTTGGAAAAGGCTGAGAGATCAGAGAGAAACATCTTCTCAGAGAGGCAAATGCCATTCTTTCACCTTGTGTGAGTTTCCTATAGCAGCTGTAACAAATCACTATGTCATTACTGGCTTCAAATAGCATAGAATCATTCTTTCACAATTCTGGAAGAGAGAAATCTCACACAGGTGTCTTTGGGCTAAAATCAAGCTTCCCTGTGGGAAAGAGTTTGTTTTCTTGCCTTTTCCATCTTCTAGAGGCTGCTGTCTTTCCTTGGCCATGGCCTTTCCCTCACATCACTCAGCTTCTTCATAGTCACATCTCCTCTCCAAATCTGACCCTCCTTCCTCCCTCTTATGCAGACAATTATGATTACATGGGGTCCAAAAATACTCCAAGATAGTATTCAGTTCTCAAGATCCTTCATCACATTTGCCAAGTTTTTCTACCATAAAATTCCCCACCAATCCATTTATGTATAGAGTTGATAGTTAAACAAGAAGATCGGAAATGGCCATTGCATCTTTAGTCTGGATTTTCCCTGAGCACTTTTTGTGTTATTTTTCTAGGGCTGCTGTAACAAATTGCCAAACATTTAGTGGCATAAAAATAGAACATCCAGAGGCCTCTCTGCAGACATCTGGCTGGCTCTGGGGTGACCCCTGTCCCAGCCTCTGGAGTGGAACCCTGGGAATGGGGCAGCATCACTGGCCCTGCTCAGTCCAGCCTCAGCCACCATGGGACCCGAGGCATCTACGTCACCCCCACCACTTCCTGGCAGCCACAGGTGGAGTGAGCCTGCCTGCCCTGGGAGACTCCTGGAGAGGGGCTCTGCTTAAGGTCATCAGGCCTTGACTCCAAGGAAATCTGTGCTTATTTAAATCTTGGGATGTGCAACCTGTTTATACAGAGCCATGACAGGAATGACCTGCCCATCCACACTCCCCTTGCCCTTAGGTCTAGAAGCAGCAGGTTCCCTGGACACTCCAAGATGCTCTTCCTGGCCCTGCTCCTCTGCCTCTTGGTGATGGGCTTTCAGGGTGAGTGCATTTCCCACTGCAGACCATGCAGGGGCTTTAGCCCTTGACATGGGGATAATGAGCTCAAATGTGCTTTGGAAATTATAGTGTAACATATAGAAGTGATTTGCCTTAACTCTCATTAGGAAACTGAGGCACAGAGTCCAGGGCTAACCAGGAGGCAGAGGTGCATACAGCCCTGAACCTGTTCCCAGCCTCCCTGAGGACCATGGATCCTCTGTCCCTGCTCACACCCCATGTCCACCTCTCTTCAGAGCTCACTGTGGTTCTGGTCAGGCTGTGAAGAATGGACCTGACCATTAGCCCCTCAGGGTGGGCTCTACCATGCTTGTATCCCCTTTCATAGGTGCCCTTGTCCTGAGAACCCCTCCCCAGCCAATTCTATCTTGATTCTGATCAAATGCAAAGATGTGAGGGCCCAGGAGTACTAATTTCTGTCATGTTTAAGCATGACAGGGTCTTCTAAGGAACAGGACAGGTTTCTAGAAATCCTTTGAGAGAAGTAATGCATTGTGCTCCTGAATAGGGTGTCCTTGCAGGATGCAGGGGACAGACTATCTCAACTCCATCTCCGGAGACCTTAGCAGCATCTGGAGGTGACTTTGTCTCTATCACCTGCAGAAACAGCACAGATGTAGGCACCTCCATCACCTAGGACAAGCAGAGATCCCAGGAGGCTTCCAGTCTGCTGCTCTTTGGGGCTTCTTCCCAGGCTGCTGGAACCGCTTCCAGTTTCCAGGGAAGTTTCTGGTTTTTGCTTCTCCCTCTCCATCCATGGAGTGAAAGCTGAAGATGCTGGAGTGTTTTCCTGCCAGCAGCCCTTCAGTTGGCTTCTTACAGTGAAAAGTCCCCAACCAAAAATACCCTTTCTGGATGGAAGATTCTGCCCTGATGCAAAGACACTTGCTTCCTGCAGAAGCCATAATCTGAGAGTGTGAAGCGTTCATATTATAGTTGTCTTTGTTCTCAGAGTCTGTGATTTCTGGCCTGTTGATACAGGGGAAGATTGAAGAGTTATTACTTCAAGTTTACACCTGATCTACAAAGAGGGAGAGGCAAAGGGTTGTGAAGCTAAGGTGTTTCCTAGACAGGTGCTTTACCTGGATTGATATATTAATTTTTCCATTTTCTTGCAGCATATAAGAGCACTCCAAAACTTAAAGGAGTGAAACAACAATTTATTATTTGTTGTGATTCTATGGGTTGGTTGGGAGGTTTTTCTGCTGCCTGGCCTGGGCTTTCTCATGCAGCTGCCGTCAGCTGAATGGTTTTTATGTGTCGTGAACTGAACTAACTCTTTTTATGACAAGTATGTTTTATTCTCATCTTCAGCTGACAATACTGAGGCAGGGAGAGGTCATGAAATGCCTCCAAGGGGCGCATTACATCCAAATTGTAAGCCAGGATTCTACTCAGAAAATCTGACTCACAGAAGTCAGTGAGGAGTGTGACAAGACGGGGATTCTGCAGGGCTACCTGGATGGGACACTCTGTGAGAGGCCCCAGAAGTGCTGCTAGAGAGTGGAGTGGTCCCTGTGCAACAATTTGAGCACATGGTTTTGTCTCTTAACACCTTCGAGAAGTTCATTAATAGACATTAAGGGAGGGAAGTAGTGTGATTAAAATGGCATTTTCAATAGCTAAGAATCACAGAAAAATGTTACTTTATGTGACTCCTAAGATAATGACAAGGAAACAAGAAAATAATATGAAGGCAAAAAAGAAAACATTAGACTGAGGCCTTTGGATAGCAGGTTGAGACTCCTCGTAGTGGAGAGCACGTGGGTATCTTCTTTCAGGAGATGTGAACAAGCAGGGAAAGGAAATGTGAGCTAGAACAAAATCTTGGTTACTCACAAGAAGCCTAAGAGGAAATGAGAAGTCTTCTTCCTGAGCACCAGAAGGCAGAGAAAAAATTCTCCATGAAAAAAAACAAACAAGAGAAGTTAGAGGAATTGCATGCTCAACACATCCCACAAAACACCTTGCAACCAGCAGAGGGGGAGCCAATAATCTCAGAACTCAAATGTTTCCCAAATCTCACCATTTCCCCACCTTCACCCCCACTGCTCCACACTAGTGAAACCAACATCATCTTCATCTTAGACCATGGCCAGGCTCTCCTCAGATCACCCAGCTTCTCCCCTCACCCACCAGCAGTCTACTCCCAATTCAGTAGCCAGGGTGATCTTTTAAATAGATGAATAGTGCTCCTCCAGGGTCAAAATCTCACAAAAGTTTCCACATCACACAGAGTAAAAGGCCAATTCCTACCTGGCCCCATCTTCCTTGAACCCTCCCTGTTACTTATGCAACCGCTTTCATGGTTCTGTCCTCTGACTCACTGGACTCCAGACTTGACTCTCTGGTTTCCTGGTTCTGCCCTAAACAAGGCTCACACAGTCCCACGCTTGGAGCTCTACTCACTGGTCCCTCAGCAGTGATGCTTTTCTCCAGACCCCTCTTGGGCTCCCTCCCTGACTCCCAAAGACAACCTAGAACTTCCCATCTTAATGATCTCTCTGAATGTGTTCATAGGACACCCTACTCCATGCTTTTGCTGGAGGCGTTTTTCACATTCTACCTTATATATATATATAATTTATTTCTTTATGATTTTACACTTTATATGCTGACTCCCTTTAGATGAATTTAAGCTTCATGGGATCGGGGCCATTGTCTATTATTTGCATTGCTGTATCCCAGTGTATTGGGAGTACCTGGCAAACAGTAGGTGCTCAGTGGGGGGCACTCTTCCCAGCAGTCTGTATGTCTAGAATTCTGGGAAGATTGTAAAGAGTGGATTAAACTGCTTGTTATATGGAAATGTTTCCTTTTCCTTTTTTTATTCCTTTTTCGTACTCAGTCTTTAGGAAATAAGGAAAATTATAATTCTCAGAACTTATATCCTTTTCTCAAGTGATATTTTAGGTTCTATTTCCTGAAAACATATAATAGCAATATAACATTATTGTACTCAATTGATTATATTACATATATAATGATCTATGTACTACACAAGTCATAACTACAGTAAAATTGACTTTCCATTTAAAAGACAAAACATATCAGATTATATCAGGAGTAAAATAATTGATACTTCAGTTTTGTTAGCTAAGAAAGAAAACTGAGTACATTACTTAGATGTTTAGATAAGAAAGAAAACAAATTTCCACAATTGTGATTAATAATTTTAAATGGAATGTAATTTAAAGAGCTTCTCAGCCTGTTCAGGGGAACCTCGCTCACCACTACATGTTCACAATTCTGAGGAACACAAGAAAACCCCAGACAAGATTCTTGTTTCCATCAGTGGTGTGAACAGAGGTTTTCAAAACTGTTAAAGGGAAAAGAGTCTGAGCGTGGGTGAATGGTTGTGTTGTGCAGAATGGAGTGCTTTAGAGAAGAGAAGATACCACCCCCAATTTTTCCTGGCCAGCTGGACAGCACCATCGTCTGTCTGCAGAGAGTGGAATCACACAATGATGAGTCTGAGCCTGGAGTCTGCTTATCTTTGTAGCTGTGGTCACTCATGCACCCACAGTGCTTGGCCTAACAAAGTGATGTCCTTTACTGGTTCTTCCAAATAATGGAAAATGTTCAGGGCTCATAGAAATGATGTCTAAGCTGCAAAGGAAAAGTGTGTATAGAAGATGAATTTCTGATCAATGACTTCAGCCAGGTACAATCATGCAGCCAGGAAGATGACTGGGCATGTTAGGGGAAGAAAGAGAAAAAGAAACCATAGATTTTTATTTTTTCTTTCAAGAGGTTTGTACTAAACACCATCTGTCTGAGCCTAGGTAACTGGTGAGGTAGGACGGGGATTAAATTGGGAGTCCGGAAGGGAGAAGGTCTACCCTCATGCTGAGCCAATAGCCTTTCTGACCTGACCACTTGGGCAGGGGCTTCTCAATGAAAAAAAGAGGAGGCAGGTGGTCTCTGCAGCTAGAAGCACAGCAAGTCCAATGCTTCTTTGCATGTTCCTCCCAGCCATGCTGCTGTTCAGAGCCCATATCAATACCTGGGTCAGAACTCAGGGCAAGCACTGCTCAGTTAGGACAAGAGAGACTCATGGAAGCCCCATCTCAGCTTCTCTGCCTCCTGTACTCTAGCTCCCAGGTGAGGGGAAGAGGAGATGGCTCTACACTGAAACTCTCTCAACCTTGTTGGTTCCTCTGACCTGGCATCCCTGCTGAGCAAGAACAGTAATTATAATTCAGTGTAGATTAGTGACTGTGGTTATACTATGAAGATTGTGGGCTTGATGCAGTTTATATGAGTGATTTTCCTGTTTTATTCTAATCTCATGTCCCTCCAGAGAAGTTATGTTGATGCAGTCTCTTGACTCCTTGTCTTTGTCTTCAGGGAAAAGAGACTCTCTCATCTGTGTGTGCAGTCAGAGCATTGGCAGCTCCTTAGCCTGGTATCAGCAGAAACCTGGAAAAGCTCCCTGGTTCCTCATCTAAGGCACATCCAACAGGGCCACTAGCATCCTGGGGTTTAGTGGTCATGGATTGGAGACAGACTTTACTATCACCATCAGCTGCCTGAAGCCTAAGATTTTTCACTTCTTTGTCTTTTTTTTTAATCTTTGTTTGTTTAAAGTCTGTTTTGTCAGAAACGGTAACCCCTTCTTTTTTCTGTTTTCCATTTCCTTGGTAGGTTTTTCTCCATCCCTTTATTTTGAGCATATGTGTATCATTGCATGTGAGATGGGGCTCTTGAAAACAGCATACCAATGAGTCTTAGTTCTTTTTCCAACTTTCCATTCCGTGTCTTTTAATTGAAGCACTTAGCCCATTTACTTCTAAGGTGAGCATGAATATGTGTGGGTTTGATCGTGTCATCATGATGTCAGCTGGTTATTTCACAGACTTGTTTATGTGATTGCTTTATTGCATCACTTGTTTGAGTACTTCAGTGTGTTTTTGTAGTGGCTGGTAATGGTCTTTCCTTTCCATACTTAGTGCTTCCTTCAGGAGCTCTTGTAAGGCAGGTTTGGTGGTGACGTATTCCCTCAGCATTTGCTTGTCTTAAAAGGATCTTATTTCTCTTCACTTATGAAGCTTAGTTTGGCTGGACATAACATCCTGGGTTGGAGTTTCTTTTCCTTTAGGATGTTGAATATTGACCCACAATTTCTTCCAGTTTGTAGGATTTCTGCTTAGAGATCCACGTTAGTCTGATGGGCTTTTGTTTGTAGGTGAGCTGGCCTTTCTCTCCAGCTGCCTTTAAAATTTTTGCTTTCCTTCTCACCTTGGAGAATCTGACAATTATGTGTCTTGGAAATGATCTTCTTGTAGATTATCTTACTTTTGTGTTCTCCAAATTTCCTGAATTTGAATGTTGGCCTCTTTAGATAGGTGGGGGAATTTTTCATAGATGATATCCTGAAATATATTCTCCAGGTTTGTTTCATTTGCCCCATCCCTTTCAGGTATACCAATCAGCTGTAGAATGGGTCTCTTTACATAATCCAATATCTCTTGGAGGTTTTGTTTATTCCTTTTCATTATTTTTTCTATATTCCTGCCTGCCCACCTTATCTTAGTCAGTGTTCAAGCTCTGAGATTCTTTTCCCCACATGGTATGTTGTGCTATTAATACTTGTGATTGCACTATGAAATTCCTGTAGTGTGTTTTTCAGATCTAACATGCTGGTTATGTGCTTCTCTGTACTGGCTATTTTGTCTGTCATCTGCTGAAAATTTTTTTCATTATTTTTAGCTTTCTTGAATTGGGTTACAACATACTCCTGCAACTCAATGAATTTTATTCCTATTCCTATTATAAATTCTACTTCTGTCATTTCAGCCATCTCAGGTTCAGCCTGGATGTGAACCCTTGATGGAGAGGTGATGTAGTCATTTGGCAGAAAGAAACCATTCTGGCTTTTTGAGTTTTCAGTGGAGAACTAATTGATTAATTTTTTTGTGCTTAGTGCTTTGTGTATCTTCTATACAAAATCTTTTTTCACATGTATAGTCATGAAATATCTTTTTATGGTATTGTTTAAAAGCTTTATACTTTTGACTTTACATTTCAGGTTATGATTTACAATTAATGTGCGTATCAATATAGAGGTAAAATGTGCAGGATAAGATTCATTTTGACATCATATGGATATCCAATTGATCCAATATAATTCAGTTATCATATTTTTTTCTACTAAATCACTGCTATGGTCTGATTGTGTCCCCTCCAAAGTTCCTGTTGAAACTGAATTTTCAAGACAACAGTATTAGACATTGGATTCTTTGGTGATTAGCTCATGAGGGCTCTGCACTCATGATAAGATTAATAAGATTAATAATGCCTAAGAAAAGTGGCTTCACATTGATTCCAGCCTTCATCTGGACTCCCCCCCAAAAAAACACATAAACACACACAAAATAGCAAAACCAACAATTAGACAGCTATCCAAGAAAGAAAACAGCCCTTGGAGTGCTCCAGAATCCAATTAAAGAAGTGCAGGAACACAACGGGAGAAAAGCGCAGAGTAACCATGCAGGAAGGATGGCTGGGAGATGGCACATCTGAGAGTTTTGAGACAGCCAGGGGCAAAGAAGCAGGAGGCAAGTGTTACCAGCTAGGAGGCAGGGCCACTGCAGTCCCCATGGCCTGCTCTGTGGAGGACCCTGCAGCCTTGGCAGCTGAGGACCTCAGTATCCCCCAAGGCAGCTCCACTCTACAGCTTTCCTAATGAAGGCCCCTTAGTGTTCATTAATAAGGATCACAACAGCCTGCTCCAAAGAGGACACTGGTGATTTTGGCACTAAAAAAATCTGCAGCCATGGGCATGTACATCACCGCAGAGAGGAAGATTCTGCGACCTTCCCTCCACATCCTCCCAAGAAGCAGCCACTGTTGTGCGGCCTGGGATGGGGCTGCCTCCCAGCCCCAACTCTGCATCATCCCAACCCAGGCTCCGGGACCTCATCCTGTGTTGGCAACTCAGACCCTGAGCCACTTCCATGTGGACCAGCCCAGGCCCAAGCCCAGAGCTGCTGTCACTACAAGTGCACCCACACTCCAGAGACTGGCCTGAGGCTGCTCCGGAAATTACCTAGGACATAACATAAAAAGAGAATGTACAGCAACACAGTAGAGTGAATTGCAGAGAATAACCACACAGAGAGCATCTCTGGGAGGTGGCACACCTGAGAGACCTGAGAAATTCTGCGAAATGTGTCAAGGGTAATGAAACACATTAGTCTATGAGATCAAAAAAATGGAAACTTATCCAGGATAAACATCAAGACATGCATCATTATACAGATTGTAGTTAAAATGCAGAATCACATACAAAGTGAAAATCTCAAATGTATCAAGAAAATACTGGTTTCTTATACCAGAGAAACAGTAATAAAACACTTGGTGAACTGTTCATGGGACCAATAGAGGCAGAAGACAGTGAGATTACATATTTACATACTGGGTGGAAGGGACTCACCCAAGGATTCAATATCGAGTGAAGATATGCTTCAAAAATAAAGGTAAAGTAAAAACACTTCTTTATGAACAAAATGAAGAGAAATGATTACTTGCAGATATATTCTATAAGATATTCAAGAGGAAACTTTTCAGAATCACAGGAAATGACAGCAGATGGTAATCTGAATGCACAGAAATAAATGAAGATTTCAGAAACAGTAAAGAAAAGAGGAAGAAGCAAGGAAAAAACAAAAAAGTGTTTCCTTCAATTTATATGAAATTCTAGGCCAGGGGAAACCAAGCTATTGTGATGAGTATCTGAATTCCAGTTACCTTGACTGAAATTGGGGAGCAGCTGTTGCCTGGGAAGGTGCATGAGGGATGAATCTGGAGAATTTGAAATATTCTAGAGATTCATTGGGATGGAGAACATACAGAAAACTTAGTTGCATATTTAACATTTCAGTTGTTTACTGGGCGTGTGTATTACCTCAAGATAAAAAACTGAAAAAGCCAATTCTGGACTCAAACAAATACAAAAAAAGAAAGAAGAATTATCAGTTACTTATGGAATCTCAACCTTAGTAAGGAGAAGTGAAAAGTGCCCCTGGGAAGTGCTAAGAAACAGGAAATCTAAGAGAGGAGACGAAAGGGTCAGGGAATTTATCCTACTCATGCAGCATAGATTTTATCTCTGTTGGTTTCCCTCCAAACAGAGAAGACATTTAAGGAACTTTTCTCACAAGAGAGGCCCCTTCACCCTTCCCTTGACTCTTTCCACTCCACTGCACCCACCAGGTGATTTACATGTTGTCCCTTAGGGAGGACCTTCCCTTGTGAGTCTGAGATAAAAGCTTAGCTCTAACCTTGCCTTGACTGATCGGGACTCCTCAGTTCACCTTCTCACAATGAGGCTCCCTGCTCAGCTCCTGGGGCTGCTAATGCTATGGGTCCCTGGTAAGGATAGAAATAAGATGAGGTGGGAAAATGGGGTGGGAGGGTGAGATCTGGGGGCTCCACAGCTTCCTATATTTATTTCAAACGTGTTAGAGGCACATGGTCTATGCTCCAGGAAAGAGAATTCATATTCTTGCCTTATGAATAACCAGGATTCTCCAAGGAACTATGACCAGTGCTCTGGTTAAGATCTTGAAAATAGAGTTTCGTACTGGCTAGTAAATTGTGCATTCATTTTAGAAAGTCTACTTTTGATGATATAAATCTAAACTTGAAAAAATACGTAACTGTAAATGAATATCATAAGGGAAATCATGAAAGTTGCTCATAGTGTGTCTATATAACCTTACACTTCTTTCATGTTATTTCAGGGTCCAGTGGGGATATTATGATGACCCAAACTCCACTCTCCCTGCTCGTCACCCCTGGATAGCTGGCCTCCATCTCCTTCTGCAGGTCTAGTCACAGCCTTGTATACAGGGGGGAATAAACCTATTTGGTACCTGCAGAAGCCAGGCCAGTCTCTACAGCTCCTGATCTATTTGGTTTTGAACCGGGCCTCTGCAGTCCCAGACAGGCTCAGTGGCAGTGGGTCAGGCACTGATTTCACACTGAAAATCAGCCGGGTGGAGGCTGAAGATGTTGGGGTTTATCACTGCATGCAAGCTCTACAAACTCCTCCCACAGTGGTACAGCCCCCAAAAGAAACCTCCCTCCTGTGGCATCCCAGCTGCTCACATGCACTGCTTGTCTGGGGAGCAGCTCAGCAGGGTCTCTGGGTCTGCAGAACAGGAGGTTCTTGGAGAATTCAGGGCAGAGTTTGCTGCTGAGGACTATGGCCCATGAGAGACTCAGTTGCACCTCAGTCCCACATGTTAAGGCTCCATCAGTTGTCACATGTGGCCACGTGCTCTGGGAACAACCAGCTCTAATGAAGGGAGAGCGAATGAAAACTCATCCTCATCCTCCCTCTCTTGCCCACATTTTTCGAGTCCATTTATTTGGCAGAACAATCAGATCATGGAAGCAGGTTAGTGGTAACTCAAGTGAAATACATGTTAGAAACGACTGGTTTGGGAATAGTTTTACACATGATAACATTTGGTCATGCTGGGAAATTGCTATCTTCCCACTTTCCAAACTTTCTGTCTCCTTCACCACTCACATGAACCTGCCCTCCCTAGTATTATGATGGAGAAAGCATTGTACACCAGCTGTCAGGGAAGTATGGCTCAGAATAAATAGATAACCTATTTGATTTTTTTTCCACTTACGGATTTTTAAAATCCATGTCAAATGTAAGATAATAATACCAAAATAGTTTGACATGCCTCAGTTACCTTTTGCTGACAGAAAAATGGAGGTCTTGCAATTCCAAAAGTGGACTTTGAAAATAAACAACACAATTCAGATGTAAAACATAAAGTTTATGTGATGTACCACAGGAAAAATGTAGAATTACATGCGATTTTTATTTCCTTCTCAAATTCTTAGAATTTTAAAATTATTTTACAGACATAGTATTTTAGAGAAGAAATATTTAGTTCTATGCTGTCATAAGAAAATGATTTAAAAAATGAAAAAATGCATTATTTTTACATGACACTATTTTTTCCTGAAAATGTATTTGAATCGTCTCTTTTAATAGATTTCATTGACAATAGTGCACTAAATTTATCTGCTTTTTTAATTTGAGGGCTGCAGTGTGATAAATATCTATATACATTTTGCCATGCAACTTTAAAACCTAACAGAAATGCTTTCTGTTACAAAAGCAATAGTGCTTTCTCCACCATAATGCTAGAGCGGGCAGTTTCATGTGAGTGGTAAATGAGAGAGAAAGTTTCCAAACTAGGAAGATGGCAATTTCCCAATATGACCAAGTGCTAACATGTAGAAAACTATTTCCAAACGAGTCATTTCTAACATGTATTTCACTTGTGTTGCCACTAGTCTGCATCCATGATCCGATTTTTCTGCCAAATCCATTTGTATGACTCCGAGTAATGAGTGATGTCTGTTACCTGTGATAATACGGTGCAGAGACACATAAGACTGATTGAATTAATAGAACAAGATCCCGATGCAGGCTAAGGGCTTAAATTATACTTGAGATGATTTATTTTAAGATAATGGATTCGGCCGGGCGCGGTGGCTCACGCCTGTAATCCCAGCACTTTGGGAGGCCGAGGCGGGTGGATCATGAGGTCAGGAGATCGAGACCATCCTGGCTAACAAGGTGAAACCCCGTCCCTACTAAAAATACAAAAAATTAGCCGGGCGCAGTGGCGGGCGCCTGTAGTCCCAGCTACTCAGGAGGCTGAGGCAGGAGAATGGCGTGAACCCGGGAAGCGGAGCTTGCAGTGAGCCGAGATTGCACCACTGCAGTCCGCAGTCCGGCCTGGGCGACAGAGCGAGACTCCGTCTCAAAAAAAAAAAAAAAAAAAGATAATGGATTCCGTAGTAAGTACAATTAAAATTCCAATGTGTCATTTCTGTTATGTTTAAAAGTTGCATGGCAAAATGTATATAGATATTTATCAGGTCATAGCCCAGGTGGCATCTGCAAACCCGGAAGAAGGTCTTTACCAGAAAGCGAACCCTGCTGGACATTGATCTGGGCACCAAAAATGTGAAACATGAAAATTAAATTCTGTGGTTTATGTCATCCAGATCAGTGTTTTTGGTGTGGCAGCGCAAGCTGACTATCCACCTTCCCCACCCTCTGTGAGCAGGAGCAGCCTTAGGAGGCCCTCATGGAGGCGGGGACCCAGCTTTGCTCCTCTTCCTCCTGCTTTTCCAACTCTCTGGTGAGGAGGGAGAACTCAGGCTTCATCTGCAGTTCCTGTGCATTAAACATGAATGTTTCCTTCAGGATGAAGTTTTTAGCCCATTTTGCTTTCTCATCAGAATTTAATCGGACATGAAAGTTAAGGATTATGAAATGGGCAGATCATCCTGTATTGACCAGATGGGCCCTGGTCCAGGTGGGTCAATAAAAAGGCTTTGTTAAAATGTCTGCCTATCTCTATCTTATAAGGACATCACGATTGTCCTTATAAGATAGATAGGCAGACATTTAACAAAGACTGCAGAAGAGAAGGTGATTTGAAGACAGAGACAGAGATTGAAGTGACGTGGACACAGAATGCTCAGGAAGGAAAGAGAATCATTGCTTCCCTTTCTGCAGTTTGTTGGTAGGTGAGGTGGGCCCTGCAGAAAGATTAGCAAGCACAGAGGAAAAACTCACCACTTATTCCCACAGCTGTGTATATAGTTTTATAGGATTTCTAAACATTTTTTCCAAGGAAAAGTAAAGAACAATAACTCAAATATTTGGAAACAGGGTCAGCTTAGACAGGTCTAGAACACGGTCTGAAGGTACAACATATGAACAACCCTGTTTCTTCCAGTGCCGGAGAGATGAATTCTCAGAAGCAGAAGATACACATTCATGAAGCCTTCATTCCCTGAGCTGTCTGTGTTCCAGAATATTTATCTGTGAATATATTCTCCAGTGAGTGACAATTTACAGTTAGTGAGATAATGCAGACAGCTTCAACCCCCGGTGCCTTGCAGCCAGGAATCCAGTCACAGGACCTGCAGCTTCACGAAGGGATGCTCAGTGGGTGGCTTGCATGCAAAGATAAACTCTCCCCTTTAACAAAAAGAACCTTCATTGTGCCCCAAGTGGGGAACAGGCCTCTGTGTTACTCAACCTCATCCATGGTAGTGTTGGTTTGGAAAATATGGACTAATGCCGTCTGTAGAACAAAGTCTACAGAATTAGAAACAGTGACATAGAAATGAGCTAAAGATGGCCTGTGGGTCCTGGCCCCCATGTTGTTTATTTCAAAACTGTGTTTACTTCTTTTTTTTTTGAGACGGAGTCTCACTCTGTCAACCAGGCTGGAGTGCAATGGCGTGATCTTGGCTCAATGCAACCTCCGCCTCACGGGTTCAAGCAATTCTCCTGCCTCAGCCTCCCGAGTAGCTGGGACTACAGGCACGTGCCACCATGCCAAGCTAATTTTTGTATTTTTAGTAGAGACGCGGTTTCACCATGTTGGTCAGGCTGGTCTCCAACTCCTGACCTTGTGATCCGCACACCTTGGCCTCCCAAAGTGCTGGGATTACAGGCGTGAGCCACCGGGCCCGGCCAAAACTGTGTTTACTTCCTAATGGCCTGTTCCAAACTCAAATTTTACAATGCAATTATTTTAACAACAGCCCAAAGAAGAATACTTTTAGCCTTTTAGAAAATACTTACTTTGCATGTCCAGAAAATTTCAACCACATCTACTCGCAGTAAGATAAACCCCAGTTATGAAAACCTTAAACCAGAAACTCCCCACTGTGCTGCTGTGAGGCGTCCCCTAGACACACAGCCCCTTGTCCAGTGTCCCATCGTTTCGAGAAGCAAGCCTGGCAGCTTATTCTCTGCACAGATTCCTGCTGGGAGGGGCTTCTCTCTGCAAACCTGACAAAACGTCACCCAATAAAGTCATGTGTGCGACTGCCCCCCTGTGGCCATCTCTTTTTCCTTGATGAGCCCGCAAGTCATTCCAATCCCGTACAAATCGGATCACAGTGTCCACCCCAAACACTGACTCCAGGGTCATGAACACAAACAGTTCCACTTCTAAGACTCTTGCCAAGTCTTACGAATAATGCAGTTGCTCCCAGTTTTATGGACCCCAAACTAACCGCATCAGGAAAAGGAGACACAGCCATAATAAACCCCACCTGTATAAGTCCTCCCTCATTCAGGTGACCATGGTTCATGTTAGAGACACTCAGAGGCAGAGGCCTGCCGCACACCTAGATCCGAATGGAGGTGGTTGTGACACCTTCTGATCTGTGTCCACTGTGGAGTGACCAGCTTTGTCTGCTGTTGTGAAAGCCTTGGCATAATGTGTCAACAGATAAGAAAGGGAGGTTTCTAATCAGAATTAGTAATATTATCCTTTAAGTCTATAGGTAATAAAGAGTAATTTCAAAGCTCTTTTCTGACTAAAAAAGATTTCTACAAAATTTCACAATTTATATTTATGTACAGCAACAGATCATGAGATTTTTAAAAATCACAATGGTAACCTTCTTAACGATGTATTACTAAGTTTCATAGGAAATAGCAAGACTATCTTAAATTCAAGCTTCTTAAGGAATACTTTGCAAAAACAACATTTTCAAGAATTGACCTTTAGTAAAAGAAAACCTGACAAATTTTTTTATTGTTAGTCACTTCCCTGCAATTCAAGTTTGTTTTTAATTATAGATAGAACTGATTCCTCATTTAATACCCTTTCAGAATAATTATTTAAAACTTACAATATGATGCACCATCTCGTTCTACTTTAGTTAGGCTGATTGTGTTTTCTTTTTCTTTTCCTTCAGCCTCTGATGTTTCTATTGTTCACTAGTATGATTATTTAGGAGTCTCACTTTTTGAAGAATAAGAAGCAGGTTTGAATTGGTTAATAACATAAGAAAAAGTCAAGTGCACAAAAGTTACGAAATTTAATGAGAAAAGAGTAAATAAAATTGACATAGTTTTCTACAGTTTACTGTGAGCCTTTAATCAAATTTCTTAAGCACAATTTGATCTCCTTAACCCCCATTATTGCAATGGTGTTAAACATTGAAAGGTCTATAATATTATTTTTATTCAATTATCTTTTCCAATCTTGGAAAAAAGGTTATTTTGGTAGATTTCTCAGAAGATATTGAAACCAAGCTTTCTTCTGGAATCTTACCTAGAATTTCATGTATTTGTGTTCTTGGGCAATTAAATATAAATTTTTGTTAAATTACCCAAGATTACATAGCACTACAAGCTAGTCTTTCAGTTGTAGCTGAATTTTTTTTTCCCAGAAATGTGACTGTCTTTGTGATAGTGTTTGGTGTTGGCAGAATTATTCAGGAGCTGTTCAATTAAATACTAAGCACACCACGAACAAATCAAGAAACATGAGATTGTTTCCCTTTGTAATGATCAGCTGTGTGAAAGACTCACACCCCTGAACCATGTGCATCTTTACATGAAACCATGAAAATGTCAGTTACAGGTCCAGGTTACCCTGAGACATAAAACTGTAGATGCAGTCCTTGCTCTTCTCACATAGACAATTTCCTTTTCAACTGCAGACTCATGGCTGTGGCTGCACCACATCCAGGCTGGGGGTGACTCAGGTCTCACTCAGGGTTGGCCATAACCTGGAAGCCCTCACAGGACCTGATGCCACATGACCAGGGAGGCTGTGTGAGAAGAGTTTTCGTAAGCACCACTCAGAAAAACATCATGCAATGTTATTTCTTATTTGCTTTGTATCATTAACCAAGGAAATTCTTCCCTATGAGATCCTGCTGGTTAATCTTGTATATGTGAGATGATTATGATGCGATTATCCCAGATTGAACAGTTGGTCACCAGGAATTTTGTATTCACTGCCTGAGGTGTAACATTCTTGCCCCATTGCCTCTTACTTATGCTGGGCTCTTGGCTCTAAATGTAGAGACCCACATCATTCTCCCTGTGAGGCCCTTGGACGGAGCGCTTTTTTGGGGCTCACTCATCAGGTGCCAGGGACGGGGAGATTCTAACACTTGCACTGAATAATATTGAACAGTTATCCTGGAAACAGCACATACGAGGCAACACTTGAACTGGCTCAGGAGCACTTTTCATTTGCAGGCCCTCTGCCCGTCTGTGCTTGTGGGAATGGGGCTGTTTTCTTTCTCTAGATTGATTGGGAGGGAGGCCTGCAGGATGGCATTCACCTCCCAAAGATGCATCCTAGAAACACATTTCCACGTTGTCAGGGTCCTTGTGCGTTCTCAGTGTGGCATGCACTGCACAATGTGTCCCTGCCCAAGGTCCCAACTTCCACAGTCAGAGCCTTCTTCCCTTGACCACAGGCAAACTTGACTTGAACTACATTTGTTTGGCTCCAGCAAACATTTTATGTCACATTGTTCACAGAAGAGACATTCCCCCTGCCCCATCAACCTTTTCCACACCACTGCACCCACCAGGTGATTTGCATGTTGTCCCTTAGGGAGGACCTTCCCTTGTGAGTCTGAGATAAAAGCTCAGCTCTAACCTTGCCTTGACTGATCAGGACTCCTCAGTTCACCTTCTCACAATGAGGCTCCCTGCTCAGCTCCTGGGGCTGCTAATGCTCTGGGTCTCTGGTAAGGATAGGATCAAAAGTGAGGTGAGAAAATGGGGTGGGAGGGTGAGATCTGGGGTCTCCACAGCTTCCTATTTTTATTTCAACCATGTGTTACGGGCACATGGTCTGTGCTCCGGGAAAGATTACTCGTATTTTTTGTCTCAGGAATAGTCAGGAATCATCTCCCAGGAAAAATGACCAGTGCTCTGATTAAGCTCTTGAAAATAAACTGCTCCCTGCTGGCTAGTAACAAATTGGTTCATTTTAGAAAGTCTACTTTTCATGATAAAAATCAAAACTTGAAAAAATATGTAACTCTAAATCAAAATCTTAAGGAAAATCATGAAAGTTGCTCAAAATGTGTTTATATAACCTTGCACTTCTCTGTTATTATTTCAGGATCCAGTGGGGACATTGTGATGACCCAGACTCCACTCTCCCTGCCTGTCACTCCTGGAGAGCCAGCCTCCATCTCCTGCAGATCTAGTGAGAGCCTCTTGGATACTGATGATGAATACACCTATTTGAATTGGTACCTGCAGAAGCCAGGCCAGTCTCCACAGCTCCTGATCTATGAGGTTTCCAACCGGGCCTCTGGAGTTCCAGACAGGTTCAGTGGCAGTGGGTCAGGCACTGATTTCACTCTGAAAATCAGTAGGGTGGAGGCTTAGGATGTTGGGGTTTATTACTGCATGCAAGCTCTACAAACTCCGCCCACAGTGCTACATCCTCGAACAGAAACCTCCCTGCTGGGTTGACCCAGCTGCCCGCATGGGCTGCTTGTCTGAGGGAACAGCTGAGCAGAGTCTTTGAGTCTGCAGAGGAGAAGGCTGTTGGGGATGTCAGGGCAAGGTTTGCTGCTGAGGACGCTGGTCCATGACAGCCTCAGTAGCACCTCAGATTTCATATGTTAAGGCCCCACCAGCAGTCACAGCCTGGGGAAGGCATCAGGAGGAGGAGAATTCATGGGGGCTACGTGCCCTGGGAGCAACCAGCTATGATGAAGGGAGAGTGAATGAAAGCTCACATCCTCACCCTCCCTGTCTTGCCCACATTTGTCAAGTTCATGTAACTGTCAGAATAACCAGACCATGGATGCAGTTTAGTGACAACACAAGTAGAACACATATGGGAAATGACCATCTTGGGGTTTATTTCACACGCGATGACACTTAGTCATATTGGGAAATTCATACTCTCCCATCTTCCTAATTCTGCTCTCTGACTCCCACCAAACCGTCTCTCCAGTGTCTTACAGGTAGAAGCATTCTACACAAGCTGTGTGCAGGGGAGTACAGCTAACACTTAGAAAAAATGTTTGATGTTGGATTATTCAAATAGACTTTGTAAACTCATGGCAGGTATGAGATCTTAATGTTAAAAGATTGATTACTCTTAATTATTATTTGCCAAGTGAAAGCAGAGTTTTCACAATTCCAAAAGTGGCCTTTGAAAATAAACTGCAGGAACTCAAAGATGGAAAATATAAAGTTTATTTCAAGTAAAAAAGGGAACATTCAGAATTATGTGAGATTTTTATTTCTTTTCCAAATTCTAAAGGTTTTGAAAGTATTTAGGCTAAGTTCTATTTTAGAGTAGAAATGTATTACTATGTTTTCAAAAGAAAAGGTTTCAAAAAATACAGAAATGCATTCTTTTCACATGATTATATCATTACCTGAAAATGAATCTGAATTCAATGTTTTAGTTGTAAATGCCTGGAGCATCTATGCTTTTCATAGATTTTATTAAATATAGTGTTCTAAATGATATTGAACCCAATAATGAGTCACATGAGGTACATATAATTACACTGTGTGATAGACACAAAATAATGACAGAATCAACAGAAGAAGTTCTGCTTCAGGCTAAGGGTAGAAAGTACACTAGGATGATTGTTTATTCCAATATAACAAATTTCATGGTAAGTGCAATTAAAATTCCAAAGTTCCACTTCTGTTACGTTTAAAAATTGTATGGCAATATTTTTATAGATATCAATCACACTGGAGCCTGCAAATGAAAAAAAAAAGTGACACCATATATTTTTAAAATACTGATAAATGAATCGTTGATCTCAAGAGTCATTATACAGAATTCAGTTAAGGAATACAAAGTGTATCGGGGCGTGGTGGCTCATGCCTGTAATCCCAACACTTTGGGAGGTCAAGATGGGCTAATACCCTGAGATCAGGAGTTCAAGACCAGCCTGGCCAACATGGTGAAACCCTGTCTCTACTAAAAATACAAAAATTAGCCAGGTGTGGTGGCATGTGCCTGTGATTCCAGCTACTCGGGAGGCTGAGGCAGGAGAATCACTTGAACCTGGGAGGTGGAGGTTGCAGTGAGCTGAGATTGTGCCAGTGCACTCCAGCCTGGTTAACAGGGCAAGTCTCTGTCAAAAAAAAAAAAAAAAAAAAATGTAAGTAGTATGACCCCGAGCTAAGCAATGATGTCGTCATCTTTAGCCCTCATGTAATTGATAGCCTCTAGCAACCTTGAATTTCTGCTTTGCTGTGAGACACAAGATTAGTCCCAACCCATTCAAGATGGTTAGATATCTTAAACAAACAAACAAACAAACAAACAACTTATATAATGCTGATGTAACAAAGGGCTACACACTCTCAAAACAAAATGGTGAAAGGTGAACCATCCCCTGAACCTGAGAGAAGATACAAGCAGAATCAAAAGTGGCTGCTACAAAGAAGCTTCTAGTTACACTTGACCAAATGTGACAAGGTTTCTGTGTCTGTGCCATGGCAGTGGAGAGGCAGGTGGGTGGCCTTGGTGGTGTCGTTGGCTCTGTTCCATGAGGTCACTCAGGTCCGCAGGAGGCACGACCACCCTTAGTGCACAGCTTTCCTCCTTCCTCACAGTCACAGCCCCCATGGCCATCCTCAGAAGCGTGAGTGGAACAGAGTGAAGGGAAAGCTGTTTTCTTCTAAAGCTCAAAAATCTTGAACTTTCAAATAGGGATAAGTGTTATTTTTGCTCCAAGCACACATTTGAGAAATCTTCCATTTAGCGGATCTGATGATAAACCCACATTTTTTGTTTGTTTTAATCTGAAAATGTATTTGTATGGTTCTTGGAAATATTTTTTTGCATATAAAATTATATTTTATCAGCTTATTTCAAGTTTTATTTACCATTTGATAATTACTCCTAAAATGTCATTGATTAAAGAAAGAATCATCTATTGCTCCAACTGTTCTTTACTAAAGGTAATTTGTCTTTTTAACCTCATCAGGCTCCTTTTAAGCTCTCAAACTGACCTTATTTTTTTTTTTACAGATTCAATGCATTAAGTCAATCTATTATTTATGATGAATTTATTTATGTATTTATTTTCGCTATCACAAGTAGAAAAAGCCTATAAGTTGCTATGCCAAAAACCTGCCTCTAGATGGCAAACAAACCCCACAATACACAAAAGAGAGCCAAATTCTTAGAAACCCTGGGAAAGGAAGAGGGCTACTGTCCCATTAACCACTTGGAGCCCTTAAGGCTAGAATGAGGTGGAACATCTGGAACATCTGGGAGGAGACACCAGGGTGCGGAGTAGTGGGGAACCTGCTCTGTGCTCTGAGACTGAAAGCCCAGCCTTGCCTCTCACCGCTGCCTGGACTGTGTCCCCATCTGCTGTGAAGTGAATGGTGTCTTCTAAATTCATGCTGAGCCCTAATTGCTGAAAAGTGTAAGACATGCAATGGGGGGATTATGTGCATCTTCCCGACACCAACATGATGCTCAGGAAGGAGACTACTTGTTTTCTCTTAGGATTCTTTTACTAACCAAGATTTTGCCTCTACTGCATATTTCCCTTTGCTGATTGTCCCTCCCTTTTGACAGAAGATGGCCCAGGGGATTCACTACTAAGTCTCAACCTCTTACCCAAAGCCCTCAGTCTAGTGCTGCTCTTTCCTTCATGCTATTTTTGTTTGTTTCTTTTCTTGTAATCATCTTGGCAATAAAATAATCACTTTTTTCTTTCTACCTATTAAAGATGTTACCTTAGTTAATTACAGTGGTTTCCTTCAGAATGATAAATGGTCTTTCAAAGTGATGTAAAGAGATCTAAATCCGTGTGCTCCAGAAGTTGAATGAAGCTCTGCCTAGCACGGGTGCCAGTGACTCTCCCAGAGTGCTCCATGCAGCTGGCCCCACAGAGTCCCTCTGTGCTGTCATATCACCCACTGCCTTCTGTGAATGAGATATTCTGATTGGAATCCTGGTGGATGCTATTTGAGCCAGTGCCCCCACAACTCCTGTGAAAGCCGAGGACCACAGGCCCCTGAAGACAATCACAGGTCTCTAGACTCACAGCTCATGACCGTCCTCTGCAGACACAGCTTCTCCCCGGATGGCTGAGGGTTGTCATTGGCTGTGTCCTTCCTTGTGCATGACAACAGGAGACATAGAAGGTCTGTAAGCAGCCCTGCAAGCCAGGTTCCGAGCAAGCTCTCCTGTGTGGGGCCCTCTTACCTGGACATAGGTGTGTAAACCAAAAATGAAACTCTAAGCTCCCTAACCAACTGAATGAACTCCTCCTCTCAGCCAAGGACACACCAAAATCAACCTGAAATACAATGCAGTCCATGATCAGAACGGATGATTGGATATGCCTTAACTTACCCTCTTCCCTTTAAAATTCAGGCACAACTGACCAGCTTTTAATATGAAGACAGAGACCTTGAGACTGACAAACAAAACTCTTTATAGCAATAAGATACCAATGTGACAGATACCACATCCTAAGAGAAATCAAAGTATTTTCCCCAAGATATTGTTATTTAATGTATTTAAAAATGCCTCTGCAAAGCTGGTTCTTGTGGGAAAAATCTACATTCTGTAGAGATTCCTTTTTAAGTCTCTTTCCTGACCCAGAGAGATTTAACTAAGAGTTTGGCACCTTTTAAGTCTACTAAGAAACAATTACAATCTATTCTCTCTGAAGCCTGCTACCTGGAGGCTTCATCTGCATGATGCAACCTTGGCTCCAAAACCCTTTTCCTAAACCCAGAAACTCCCTTGTGTTGATTACAGGTCATTAGATAAACTCTTTCAACCACCTATGAAATCTTTGAATCCACCTATGACCTGGAAGTCCCCAACATCCCCCCTCCTTCGGGCTGTCCTGCCTTTCCATATCAAAGCAATGTACAGCTTACACGTATTGATTGATATCTTATGTCTCCCTAAAATGTGTAAAACCAACCTGTAGCCCGACGACCTTTGACACGTGTTCTCAAGACCTCCTGAGGCTGTTTCACTGATATTTCTGTAACTTTGACCAAATAAATTTCTAAACTGATTGAGACTTTTCTCAGATACTTATTTGTTTATAGGTATCACTGGATACACTTAAGGAATTGAAGAGATTTATGACATTGAGAAAAGGAGGAAGCCAGGGTGTGTGGAGAGAGAGAGAGAGAGAGAGAGGGAGAGAGAGAGAGAGAGAGGGAGAGAGAGAGAGAGAGAGAGAGAGAGATTGTGATGTATGTACAGGACTAACACTGAGACCTGGTTATGTAATGGTGTAGTACTGAGTATCATCCCCAAATAGTGAGGTTTCATTCCAAGAAGACTATGCATGTGTCTCATTTGGGAAAACAGCTTTTGCAGGTGTAAATTAAGGAGCTTGAAACAGGGAGATGGTCTTAGATTAATCAACTGGGACTTAAATGCAAACTCAAGTGTCCTAAAAAAAAACAAGAGGTAGAGACACATTTAGCATAGACTGAAGTGGAGATGGCAATGTGAACACAGAGACAGAGATTGCAGTGATGTGTCCACATCCCGGGAGAGAGAAGCCACCAGAAGCTGGAAGAGCTAAATCAGACTGCTCCCTAGAGCTTCAGAAGGAGCCAGAACTGATGACTCCAAGATCTTAGCCCAGTGAAACTGATCTGGATTTCTGAACTGTGAGAGATTCCATTCCTGTTGTTTGAAGCTACCACATTTTTGAGAACTTGTTACAGTAGCCCGAGGACACTAACACAAATGGGGCTCCGGGAAAATCCAGACTAAAGGTGCTGTGTTGGTTTGCAATCTCCTTGCTTAACTTTCTGATACTAGACATAAATATGTTGGTGAAAAATTTTGTGATTGAAGAGATGTACATGAAACCTACAGCTTACAGAGAAGCATCTGTTAGTTATAAGATAAATATTGATAATTTTAGTTGAAAATGACATATGACTCTTAATATCTCACATAACATTCTGAGTTACGCAAGAATGCATAAAAGGGGCACTAGATACTCTTCTCATGTATGTGTGTGTGTCTCTCTATACATGTATGTACACTTCATGGTGCATCAGCTGGTGGAACCCTCAGGACACCCCTTCACATCCTCAGTGCCCCATTTCACACATGAGGAAACTGTTCATGACAGCACATGGCTGATTTGCATAAAAGTCACTTGGTCAGCAGTTGTTGAAGCTGAACTTGGAATCTAGGTCTGTCTGACCTTAACTATGTCCCTTCCACAGAGCCACGTTCATTCCATAGAGGAACCCACCACCTATAAAAACCAGGAAAGAGACAAAGCCAGAAGTGCAGGGTGGATTTCTTAACACAAGCTCACTGCGACCTCTAGTCCTCATCATGCTGACACTAAGCTTAAACCCAGACCCTTCTACAGTTTTGTCTACAAAGCACAATTTGCCCAAAGCCGTTACAAACACCAACAGCCTTTCTTTCAGATATGGCAGCAGGGTCACATTTTACACGGCCCTGACCACATTTTATCTCCTCTGCCATCCCCATCTCTCTGACTCAGTCCTCGCTTGCAGCCATAAAAAAGGATGAGTTCATGTCCTTTGTAGGGACATGGATGAAGCCGGAAACCATCATTCTCAGCAAACTATCGCAAGGACAAAAAACCAATCACTGCATGTTCTCACTCATAGGTGGGAATTGAACAATGAGAACACATGGACTCAGGAAGGGGAACATGACACACCGGGGACTGTTGTGGGGTGTGGGGAGGGGGGAGGGTTAGCATTAGGAGATACGCCTAATGTAAATGACGAGTTAATGGGTGCAGCACACCAACATGGCACATGTATACATATGTAACAAACCTGCACGTTCTGCACATGTACCCTAGAACTTAAAGAACAATAATAATAATAATAAAAAGAATGGGTCTTGTACATCTAATTTGCCCTACAAATGTTAAAACAGCAAACCCGCGTCCCCTTCCTCTTCTCATGTGCTGTGAGGGATGACCTCCAGGCTCTCAGTTACCAAGGTTGTACAAGACCTAACCCAGAGAATTACTCAAGACACTTTCTACGTAAGAAGAATTGTGGTGCTAGCTCTCCTCATAGAAAAATGTTGTCTGTCTCTTCTTGAAATTGACAGCAAACACAACAACACAGAACTATTTGGGAGAACAGAGGACAGTGATACACTAGGGAAGTAAAGCACACCCCTTCCCCTTGCATTGGTTTCCTGTTGCTGCTGTAACAAATTACCACAACCTTACTGCTCCACATAACACAAGTGTATTGTCTTACATTTCTGGAGGTCAGAAGTCTCAGTGAAGTAAAATCAAGGAGTAATAGGGCTCTATTCAGTCTAGGCTTCAAGAGAGAGAATCCAATGTCGAGCATTCCATCTTTCTGATGTTCCCACATTCCCAGCAGCATGGCCCTTCCTCCATCACTCCAGTTTCCCCGTCCGTTGTCCCAGGTCCTCTCTGGCTGTCACCTTCCTCCCTCCCTGTTGTAAGGACCCTTGTGATTATGATGGTCTCACCCAGATAATTCAGGATACTCTCCTGACCCCCAAATTCTCAACCATGTCTGCCAAGTTATTTTTGACATATTCATAAATAATGATCATAGATTCCAGATACTAGGACAATGATGTCTTTAGTGGGTGTATTATTCATTCCACAAACAGCCCTCATCATCCACACCATGGTCTTCCCCTAAGGTAGAATAAAAATATCACAAGGCAGATTTATGAGGCGATGGACCTAGAAAAAACCTGAGACTCTAGGACTGTCTGATGTGTGGATGTCAAATCCTGGGAGATTCTGAGTCTCTGCTCTATGTGGACTCTATGCTGTGTAAACATTTGTGGAAGGCTTCTGTGATTTTGTGACCTAGAGAAAATGAATCTCTGCTAAAATCAAATCTAAGAAAGATCGGCAAAGGGAATTGAAAGATTTCCTAAAGTTTTGGAATTTCCCTATGCATTAAAACATGAGAAGTGGCAATAATTCAAACCAACGATGCCCTCCAAGAATGAGGATTTTTCCAATGCATTAGGTTGGGTCCCCTCAGTGAGAAGAATGCCAAAGATTCGCATGCAGGCAGTATATTTACAAAGTGCCAGAAACAAGCAAGTGAGCAAGGGAGGGGAGGAGGGAAAGGGAAAGTGAAAGGTGCCTCAGAAGGAGCCACCTCTGAGGATGACGAGAGCTCAAGCCCACATAGAAACACAGGAAAAATGCCTCTGTTATTCCACCTGAGAGGTGAGGGAGCTGGGGGATGTGTACGCCTCCCTTGTCATCACTGATTGACAGCCGTCCTAGGGGATGCTAATTCCAGGCCATGAGGTCTGCCTCATTTGCAGCCTGAGCTGCTTCCCCAGGTTCAGATAGAGCAGTGAAGGGGAGAAAGGGCCATAGAGAGTGAGCTGAAGTATAATGACTAGAATCCCCAAGGCGTAGTAACAATGACTGCAAAAATTATGCACAAAGAAAAAGCGCATTTGAATCCAGAGATGTATCTCTCTGAATCTGGATATATGGATCCTGGCAGCCTGTTCAGTAGCCATTTCCCAGAAATCCAGTCCTCTGGAAAAGCAGCAGGAGGTTTGTGCACAGGCTGCACTACCTTGGTCTGGCCACTGGTAGTCGTGCATGAGAACTACTCCCTGGAGTATTTCTCAGTCCACTGACACTGATATAATTGGCTCCACTTCCCCTGCTGTTGAGCCAGGCCGACACGCCCTGGGCAAAGGCATCTGTGTGAAGTATTGAGGTTCAAATCAGTGCTTAAGATATGTTTGGAGGCAAAATACTTTTTCATCTACATGGGCAGTGTCTTGGCAGAAGATGGAGATTCTCTCTAAATGGATGTGAGACAGGGTGGCTGGCATCTGGGTCAGGATGATGCCCTGGTGCATGGCAAGAACATGCATTGGGCAGCAGCTGCCCTCGCTAAGGAGAGAGGTTCACTGACCTGGCTTTTCCCCCCTCACCTGCTCTCCAGAAAGCCAGACTCTAGGGCAGATGCTCCTGAGACCCCAGGAACAGGCTGGTGGGGAGCGCAGCTCAGAGCATTACTCAGGGCATGTGGCCTTTGTCATCCTACTTTGAAGCAATTGACTATTTGAGCCTAGATTGATACAGGGCTTCAAGTTGATTTTAATCCAGGCTCCTATAGTCAGCGAGTGAAACAGAGATTTTAGTTGAAATAATGAGACCTGGTATTACTAGTCAGCTCTCCATGCTGGAGAACCATAAGAAATTATACCAAAGGCAGGAAAGGGGATAGAATATGGGGATCATCACGCCAAGAATAAGGTGCAGCCCATTTAGCCCCTGGGTCTTAAAGAGACCCATAGCTCTGGATAATGGCAGATCTATGTGTGACACAGTTATCATCTTTGTGCATCTTCAGAGAATTGTTTTTCCTTTTACTCCTAGGAACAATGTCTTAAGTTTGTTAGTAAATTCTATTGAATTTATTAAAGATGCTTCTGATAAATTCTTTTTATATCATTTCAAAAAAGAAGCAACTTCACACTGACAGAGACATTGTTATTATAACACTAAATACTTTTACACTCATCAAATTCCTTTGAGACTAACTGAAATTTCTGACAGCCCCACATTCTACAACTTTATTGTAATTTCTTGTAAATTTTCTGCCAAAAATGATGCTTTCCTATGCACTCCTAATACAAGTATAAATATATTATTTAACCTAGTCTTAGGTTGATTTAAAATTTTGAAAATTCACTCCAAAAATATGTTCTGTAACCGTATGGCCACTAATGAGAAGTGTATTCTTTCAAGGTAAATTGGTGCTGCCCTGGTCTGACCTGGGACTCTGGGGATACTGCGTCCCTGTGCTGAGTTACTGAGATGAGCCAGCCCTGCAGCTGTGCTCAGCCTGCCCCATCCCCTGCTGATTTGCCTGTTCCTAGAGCACAGCCCCCTGCCCTGAAGACTTTTTATAGGCTGGTCACACCCGGTGCAGGAGTCAGCCCCAGTCAGGACACAGCACGGATGCAAGGTCCCCCACTCAGCTCCTGGGGCTCCTGGTGCTCTGGTTGCCAGGTAAGGAAGGAGAACACTAGGATTATACTCGGTCAGTGTGCTCAGTACTGTCTGGAACCTCAGGGAAGTCCTCTGATAACATGATTAATTGCAAGAATATTTGTTTTTATGTTTCCAACTGCAGGTGCCAGATGTGACATCCAGATGACCCAGTCTCCATCCTCCCTGTCTGCATCTGTAGGAGACAGAGTCACCATCACTTGCCGGGCGAGTCAGGGCATTAGCAATAATTTAAATTGGTATCAGCAGAAACCAGGGAAAACTCCTAAGCTCCTGATCTATGCTGCATCCAGTCTGCAAAGTGGGATTCCCTCTCAGTTCAGTGACAGTGGATCTGGGACAGATTAGACTCTCACCATCAGCAGCCTGCAGCCTGAAGATTTTACAACTTATTACTGTCAACAGAGTTACAGTACCCCTCCCACAGTGTTGCAAGTCATAACATAAACCCCAAGGAAGCAGATGTGTGAGGCTGGGCTGCCCCAATGCTCCTTCTGGTGCCTCTATCTGCTGAGGGAAGTTCTCAAACTCAGTCAGGCTTGGAAAGTCATTGGGAGATTTTCCTAGAGGAGGCCAGGGAGGTTCCTCTGAACCCTAAGCCTCTTTCGCCCTCATCCCCAGCAGACAAGATGTGACAATGCCTGTCCTGACTGAATAAAGAAGAGAGATAAGTCCTGCTGAGGAGTCTGTGTTATGGGATAATCGGAATTTGTACAGCAAAAGAGAAGCTATTCTCAGTATTTCAAGGAGAAATTATTCAAGTTGAATAAATTAGAGTCTAAACCACAGTCTTTCCGAAGCCTATGGAGTGTTATTCATGAAGCAGGTACTAGACACAGGGGATTCTCAGGTGCTACTTCAGAAGCCAGGGTGCACCTGCCCCTGGTGGTATGTGCTGAACACCATGTGATGATCCTCAGTCCTGTCTGGGAAGCCCAGGGCTGGGGGTGCTGATGCTCTCAGCTGCCTGCAGCACATCTCCAGGTGATTCTCCACTCCACACCTAACTGCATGTGTTTTACTTCAGGTGTCAGTGTACATGAATCTACCACTCTGACTTCCAATTTCATGACAGTAATTAGTTGTAACTTATTGTAACCTCATGGAGCAACTCTAAAGAAACCATAGAGAGAAAAGGAGTTTTGGAAAATGTGCTCCCAGAAGTGATAGTAATGATGGGGAATTGACAGCTGACGGGGAAGTAAGGTGACTCTTTCCACAAGGCTCAACATTTTGCCAGTTATGAATTGTTGCAAAATATATCTGAATGTGCTTTCAAGTATTACCAGTTTGGAGTCATAGCTGAAAAACTTTATTAAGTCACAGATAAAATGGGAAAATCAGGAAATGGTATGAAATATACAATAACACTGTGTGTGATGGCTCAGGTCTGTAATCCTGTGATAGTTAATACTGATTGTCAACTTGATTACATTGAAGGATGTAAGCATTGCTCCTGGGTGTGTCTGTGAGGGTGTTGCCAAAGGAGATTAATATTTGAGTCAGTAGTCTGGGGAAGGCAGACCCCCTACTTAATCTATGGGCACCATTTAATCAGCTGCCAGTGAATATAAAGCAGGCAGAAAAAAGTGAAAAAGTGAGTCTGGCCCAGCCCCCCAGCCTACATCTCTCTCCCGTGCTGGATGCTTCCTACCCTTGAACATCGGACTCCAAGTTCTTTAGTTTTGAGACTCGAGCTGGCTCTCCTTACTCCTCACTCCTCATGCCTGCAGACAGCCTACTGTGGGATCTTGTGATCCTGTAAGTTAATATGTAATAAACCCATATATATATATATATATATAGAACTTATTAGTTCTGTCCCTCTAGAGAACCCTCACTAATACAGATTTTGGTACCAGGAATGGTTCTGCAGGAACAGAATATTAAGTTTGGAGTTCTTTTGTTTGTTTTGGGGTTTCTGGATTTGGCTGCTAAATATGATTAGATCCCAAAATGCTAAGGACTCTACTTTTAATAGTGTAGAGAACATTGACAGTTCTTGGCATGAAAGGTTTAAAGAGCTATGCAAAACAAATTCATTTGACACTAATGAATCATCGCTCATGAGAGGCAAGGAGTTTAGTGACTCTGTACCTAATACCCTTGACAAACACCTTGCAAAATAGATTTGTGAGGACAGCACCTGCATCTTTGAAGAGCCCTGTAAAGGCTCTTCTCTGTATGTCAGATCTAATGGTGAGGACTGCAGTCACTCAGTTACAAAAGTTAAATACAATTTGGAATAATTGGATCCTGAAGTGGCAGGTACCAAGTGGTAGCACTCAACCCTCAAAGGCACGGTGGGCATAGCTACCGTAATGGGCAGAAAAGACAAAGCAGCATTCTGAACAGTCTGACTCATGTGGAGCTCTGGCATTGGCTAACTAATCACAGTGTTCCTAGAAGTGAAACTGTCAGGAAGACTAATGCATTCCTACTTAATTTATGTAAGGAGGAAACTTAAGGTCAAACAGATAAAAGACTAATTGGCATTATAAAAACAGAGATTCATGGCCCCTCAATCAATTTCCAGCCTTGAGCCAGTTTACAGACCCAGAACCCCTTGAATGAAGGGGAGGCTGGGTCTCCCCGAGGTGTCCATGGCAGATAGGAATGCTGCTTTGAGGCTTTGGCAGGCCTCCATAGGTGAATCATGGTGGAGGCCTCTAGTATTTTGCAGCAAGGCCCGGTCATCTTCTCCAGTTAACTACTCTCCTTTTGAGAGACAGCTCTTGTCCTATACTGGGCTTTTGTGGAAACTGAACATTTGACTATGAGTCAACAAGTCACCATGCGACCTGAACTGCCTATCATGAACTGGGTGCTTTCTGACTCATCTAGCCATAACGTGGGTCATGCACAGCAGCATTCCATCATCACATGGAAATGGTGTATAAGTGATTGGGCTCAAGCAGGTCCTGGGGGGCACAAGTAAGTTACATGATGAAGTGGCTCAATTGCCCACGGTCTCTACTCCTGCCACCCTGCCTTCTCTCCCACGGCCTGCACTGATGACCTCATGGGGACTTGCCTTTGAGCAGTTGACACAGGAAGGGAGGACTAGGGCCTGGTTCACAGATGGTTCTCCACAATAGGCAGGTACTGCCCAAAAGTGGACAGCTGAAGCACTACAGCCCCTTTCTAGGACATCCCTGAAGGACAGTGGTGAAGGACAGTCTTCCCAGTGGGCAGAACATTGAGCAGTGCACCTGATTGTACACTTTGCATGGAAGGAGAAATTTCCAGATGTGCGGTTATATACTGATTCATGGGCTGTAGTCAATGGTTTGGCTGGATGGTCAGGGACTTGGAGGAAGCATGATTGGAAAATTGGTGACAAAGAAACTTGGAGAAAGAGTATGTAGATGGACCTCTCTGGTCAAAAACTGAAGATATTTGTACCCTGTGTGAGTGTTGACCAACAAGTGACTTCAGCAGAGGAGGATTTTGATAATCAAGTGGATAAGATGACCCATTCTGTGGATACCACTCAGCCTCTTTCCTCAGATACCCCTGTCATTGTCCAATGAGCCCATGAACATAGCGGCCATGGTGGCAGGGATGGAGGCTATGCATGGATTCAGCAATGTGGACTTCCACTCACCAAGGCTGAACTGTCTGTGGCCACTGCTGAGTGCCCAATTTGCCAGCAGCAGCAGAGACTAACAGTGAACCCTTTGTATGGCATCATTCCCTGGGGTGATCGACCAGCTACCCAGTGGCAGGTTGATTATATTGGACCTCTTCCACCATGGAAAGGAGAGAGGTTTGTCCTCATTGGAACAGGCACTTACTCAGGATATGGGTTTGCCTACCTGCATGCAATGCTTCTGCCAAGACTACCATTTATGGACTCAAGGAATGCCTTATCCACTATCACGGTATTCCACACAGCATTACCTCTGACCAAGCACTCACTTTACAGGTAAAGAAGTGAGGCAGTGGGCCCATGCTCATGGAATTCACTGGTCTTACCATATTCCCCATCTTCCTGAAGCAGCTGGATTGATAGAATGGTGGGACGGCCTTTTGAGGTCGCGATTACAACGTCAACTAGGTTACAATACTTTGCCGGGCCGGGGCACCATACTCCAGAAGACCATGTGTGCTCTGAATCAGCGCCCAATGTATGGTATTGTTTCTCCCATAGCCAGGATTCACAGATCCAGGATTCAAGGGGTGGATGTGAAAGTGGAACCACTCACTATGATGCACTAGCAAAATGTTTGCTTTCTGTTCCCACGACATTAGGTTCTGCTTTACTAGTCATCTTAGCTCCAGAGGGAAGAACGCTGCTACCAGGAGACACAATAATGATTCCATTAAACTGGAAGTTAAGATGGCCACTTGGACGCTTTGGGGTCCTCCTACCTTTAAGTCAACAAGCTAAGAATGGAGTTACAGTGTTGGCGGCAGTGATTGACCCAGACTATCAAGATGAAGTCAGTCCGTTACTCCACAACGGAAGTGAGGAAGAGTATGCATGGAATATAGGAGATCCATTAGGGTGTCTCTTGGTATTATCATGCACTCTGATTAAGGTAAATGGGAAACTATACCCAATCCAGGTAGGACTACAAATGGTCCAGATCCTCTCTGGGTCACGACCTGCTGAGGTGCTTGCTGAAGGCAAAGGGAATACAGAATGAAAAGTGGAAGAAAGTAGTTATCAATACCAGCTACGACCACCTGACCAGCTGCAGAAATGAGGACTGGAACTATCATGAGTATTTCCTTCTTCTTTTGTTAAAAACATGTTTGTGCATGTATGCACTTGTACTAAGAAAATATCTTCATTTCATTTCCCTTTTCTTTATCAGGTAACATAGATTTGCTGACCTCATATCAGCATTTAAGTATTGTTTACTTTATGTAATAGTATTTGGGTTGGGGATTGGTGCATTTCCAGTTGTAGGAAGGATAGTTTATTATGTTAGGGGTAATTATGACCTTACTGTTGCTGGTATTTTAAGATTATGTATGATCTCAGGAGATGTGTGTGGGTTCAAGTTCACAAAGGGTTGGCTTGTGATGGTTAATAATGAGTGTCAACTTGATTGGATTGAAGGATGTAAAGTATTCATCCTGGGTGTGTCTGTGAGGGTGTTGCCAAAACAAGATTAACATGTGAGTCAGTGGGCTGGGAAAGGCAGACCCACCCTTAATCTGTGTGGGCACAATCCAATCAGCTGCCAACCCAGCCATACTATAAGCAGGCAGAAAAATGTGAAAAGAGACGGGCCTCGCCTCCCAGCCTACATCTTTCTCCCATGCTGGATGCTTCTTGCCCTCAAACATGGACTCCAAGTTCTTCAGTTTTGGAACTCTGGCTGGCTCTTTTTGCTCCTCATCCAGCAGATGGCCTATTGTGAGACTTGGTGATTGTGTGAGTTAATACTTAATAAACTTCCTGTATTAGCCAGTGACATCTAGAGGGACAGAACAGGGTATATACATATATATATACATACACACATACATATATATATGCACACACACACACACACATATATATATTTATTTATAAAGGGGAGTTTATTAACTTACAGGATCATAAGTTACACAATGGGCTGTCTGCAAACTGATGAGAAAGGAGAGCCATGGAGTCCAATGTTTGAGGGCAGGAAGAAACCAGCATGGGAGAAAGATGTAGGCTGGGAGTCTAGGCCAGTCTCTCCTTTTCAAATTTTTCTGCCTGCTTTATATTTGCTGGCAGCAGATTAGATTGTGCCCACCAGATTAAGGGTGGGTCTGCCTTCCCAAGCCCACTGACTCAAATGTTAATCTCTTTCGGCAACACTCTCACAGACACACCCTGGATCAATACTTCATATCCCTCAATCCTATCAAGTTGACACTCATTATTAACCCTCTCACTCCCCTTCATATATATATGTATATAGTCCTCTAATTCTGTCACTCTAGAGAATGCTGACTAATACATCTACACTTCTGATGATCTATTTCTTTTATTTTAGGTCATTTATTTCCCCTGGGTTGCCTACACTCGCTTCTTCCCACTCCCCTATGAAGGACAATATAAGCCTCTGGACCTCACTAGGTCAGGGCATGTCCCTGCTTGCACTATCCATGACACTTTCCTCTTTTACTCTTTAGCAATGAGGGAATGTCATCCTTACCCAGATGCCAGCCACCTGTCTCACATCCAGGACAGAGAGTCTCCATCTCCTCTCCAGCAAATACCCATGTATGTGGGCATGGTGGCATGCCCCTGTGATCCCAGCTACTCCATAGGCTTAGCGGGGAGAATCACTTGTGCTTGAGAATTCAAGGTTGCAATGAGCCATGATCACACCACTGCACTTCATGCTGGGTAACTGAGTGAGACCCTGTGATTTTTCCCCTACATTTTACAGAATTTTTTTTTTGCCTCTTTCTTCTATTAATTTATGTTTTGTCCATTCATTTTCTGCAAACCTTTAGAGGGCAAATAGGAAGTTTCCCTTTTTAACGTGGTGGCTCACGCCTGTAATCCCAGCACTTTGGGAGGCCGAGGTGAGCAGATCACCTGAGGTTGGGAGATCTAGACTAGCCTGACCAACATAGAGAAACCCCACCTCCACTAAAAAAAATACAAAATTAGCAGGATGTGGTGGTATGCAGCTGTGATCCCAGCTACTCAGGAGGCTGAGGCAAGAGAATTGCTTGGACCTGGGAGGCGGAGGTTGCAGTGAGCCCAGATTGTGCCACTACACTCCAGCCTGGGTGACAAGAGCGAAACTCCGTCTCAAAATAACAAAACGAAACAAAAACAAACAAAAAAACACCTACTGCCTCACTGAATTAAAGGCGTGTTCAGCAGTTTCTTTGTTATTTCAAAGAGTGGCATCTGCTTCAGCAGGGTCAGTTTTTAATGTATTTGTTTTGTTTCTTTTTTCTCTGTCTGGTGTTCTTTTCTATTTTATTATAATTTTTTAAATTTGAGGGATGAGGTTTTCATAGTACTGAATATCAAACAATGAATCCACATGAATGATTCACCTAATTTCCTTGGTTTTAGTCCTCTATACAGGTTTTATATAGCAAAAGAACCATTTAAAGACTTGAGTTACAAATGTATTTTATTTTACCTCTGGCATGCCTTGGGCTGAGAAAGCATTATATGGTGGCACAATATTTGTAACATTCTCATAGCCATCTGGTGGTGGTTCGAGGTATGACGTTTTGAAAATCTAGCAAGAATTAAAATATGTCAAGTTAGAGAGAAAAATTCCAGATTATTATTAAGATATAATTCATTTTGCCCCAAGTATATACTTCAGATTAAGCATCCTGGAACTAGGTTCTATAATTAAATAGATAAATTACACTGACAACAATGAGAAAGAGCCTTATCATTATTATTGTCTTCCTAATAATAGAAACTTTTATAAATGCATGCAATCCCAGGTAACCAAAAGTTTCCTTATAAAGTGTAACAGCAGAGCTTCAAAGGTGGCACTCTGGCAAGCCTCTTTTTTTGACTATGCCTTTTCAGTTTCCTTTGTGGGCTCCTTTTCTTTCATCTTTATTTAAATAATATTTCCCTATGTTTTATCCCCAGCCCATTAGCTTGCCTCTGTACTGCCTCCCTGCGAGACTTCATTAAGTATCAGAATTTTACCAATAGCTAATATGCTTATGATGCTTACCTTTTCAGATTCGTATATTTAAATGTTTTGTGGTTATTTCACCCTGGATGTCCAAACTCAACATGTTAAAATTCAAATTTATCATCTCTCACCCCGGGCCTGCTTTTGGTCTGCATTTCCTACCTCTATTAATAGCTTCAGTCATTAGCCACCGACACCAGACAGTCTCGGAGTCATCCTGAACTCTATCTTCCCCTCCTTCCCCAAGTCAATCACTAATCAAGTCCTGCTAATACATTTCCTTACTATTTCTGAAATCCATCCCTCTTCCTCATTCCTACTAACATCCCAATTTAAAACTATATTATCTTTTACCTGGACTATTGTCTTAAGACAACAACTTTAACCCATTGCTTAGCCTAGGTGTAATCCACAGAGGATCTTGTCTGTCTAAAATGCCCCTCTAGCCACATCCTTCCCCTGCTCAGATCTTGTCATTGGCTCCCGTGAACTGAAGTTGAAGTTTAAGCTCCTTAGGACAGCATACACGCCCTTCTATGATCTGTTCCCAGAACATATTAAACTGGTTTATCTCATATCATGGCCCACTTTGTATTTCACACTTTTGAAATACAGAAAATCATTACATTCTCCCAATAATACGAAGCTAGTATATGCCTAAAAGCCTTTGCCAATATTTTGTCTTTTGTTGAGAATTCTCTTAGCTTATTTTGTCACATGGTTAACTCCTTATGTCCTTTCATGACTCACATGTCAAGACTTCAGGAAACCTTCTCTAACTCCCAGGCTGGGCTGAGTGACCCTTTTCTGGGTAAATAATGAACTCTAATCATACTCTTCATAGCACTTACCATACTCATTTGAAGTCTGAAGTATTCCATTGTCTGCCTCACTTTACTTAGGCAAAGGAACCATGTCCTAGTCTCATTCTGGCCTCAGGACTTCAGCCTGGGCGACAGTGGGAGACTGAGTGTCAAAAAAAAAAAAAAAATTGCCAATGATTGAAGCCTAATACTGAAGATTCTGGTTTATTAATAATTAGTCTGTTGCTGGATGTTAATTGAGCTCCCCAAGTGATTACTCATGTAGGACTTCAAACCAATAATTTAGAACCTTGTGACTCAAAATCTGGGCAAAAATAAGCAGCATCAGTATCACCTGGGAGCAGCTTCAGGTCTCACTTTAGATTTACTCTGAATCTAAATATTATATTTTTATTAAAAAATTAAGAACAGATGACAAGCTTCAACTACATCTAAATTCTTTAGGTTTACTTTAAAAGAATCAACATTTTGACACAATACCAAAGTGAACTAAATTCGCTTTTTTTTTTTTTTTTTGAGACAGAGTCTTGCTCTGTTGCCCAGGCTGGAGCGCAGTGGTGCAATCTCGGCTCACTGCAACTTCCACCTCTCCAGTTCAAGCGATTATCTTGCCTCGGCCTCCAAAGTAGCTGGGATTACAGGCACATGCCATCATGCCCAGCTAATTTTTGTATTTTTAGTAGAGACAGGGTTTCACAATGTTGGGTCAGCTGGTCTCGAACTCCTGACCTCAAGTGATCTGCCCGCCTCGGCCTTCCAAAGTGCTGAGATTATAGACATGGGCCACCATGCCCAGCCTAAATTTGCTTTAATTTGGAGAAGTACTGGTCTAGAAAACACAAATTCCAAGGAGACTCAGGTTCTTAAGTTGATTTCTTGAGTACAAGTTCTTCAAATGCATTCTCCAAGATTAATTTTTTTTTTTACTTTTTAAATTGACAAAGATTATACATACTCATGGCTATACGGGGATGTTTCAGTACATGTAGATGGTGATCAGATCAGGGTAATTAGCATATCTATCATCTCAAACATTTATTATTTCTTTGTGTTGGGAACATTCAAACTACTCCTAGGTATTTTAAACTACATAATATAGTATTGTTAACTATAGCCATCTACAGTACTATAGAACACTAGAACTTATTACTCCTACCTAGCTGTAATTTTGTATCCATTAACAAATCTCTTACTATTCCTCCTTTCTCCCTACCCTTTTCAGCCTGCAGTATCCTCTGTTCTACTTTTTACTTCTATGAGATCAACTTTTTTTTTAGCTTCTGCGTGAGTGAGAACATGTGGTGTTGAAATTTCTATTCCTGGCTTATTTTGCTTAACATAATATCCTCCAGTTCCATCCATGTTGCTGAGAATGACAGGATTTTATTTATTCTTTTTTATGGCTAAATAGCATTCCTTGGTGTATATATACCACATTTTAAAAATCCATTCATCTGTTGTTGGAAACCTAGGTTGATTCCATATCTTGGCTATTGTGAACACTGTTGCAATAAACATGGGGATGCAGATGTCTCTGCAATATAATGCTTTTCTTTCCTTTGGACAAATTCCCAGTAGTGGGATTGCTTGAGGGGTTTCAATACTGTTCTCCATACTGGCTGCACTAATTTACATTCCTACCAACAGTGCATAAGAGTTCCTTTTTCTCCAGCTACTCAAGAGGCTGAGGGAGGAGAACTATTTGAACCCTAGGAGCAGAGGGAGCCATATTACACCACCACTGCACTCCAGCCTGGACGGAGAGTGAGACTCTGTCAAAAAAAAAGTCCCTTTTCTTCACGTCTTTGTCAGCATTTGTTATTTTTGTCTCTTCTATAATAGCCATCCTAACTGGAGTAAGATGATGCCTCACTGTGGCTTTGATTAGCATTTCCTTGCTGATTAGTGATGTTGCACATTTTTTCATTTATTTGTTGGTCATTTGTATGTCTTCTTTTGAGAAATGTCTGTTCAGAGCATTTGTTTATATTTAATTAGATTGTTGTGCTTCTTTGCTGTTGATATGTTTGAATTCCTTGTATATTCTTGATATTAATTTCCTGCCAGATGAGTAGTTTATATTTTCTCCCATTCTGTAGGTTGTCTTTTCACTCACTTTATTATTTCCTTTGCTGTGCAGAAGATTTTTAGCTTGATGTGATCCCATTTGTTTATTTTTTCTTTTGTTGCCTGTGCTTTTGATGCCTTATTCATAAAATATTTTCCCAGAGCAATGTCCTGAAGGATCTCCCCTATGTTTTCTTCTAGTAGCTTTACCATTTGGGGTCTTATATTTGGGTATTTGAGATACTTGAGTTGATTTTTGTATAGGGTGAGAGGCAGGGGTCTAGTTTCATTCTTCTGCATATGGATATCCAGTTTTTCCAGCACCATTTATTGAAGAGACTACCCGTTCCCCAATGAGTGTTCTTGGCGCCTTTGTAAAAAATCCGTTGGCTGAGATATGTGGATTTTCTGGGTTCTTTATTCTATTCCATAGGTCTATGTGTCTGTTTTTATGCCAATACCGTGATGTTTTGGTTACTACAGTTTTGTAGTATATTCTGAGGTCTGGTAGCATGATACATCCAGTTTTGTTCTTTTTGCTTAGGATGGCTTTGGCTATTCAGGATATTTTTTGATTCCATAAAATCTCTTTGGATTTTTTTTTAATTTTGTGAAGAATGTTCATAGGTATTTTGATAGAGATTGCATTGAATCTGTAGGTTGCTTTTGAGTAGTACTGTCACTTTAACAACATTCATATTTCTGATCCATGAGTGTGAATGTCTTTTCATTTGTTTGTATCCTCTTCAATTTCTTTCATTAGTGTTTTGTAGTTTTCATTTTACCTCCTTGGTTACATTTATGTCTGGGTTTTTTTTTTTGGTAACTATTGTAAATGGGTTTGCCTTCTTAATTTCTTTTTCAGCGAGTTTGTTGTTCATATATATAAATGCAACCAATCTTTGTGTATTAGTTTTGTGTCTTGCAACTTCACTGAATTTGTTTGTTCTAAAAGTTTTCTGGTAGAGTCTTCAGGTTTTCCTATATATAAGATCATGTCATCTGCAAATAGGAAAAATTTGATGTTCTCCTTTCCGATTTGAATGCCCTTTATTTCTTTCTCTTGTTTAATTACTCTTGATAGGACTTCACATTTATATACTTTGAATATTTAAAATGTTTACATAAATGTCAAAATCAACTTTCATTTTTCATAGAAAAAGAAGACCCTACTTGTTTTGTAGTTTTAATATTAATCAATTATTATTATCGGAGACAAATTATTTAACAAATTAAACTGTCTATTAAAATATTTCACCACAAATAAATTCCATAAGGAAAATATCTACAACTGTTTTTATGAAAGAAAAAAAGGCTTCTCTACAGTTGCTTAGGCCTGGTGCCATGGCACACACCTATAAATCCCAGCGCTGTGGGAGGCCATGGCAAGAGGATCCTTTGAGCCCAGGAGTTTGAGACCAGCGTGGACAACAAAGTGAGACCTCATCTCTACAAAAAATAAAAAAGAAATTAGCTGGCCATGGTGGTGCGTGCCTGTGGTCCTAGCTACTCGAGAGGCTGAGGAAGGAGGATCACTTGAGCCAGGGAGGTGGAGGTTTCACTGAACCATATTCACGCCACGCCACTCCAGCCTGGGCAACAGAGCTAGACCTTGTCTCAAAAAATTAAGTTAGTTAAATTAAACATAAAGTTGCATTGTATTTAAGAAATTGGGAAAGCAGAAAATGCTTCTGTTTTTCTTTTGAGTTGAACAATGAGAACACATGGACACAGGGAGGGGAACATCACATACCGGGGCCTGTCAAGGGGGTGGGAGGCTGGGGGAGGGATAGCATTAGGAGAAATACCTAATGTAGATGATGGGTTGATGGGTGCAGTAAACCACCATGGCATGTGTATACCTATGTAACAAACCTCCACGTTCTGTACATGTATCTCAGAACTTAAAATGTAATAATAACAATAATAAAAACGACAAAAAAAGGAAATGCTTCTTGTTAGAACAGATTACATACCCGCATTGCTTTTTATAATAGCCTGTAATAACAGAATATCCACAAGGTGGCAGTAATATATCAGTTTCATCCTCTGAAATTAAAACTTTTGCCTATTCAGTAATACAATGGATCTTTTGAACTCACTCTAACACGTAGAATACAGCAATTTGACTTAATAATTAGCCTTTAATTTATAGTCTTGTATTATCACTTTAGTGGTTTGAATTATTTTGTATTTTAATATATTTAAATGAATTAGTCCTATACAAAGTGACTAATTTGACATGTGAAGGTGTTTTTATTCTATTTTCAGAAGTTTAGCTTTAAAAAAATTTCTAAACTTCGATATCTGGTGAGTGTCAATGTTTTTATCTTATTAAAAGGTGGCAGACCACACTACATTCAACTGATTTTTTTTTTTAACAAGGATGCAAAATCAGTTTAAAGGAAGGATATCTTTTTCAACAAATGGTGCTAGAGCAATTGGACATTCACAGGTACAAAAACTAAGACTGACCTAAATTTATACTTTATATAAAATTTAGCTCACATAAATCACAGGCTTAAATGTAAAATGTAATATTATAAAACTTAAAGTTGTGTATGGTAGCTCGTGCCTGTAATCCCAGCTACTACTCAAGTGGCTGAGGTGGAAGGATCACTTCAATCCAGCAGTTAGTGGCTGCAGTGAGCAATGATGACACCACTGCACTACAGCTTGGGCAAAACCTCGTCTCAAAAATAATTAATAAATAAATAAATTCATTAAACTTTTTAAAATAGAAGAAAACTCTTGAGACCTTGGGCTACGCAAAGAATTTTTAGGCTTCATATCAAAAACAAAATCTACAAAAGGAAAAAGTGATAAAACTGGACTTCATTAAAATAAATAAATACTTTTTTTTTTTTTTTTTTACTTCGAAAGACCCTGTAAAGAGGTTGAAAAAATGAATTACAGACTGGGAGAAATAATTTGCGTACCATATATCTGACAAAGAACTTACATGTAGCATATGTAAACAATTCTCAAAACTCAATAGTAATAAATAAGGTATCCAATTAGAAAATAGGCATATGTGACCTCTCTGTATTATAACTTAAACCTCATGTGACTACAATTATTTCAAATGAAATAGGCAAAACAGCAATGCCTGTTTCTAGCATATAAAATAATCAGAGAACATAGAATTGTACAAAGTTAAATTATTGGGCCATTTACTTAATTTAAATATTTTTAAATGCGTGTACCCATTTTGCTTGAAGGTGTGTGCAAGTATGCTTGTATTTTTTTTAACGATAATATGGTCACATGAGCATTAAATTTATTTTTTAAAAGTTTATAGTTACCCCACACAAGTTCTTATTGAGTCCCTCATTCTTAACACCTGCATAGTATTTCATTTTATAATTAATGGATTGTAGGTTTATTCTTTTAAAATCACTTGTGTTGTTCTCATGTTTTTTTTTTCACTAAAAAGTGTTGCAATGCACAAAAAAAATATAAGGAGGGTCTTTTCTGGATCTCTGTTGAAAAACTTTGAATACAAATTACAAGTTCAAATCACATGCAAAATAAACATTTTAATTAATAGGGCTTTTACGCAAGATGTTAGTAGCAGTAGCAGCACAGTTTTATTAATATCCCTGAATCTCTCACAAAAACTGACTGAGCAAATGGGATAACAAGGTATTAACTATGACAAAACAATGTAACAGGGTGTCATCATGGACCATTTGTGAGGTTAAACCACAGGGACCCAGGGGAATCACCAATGTTTTTGGAAGAAGGAAAGGAAAGGGAAAAAATGTTTAATGGCCCTGGGAACTGGAAAACCTAGAAATGCAAGCGCTAACATCTATATTCCTAAATTCAGAGATTCTTACTAGGCAAAAAGAACTCAGCAGATTAATCTGAGAACAGCAGCTGAGGCTGGCAGAAAGCTTCCTGGGCCTCAGCTCATAGCTGAGAGTGAGGATGGCAAAAAGCAGGTGCTGTGAGTGGTCTGTTTCCTATGAACCCTACAAATTAACCACCCCCAAAACAAAGCCCTGTCCTAAGGAGAAACTGCAGGAAGTCAATTATAAATTGAGTTGGGAAGCACACTGAGGCTCAAGAAAAGGGAAGCTCCAGGTTAAGATGCAAGAGAAGAAGGGAAAAGGCAGTTTTCTGCAAGTTCAAGCACAAATAATTTCTTTACCTTCTAGTTCTGGAAATACCAGGTGCTGTGTATGTAAAGCAGGAATTTTGGTTGAATATTATATAATTTTCTGACCCACTGTTACTAATCCAGTTTCCCCTGTACTCAGATCTTCCATGCTACAGACAGACTTGACAGATGCTCAGCAAATAGTAGCTAATATTTTCTAGGAAACTAGGTGCTAAACGAGTTTTCTTAAATTTCTACCTCCAGGTCTGTAAGTTGATTTGAAGCATTACCAGTTTCTGGTTCTGCACAGGTTGTTGAGCGCACGACTTCTCTCCTCCAGTGGAAAGTCCACCTGCTCACAATCAACCATCCTTTCCTGCAGCCTGGGAGACACTGCTCAGTGTAGCACGCCTCCCAGTCTAGAATAAGCACACTCATCATCAGTCTCTCTCATTTTCTGTCTTATCTCCATTCCATCTACATACAATTTTTGTTTTCGCCAATGTTTTTAAATAAACAACTGTACAAGCGCAACAATGACAACAGAAACCTTCCTTCCCCCAGTGCTGTAGTGAGCAAGGAATATATTTAACTTCAAATAAAAGACAAAAACAAATGTTGGATAAAGCTGACAGAAAGAAATGCAACTGTAGGTGCTCTGGCAATATAGAAATGATACAACTAAGAAAAATGGAAGAAAAGGAAAGAGAAAGTATTCCTCAGAATGATTTTACTGACTGCTCATCTGTAATGCCTGGGAGTCAAAGGATATTGTTTATAGAAATGTAAGCATACTTAATGGCACCAGGGGAAACAAAGTTAATATGATTAAATCAAATTGTGGGATGAAAAATCACATAGGGAGGACAAGAAAGAGAATACAGCTAATACCATTGTTCTTAGTTTAGAGACATTAGCTACTGTCTAAAGAAAAAGATGATTTTATGAAATTACATAAGGTAGCCATCAGAATAAAAGTTTAACTCTTCCAAATATCCAACATCAAAACAAAAGCAATAAAAACAAGACAGCAAAAGACAGATATGCGCATATAAATCATAGCATCATATACAGTATTCAAAATATAACCAAACACAATTTATCATTAAAAGTAAGTGGGCTTGACTCTTACTAGAGGAAAAAATATTGTCAGATTAAATCAAAGAGCAAATCTCAATTCTATGCTGGATATAAGATAAAGTGTTACAGAAAGTTTAGAAATAAAAGTATAGGCAATGAATAAAAGGATCTTCTCTTCATGCGTTAGGAGTATAAAACAGTAAGTAAACACATCATACGGTTTCTGTTTTTACACTTATATGGCTGGAGATGTTACATCACTAGTATGAATTTACTTCAGATATATAAAGGATACACTTTTATGTGGTTAGAAACAGCAATGATAATAGTTAAGGTGAAAATAACATCTGCATTGACGCTAGGAAGAAAGAGCCATTGTTGGGTACATAGTGATCACATTACCATGGAGCAATCTGTTCCCAACTGAAATGTCCTTGCCCTTCTACTGAAATCATGTAAGATTCTGCAAAAGTAGTGTTTACTTCCCACAAATCAGCCATTTGTGGGAATGGCTGCTATTGTCCACACGGAATGAGCATCAGACCTATATTTAGCTGTTGTATCATTAAGAGTCGTATTTGGCCCTTTCCAGAGGCTATTATTTCAATTATATTTTGGAGAATTAGTCTATTTCCAGACAAATAATTTTACCATTTTACCAGAACTTTGATCCGTATGAAATGACCCTTTGGTAGGGATCCAGGGATTGAGTTTATTTTTAATTACTGTAGCATCCTGGTCAGGTTAAGAAACAGATTACCTTTATATTTCCCTGGCATGTGAGCAGGGCTAGATTTAGCGTGAGAATGCTTGAAAGTTTATAGTTTTTTAGAAATTTTATTTACTGTGTGTCTCTTTATCAAAATAAAATTAATGCTGAAAAGCTATATTAAATGAATTATTTTGAGATGGTCTCTTCCCCCTTCTTCCAATGAGAGGATGTCCACAGATATGTCAGGAGCTTGCTTTACCTAGAAATGTGTTGAGGGCCACAGGTTTGGGTTCACCTAGGAATGTTTAGGGACACATCCCCAAGTTGTTGTTGAAGAGTGGGGTAAATGTAAGATAGAATTAGGCTCATGGAGGCCAGATGAGAGCATCATGTCACCCCAGAAACACAGCATATACCTAGGAGATCTGTTCTCAGTATCAAAGTCTTAAGCACTGTAAGATTGCCTATAGACCAAGACAACAACTATATATATATATATATATATATATATATATAGTTAATAAAATCAGTTAATATATAAACATATATTTATTTAGTAACTTATTTTTATTTTTATCTTCAGACAGCGTCTTGCTCTGTCACCTAGGCTGGAGTGCAGTCGTGCAATTAAGGCTCACTGCAGCCTTGACCTCTGGGGCTGAAGCTATCCTCCTGCCTCAGTCTCCTAAGGTGCTAGGATGAGAGGTGTGAGTCACCTTGCCAGGCCCAGGGCAATAACTATGCAATGTTTCTATAATTTGGAGCAAAAAATATTTGAAATATGTGTGCATTGCTTTTTAACCTTTTCTATTGATTTACTTTATTAAATACTGAATAGAAACAATATATTTATAAAATATTTATTTTATATATATAATAAGCACATAATGAACACCTGTGTCTCCAGTCTTGGTTTAAGAAATTAAGCCAAAAGTAATCATAAGTGCTTATGATTACTTTTGAAGTCACCTGTACAACTTTTGCTGACTGCATCCCCTTCTTCAACACTCTAACGATGGCCACTGTGAGCACTGTGTATATTGAATTGTGTTGTATTTTAATACCGTGTGCACTACATTGTTTTCCTAGCTGTATGCTATTGTATTTAGTGAGCATAATGAATTATATCAGTATACTTCACTTTTGTCATTTCATTGTTTCAGCTTTTCTGTACTAATTATTGCCAATATATTTCTACTGGCATAAAAACAGACACATAGGACAGTGGAACAGAATAGAGATCGCAGACAAATCTACACATTTACAAACAACTCATCTCTGACAAAGGCATCAAGAACATACACTGGGAAAACAACAGTCTTTTCAATAAATGATCCTGGGAAAACTGAATAACTATATGCAGAAGGATAAAATTAAACCCATCTTACCATACACAAAAATCAAATCAAATAAAAATGGATTAAAGACTTGAATCTGAAACCTGAAACTATGAAGCTAGTAAAAAAAAAAAAAGCATAGGAAAGGCCGGGCGCGGTGGCTCACGTCTGTAATCTCAGCACTTTGGGAGGTCAAGGCGGGCGGATCACAAGTTCAGGAGATCGAGACCACCCTGGCTAACACGGTGAAACTCTGTCTCTACTAAAAATACAAAAAAAAAAAATTAGCGGGGCATGATGGTGGGCGCCTGTAGTCCCAGCTACTCGGGAGGCTGAGGCAAGAGAATGGCGTGAAAAAAAAAAAAAAAGAAAAAAAAGAAAGCATAGGAGAAATGCTCCAGGACATTAGTCTGGGCAAAGATTTTTTTTGCGTAAGACCTCGGAAGCACAGGCAACAAAAGCAAAAATAGACAATGGGATTATATCAAACTAAAAAGCCTCAAGCAAAGGAAACAATCAACAAAGTGAAGAGCCAACCACAGAATGGGACAAAATATTTTCAAACTATCTATCTGATAAAGGATTAACAAGTAGAATATATAAGGAGCTCAAACAACTCAATAATAAACAAACAAAAAATCTGATTGAAAAATGGGCTACTGAAGAGGCTGAGGTAGGAGGATTTCTTTTTTCTTTTCTTTTCTTTTTTTTTTTTTTGAGATGGAGTCTCGCTGTCGCCCAGGTTGGAGTGCAGTGGCGCGATCTCGGCTCACTGCAGGCTCTGCTCCCCCGGGGTTCATGGCATTCTCCTGCCTCAGCCTCCTGAGTAGCTGGGACTACAGGCGCCCGGCACCAAGCCCGGCTAATTTTTTGTATTTTTAGTAGAGACGGGGTTTCACCGTGTTAGCCAGGATGGTCCCGATCTCCTGACCTCGTGATCCGCCCGCCTCGGCCTCCCAAAGTGCTGGGATTACAGGCATGAGCCACCGCGCCCGGTCAGGAGGATTTCTTAATCCCAGGAGTTTGAGGTTACAGTGAGCTATGATTATGCTACTGCCCTTTAGCTTGGGTGACAAAGCAAGACCTTGCTTCTAAAAAAATAATAGTTAAAATTATATAAATAAATACAATTTAAAAATGGGCAAAAGATCTGAACAGATATTTTCTCAAAAGAAGACATACAAATGGCCAATAGGAAGATGAAAAAATGTTCAATATCACTAATCGTCAAAGAAATGCAAATCAAAATCACAATGCAATATCATCTCACCTTGGTTGAAATGACTTGTTTCAAAAGGACAGGCAATAACAGATGCTGGCAAGGATGTGGAGAAAGGGAAATACTAGTACACTGTTGGTGGGAATCTACATTAATAAAGCCACTATGGAGAACAGTATGGAGGTTCCTCAAAAAGTAAAAATAGAACTACCATGTGGTCCAGCAATTTCTTTACTGGATATATATCCAAAATAAAGGAAATTAATGTATCAAAGACATATCTACATGCCGATGTGTACTGCAGCACTATTCACAGTAGACAAAATATGGAATCAGTGTAAGTGCTCATCAACAATAGATTTTAAAAGTCATATATATACATAATGGAATACTACTCAGATACAAAGAATGAAATTCTGTCATTCACAGCAACATAGGTGGCGCTGGCCATTTGGCTTAACGTAATGAACATAGGCCATTATGATAAGTGGAATGAGCCAAGCACAGAAAGGCAAATATCACATGTTGTCATTCATATGTGGGCAGTAAAAAAGTGGATCTCATGAAGATAGAAAGTAAATTGATGGTTGCTAGAGGCCAGCAAGGGGAGTGGGAAGAGGAGATTAAGAGAAGAAAATATAAATGTATTTATCACCACTAAACTGTCCTCTAAAAATGTACAGATGGTAAATTATATATATATTTTTTAACTCAATAAAAAGTTAAAAAAAATTCTGCTGTGTGTTTATAGAGCACATGTACAAGACTTTCTCTAGGGTTGTATCAGTTTTCTATTCCTGCTGTAACAATTTACCACAAATTCAGTGGCTTAAAAGAACACATTTTTGTAAGATTTGAGTCAGTTTTAAAAAACACACACAAACTTATTGTCTTAGAATTGTTTTGGTTGGAAATCTGGCATGGCTCTCACTGAACTAACATCAAGATGTTGGCAGGCTGCATTTCTTTCTGAAGGCTCTAAAAGAGCATCTGGGTTGTTGGCAGAATTCAGTTCCTTGTGGTTATAGATCCTCAGTTTCTTCCTGGTTGTAAACTTTGGGTCATTCTCAGCTTCTAAAGGTCACTGGCTTTCCTTGGCTTGTGGCCCCCTACCACTGTTTTAAAAGCCAGTAATAGCAGGCCACACCTTTCTCATACTGCCATCTGTCTGAATCTCAGCATCCAGAAAATATTCTCTGCTCTCAAGGAATTATGAGATTAGATTGGACTCACCAAGGTAATTCAAGGTAATTTCCCCATTTCAATGCCCTTAATGGTAATCACATCTGCCAAGTCCCTTTGAACATGCTAACGTAAATGTTCACCTTATCTGAAGACTGGGATTTGGCTGTCTTTGGTGGGGGGCAATTATTCTGCCTAACCCAAAGATACACAACTTGCAGATATACAACTAGTTCATGGAGATGAAACATTTTCAAATCTACAAGAAAATGTTTTCTAAAATGAGCATTTCATATTAGACTTTCACGAGCACTGTATCAGAATTATATTTACTTCATAATGTTGCCAATACTGATATCAGATATTTAATTTTCTAGCCAGTTCAGGATAATGTGAATTGTGAGTAATATATTTGTTCATTCAGTCAACAAACATTTTTTATCAGATACCACCGATATGCTGGACAGTGTCATGGATCCTAAAAATATAGCCGTTATTATTTTTTTTTAAACAAAGTCCCCACTGTGATAAAGCTTTTATTCTTTGGGACAGGCAGACAGTAATCCAGATAAATAAGTGCAAGGGCAAATTGGGGGAAAAATTGGAATGGAGAGCTCAGAATCTGGCCCCAGAGAAGGGCAGAGGGAAAGGGGACCCAGTTCAGAATCTCGGTGCGTCCACACGAAACAATTCCATGAGGGCTGAGGAGACAGAGCTGAAAGGCTTGTCTGACATCACAAGAGACAGAAAAGTAAGCCCCATTTTCATCTCTATCCTGACAATGTTCCTGGCTTGATTTCCTCCTTCCAGCAGACACAAGAATCAGGGAGCGCACCCTGATGGTAACATTTTTTTCAGGGGCCTATTTTGGGGATCCTGGTGAGAACCTGAGTCCGTCACTGACCACGGCAGCCCAGCATGCTCCCCAGTGCGTGGCCCAAGGCCAAGATTCTCTACCTCCATCCTGGAGGCAGAAGAAATGTCTGGGGGAAAATGAGAGGTTTTAGGTGGTTGGCACTGGGTGAGACCAAGGAGAAATTTTAAAGCTGTGTGTCCTGGGGCCGGGGGCGGTGGCTCACGCCTGTAATCCCAGCACTTTGAGAAGCCCAGGCGGGCAGATCACGAGGTCAGGAGATTGAGACCATCCTGGCTAATGGTGAAACCCCGTCTCTACTAAAAATACAAAAAATTAGCCGGGCTTGGTGGCGGGCGCCTGTAGTCCCAGCTACTCGGGAGACTGAGGCAGGAGAATGGCGCGAACCGGGAGGCGCAGCTTGCAGTGAGCCGAGATCGCGCCACTGCACTCTAGCCTGGGTGACAGAAAGAGACTCCTTCTCAAAAAAATAAAAATAAAATAAAAATAGAAAATAGAAAAAGCTGTGTGTCCTTTGTTTCTTCATATTTTGCAGATTTTTGATGTCAAAATATTTTCATAGTCAAAAGAGTGTTAATAAAGAATGACTTCTCTGTTATAAAAACCCTAATAGTGAATGTATTTACCAAGAAGTTAGATTCTATCTTTGGTTTTTTGTTTTTTGCCCCGTAGTTTAAAAAAAAAGTTTTATTGTATGGATATTCTACAGTTAGTGTATCTATTGATGGACCTCTTGATGGACATTTGGTTTGCTTCCAGTTGTTTTTGCTATTTCAAATAAAGTTGCTACGAATGTTTGTCCAATCGTTTGGACATAAGCTTTCATTTGTCTTGGGCAAATAAGCAGGATTTGAATGACTAGGTGGTGTGATATGTTTCACTTTTTTTTTTTTTTTGAGACGGAGTCTAGCTCTGTCGCCCAGGCTGGAGTGCAGTGGCGCGATCTCGGCTCCCTGCAAGCTCCGCCTCCCGGGTTCACACCATTCTCCTGCCTCAGCCTCCGGAGCAGCTGGGACTACAGGCGCTCGCCACCACGCCCGGCTAATTTTTTGTATTTTTAGTAGAGACGGGGTTTCACCGTGTTAGCTAGGATGGTCTCGATCTCCCGACCTCGTGATCCACCCGCCTTGGCCTCCCAAAGTGCTGGGATTACAGGCGTGAGCCACCGCGCCCGGCCAGTTTAACTTTTAAAGAAACTGACAAAGTGGCTGTATTTCCAGCAGCAGTGTATGAGCATTCCTGTTCCTTTGTGTTCTCACCAGTGTTTAGTATGGTCAGTCTTTTAAATTTTAGCTATTCTAATAGGCATGTAGCAGTATCTCATTGTGGTTTTAATTTACATTTCCCTAATGAAGAATGATGTTGAACATCTTTCAATGTGCTTACGTATCATCCATCTGTATTCTATGGTGAAATGTCTGTTCAGATCTCTACATTTGTGTTAGACTATTTGTTTTCCTATTATTGAGTCCTGAGAGTTCTTTGTATGTTTTGGATGACAAATGTATCTTCACCAGATATAGTTTTGTAAATTTTTACTCCCAGTCTGTGATTTGTCTTTTTATTCTCTCGATAGTGTTTTTCTTTTTCTTTCTTTCTTTTTTTTTTTTTTTTTTTTTGACAGAGTCTGGCTCTGTCACCCAGGCTGGATTGCAGTGGCAAGATCTCGGCTCACTGCAATCTCCGCCTCCCGGGTTCACGCCATTCTCCTGCCTCAGCCTCTCCCAGTGGCTGGGACTACAGGCGCCCGCCACTACTCCCGGCTAATTTTTGGTATTTTTGGTAGAGAGGGGTTTCATCGTGGCCTAGATCGCCTGACCTCGTGATCCACCCGCCTCGGCCTCCCAAAGTGCTGGGATTACAAGCGTTAGCCACCGTGCCTGGCCTCTGGATAGTGTTTTTCACAGGTCAGATTAATTTGTATATAAATCATTTATTTTATTTTTATTATGTAAAATTTTATAATTTTTAATTTTATTTTTAATTTCCTTTTTAAAAGGTAAATAAAATATTAAGTGTAATGATGCAAAATTGTGTTTAAAAGTAAATGTATATGAAAGTGTTGATATAGACTAAAACATTGAATAAGTAAGAAGGTAGTTAGTTGTCACAGTAGGAGTGAAGTGCAAAGCTTCCCCTTTCACCCTCTGAAGATTACCCGAAATGAACTGACCAGACACAGATTCATAAAAGAAAGGGTATACAAACTTACTTCACCTGCAAAACCATGAGAGCTATACACAAAGTATAAGACTTGAAGATGGCTCAGATCTTAAACGCTCTCCTCATAGGCGATAGATATATAGACCCAGGATGCAGACAGTATTTTGTAAATAATTTCCTTTGGAAGCTGGATGGGACAGACAAATTACGGGAAGGCGAGAGATGGACCTGCACAGGAAAAAAGTTTGTCTTTGTCACTTTAATCTTATCATTACTAGAGAATATTTATGAATATTTTAGAATAATATATTTTTAAGCCCAAACCTCACCAAATGTTTTTTCTAAAACAAATACTTTTTGTTGTTGTTTGTTTGTTTTTGATACTGTGTCTCACTCTGTCACCCAGGTATGGAGTGCAGTGGTGCAACCATGGCTCACTGCAGCCTTGACCTCCTGGGCTCAAGTGATTCTCCTACCTCAGCCTCCAAGTAGCTGGGCTACAAGCATGCACCATCATGCCCTGGTAATTAAAGAAAAAAAAATTTTTGTTAGAGACCAAGTCTCATTATGTCACCCTGGCTAGTCTTGAACTCCTGGAATGAACTGATCCTCATGCCTTGGCTTCCCAAATTATTGGGATTATAGGTGTGAGCCACAGTGCCTGACCACATATTTCTATACTTCACTGAGGAAAGGAAGGTGCTAGGAAAATTGGTTAAGAACTATTTTTTAAAAAGCTATTAGTAGTGTTTTATTTTATTTTATTTTTTAATGATTGAGTTTTGAGATTGGGATCTCACTATGTTGCCCAGGCTGGTTTCACATTCCCAAGTTTAAGCAATATCCCTGCCTCAGTCTCCCAAGTAGCTGGGATGACAGATGTGTGTCACCATACCCAGCTCCATTAGTAGCATTTTTAACAATTGTGGGCCACTGAGAAAGAATAATTTTTTTTAAATTAAAGGTTATTTTTTAAAAAGCACATTTGTAGAAAATTACTAGCATAATCTGCCTAAAATAAATATACATATTGAAAAAATGTTTCCTCTGAACAAAAAGAAATATATTCACCACACATACACACATACACACACACGCACACATGCACACACGCACACACACACACATTGTGGAAGATTTCAAGACCAGGCAATAATTTCCACTCAATCCAAAAACAATGCAATCCCAGAGCTGAATATTTAGGTGAAAAATATATCAGGAATGGGAGGCATTCAGGTTTAATTTTCATGTTTTGTTAGAGTTAGGATGTGAGTTTTCATTTAAAAATATTCTTTATTTTTTTTGCTACTATTGTGGTTTCTATATTGTTACTATACAATCTGTAAACTAAATAGTAAAGGAGAGAAAAGTGATTTTCAAAGAAGCTGGCTTGGGAACAGGTACTATTCTGGGAAGATGAAAGGTTTCACTTAATGACTGGTACCTGTGCCACTCTGGTTATTTTAACTGTTAACCTTTTAGCAAGAGGTTTTTCTTTTAAAAGACATCCTTTAATATTTGGGAAGCTAGTGCAATAGTACACATTGAGGCCCACATACCACATGCCAAATATTTAAAAGGCATATTTCTAGCTAACCACTGTACATGCATATATTTTTTCTCTCTTATTTTCTTATTTTAGTTTTTTTCCTTGTCAACAATTTAATTTTAAGTCCACACATATCTTCTATCATCCCACTTTGACAAATAATATTATACCTTCAAAATGATGTGGAAGACTAGAATGGAATTTAGAACCGTAGAACCTTGTAATTGTACAGGCAAGTTTCTTCCTGGGAAAAAATAAAACAGGAAGAAAAGGCTGGGCAGCCTCTGGTTCAGGAAGGAAATTCGGGAGTCCCTTATAGCAGCATCTCTAGTACTTGGGAACCGAACAGACTTCTCGGCCTGTGAGGCTGGAATGGGCCCTTCTGGAGAACACGACAGAGAAGTTATCTACTGCCTTTGCCCCCAGGGCCCAGGCAACACTTTTACCCTCCATTGCTTGTTTCCGAAGTTAAGGGGAGGAGACAATGTTTTGTTTAGTGACCTCGACAGAAAGGGTGTCCTCCTGCAACCACTCATTTGTTACTTTCCTTCTTCCTGAATTGCCTGGACCCACTCCTCCTCCATTTGACTGGCTCCGTGCACTGATGTTATAGTCAGGAGATTTTTGGGAATTGTGGCTTCTAAAAATGTACACTCAACTCTACCCACAGCTGGCCCTGTGAACCTACACAGCTGTTCCACTGTGTCTCCTTCTCAAAGAGACACTCTTCCTGCTGAGTCTCTGCCCTCTGCTCCTAGATCCAAATGGCATCTCCTACCCTATCCCTGTATGGCTTAACCTAGGGAAACTCTTTCCCAAAGGAGTCAGGTAAGGAGACGGTGGCTGAGCTTCTTACAGACTTAAAGGAGACATCCTGGAATTTAGGAGTCTGTCCTTCCTTTCTGTCTCCCTGGCAGCTCCTGCTGCTGCTCAAAGTTTAGCTTTGTCTCTCATCCAGCTCAGACTGTTGCTGGTCCTGATGGCCTCTGCTTAGCTGTATTAGTATGTTCTTGCATTGCTATAAAGAAATACATGAGAAGTACCTTTAGTTGGCTCACGGTTCCATAGGCTATACAGGAAGCATGGTGGTTTCTGCTTCCGGGGAGGCCTCAGGAAACTTTTACTCAAGGTGCAGGGCAAAAAAAAAAAAAAAAAAAAAAAAAAAAAAAAGCTACCAGCACTGCACTGTGAGGCCCTGATCCCTGAGCTAACTTCATATTATTACCTCTACAGTAAGTGTCCGTGAGAACATAGATATATTTCTTATGTGAGTACACAATTTACAGAAGAGGAACTACCCTCCCAAACCAAAACAAAATGTCATAATTTTAATTTACCAGCAAACCTAGGTTGCTTCTGTGAAATGATCTCATTTGCTGAGTTTTAAAATTGACTAAATTTCCCAATTTCCAAATGAAAATATTTAGTTATCTTGTCTTGCTATGTGTTTTTGGTTAATATGATGATTAATTTTTGGTCTATTACTTAATATATTCCATAATTATTGATATGGATTATAAGGACTCACCAAATAGTTTTCAGATGTCTTTAATTTTTGTACTTAGTGCAGATCCTATAAATGGATTAGGAGTATTCTATTAACTCCCATGTATTCAGAAATCGAATTGGAGTGGTAAATTCTGTTTGAGGTAACAAGGGATATCAAAGGAAAAAAGTAATTTTGTGACTATGTCTTCTATACATACATTTTTCAGGCATCTTTATCAATGGCTTATACTAAAGACATTTTCCGGATCATGGGTGACAGACAGAAGACATGCGGATAAGTGGCATTGTGTACACTACTGCATTTTATCATCTGGCTTATTTTTCAACTTTTATTTCTCTTAAGGATGTTTCATTAACCGGTGCATCACCAGGTTAACAGTCTCTGGAACACTAAACTTACCAGAAAATACTTGTTGATTGAATTAACAAGAAAACAACATTAGAAAACAGTGGTGGCTCGTTTTTATCTGTTGCAGTATCTTGGAGAGTAAAGCCTAACTCTTTAATTTTGGCCAAAGATATAAAGAAATACCTGAGAAACACCTTTAGTTGGCTCACGGTTCCGTAGGCTATACAGGAAGCATGGTGGTTTCTGCTTCTGGGGAGTCCTCCAACACTTACTGGCAGGGTAATTTTGAAGAAGTCATGATAAGATGGTTGTTACAATTAAATGAAATAATCAAAGTGGAAGAGCTTAGTTAGCTGTCTTCCCTAAATGAATCACTGGCAAGTAAGAGTGTGATTGATTTTCCTACCAGTCAGGACTCACCCCTTGAAGCTATAGGAGGGTAAACCTCTGAAGACCATACAATTTAGGGAACACTAACACCTCAAAAAACTCTGTAAACTTCCTTCCTTCCTTTTCTTCCTTCCTTCCTTCCTTCCTTCCTTCCTTCCTTCCTTCCTCCTTCCCTCCCTCTCTCTCTCTCTCTTTCTTTCTTTTCTTTCTTTGTTCATTTTTGAGACAGAGTCTTGCTCTGTCATTCAGGCTAGAGTGTAGTGGCTGGATTATGGCTCACTGCCGCCTTGACCTTCTGGGCTCAAGCAATCCTCTCACCTCAGCCTCCCTAGTAGCTGGGACTATTGGCATGCTCAGCTAATTTTTTCCTCCTTTTCTTTTTGTAGAGACAGGGTCTCATCATCTTGCCCAGGCTGGTCTTGGACTCCTTGGATCAAGCAATCCTGCTGCCTCAGCCTCCCAAAGTGCTGGATTACAAGCATGAGCCACTGAGCCCAGCCTTAAGTTTTTTTCATACAGGAGGAAAGAATTTGGGAAAGTAGATGTGTGTGTGTGTTGGTTAGGGAGCCAACACATTTTTCTGCAAAGCTTGAATTCTGTGCCTCAGTTTTTCATTTTTGTTATGTGCAAAATAAAATCATATCCTGCTATAGATTTAAACCTGTGAGCAGATCCTACTCAAAACCTGATTCAAACTTTGCGTAGATCTTTGTCTCTCTATGGCATAAGAATAAATTCTTCTGATTTCCTTCCCTCAGAAAAATGGACTTAGACTTCCCACAAGCCTTCCAGAAAGAACTCGCCTGCCTCATCTGCCTGAATTACCTCATAGACCCCATCACTATAGGCTGCGGGCACAGTTTCTGTAGGCCCTGCCTCTGCCTTTGCTGGGAAGAAGCACATATTCCTGCCCTGCATGCAGGGAACTGTCACAGCAGGAAGATTTCAACCAATATTCCTCTGAAGAATCTAGTGTCCATTGCCAGAAAAGCCAGTCTCTGGCAATTCCTGAGCTCTAATGAACAAATGTGTGGGATCCACAGGGAGACAAAGATGTTCTGTGATGTGGACAAGAGCTTGCTCTGTTTTCTGTGTTCTAACTCTCAGGAACACTGGGGCACAGAAACACTGGCCCACTGAAGGGGCAGCTAAGGAACACAGTGTAAGTGGTGACTCAGAGCACTTTGAAAGCTGGAGGGCAGCACAGGTAAAGAGATTAGGAGGAAGATGAAGAGCATGAGGATTAATCTATTCTTTACCGAGTGTCATGTACTGCCTAGGTATCAGTGATATAACTGTTATCCTGCTATCAAATCTACTGATAAGTGGCTCATTTAACTTATATGCACTCATCACAATGCAAGAAATCCTCTGACTGCTCCTACCATCATGACCCCTAGCCATGATATGACTTGTCTCCACACTAGCAGAAACTAATCGAGTCCCTATATTAGGGATAAGTGGCCTTTATATATATATATATATATATATAAAATTTTTATATGACATTTAAAATATAAATAAATATTTATACAATATATATTATATACATATATATACATACATATATACATATATATCTCACAATGCCAAAAATGTTTTGTCTTCGAAATAATCACAATGCATCTACAACCAGGCGACAACACTGAAAATAAAATTGTAGCAGTTTGAATAGGGGTAATGAGTTAATTTTTTCCTGGGGTTCAAAAAAAGAAACAGCAGCAAAAAATGGTACTTAAGACTGAAAGTTGGCCGGGTGCAGCTGCTCATGCCTGTAATCTCAACACTTTGGGAGGCCAAGGTGGTGGATAACCTGAGGTCAGGATTTCGAGACCAGCCTGGCCAACATGGAGAAACAACGTCATTACTAAAAATACAAAAATTAGCTGGGCATGGTGGCAGGTGCCTGTAATCCCAGCTACTCGGGAGGCTGAGGCAGGAGAATCACTTGAACCCAGGAGGCAAAGGTTGCAGTGAGCCAAGATCACGCCATTGCACTGCAGCCTGGGTGACAAAAGCAAAACTCCATCTCAAAAAAAAAAAAAAAAAAGAAAGTTCTGGGTTATGACACAGAACATACGCAACATGAATATGTCATGGTTATGAATATATAGACTACTCAAGATTGTGTATTTTTAAAATAATAGAATACTAGGTTAAAAAATTAGCATCACAGAATGAAAAATAAGCCACAAACTAGCAGAAGATAATTGTTAACACATAAAAACAAAGGATTAAATACAATGGTAATATAATGATAGCTACTCTTACAAAGTTGTTTCTATGTCTCAGGTACTATTCTGAACAACATACGTGCATCTTGAATGCATGAAGAATTCCTATATAAGAAAAACACAAACAACAACATTTAAAATGAGCAAAAAACCCGAATAGGAATTTCACAGAAGAGAAAACATAAATGGCCCATAAACATAATAAAAGATGCTCGACTACAATTCTAATCAGGGAAATAAACATTAAAACCCCAAAGAGATACCACTTCATACTCTAGGAAAAACCTAAAAGGCTGTGAATATCTAGTTTCATTGAGGAAGAACAATGGGAAGACTATTCACTGCTGGTGAGGGTGTAGATTGGTACAACTGCTTTGGAGAACAGTTTGATGCCACTCAATAGAGCTGAACACACACATGCCCAATGACCAAGCAATTCCACTCCAGGTACATACTGTAAAAATACTCCTGCACATGTAGAATAGGAGACACTGCATAACAAAGTTCACTAGAACATGAGGCTGAGGTGGGAAGATGGCTTGAGACCAGGAGTTCGAGGCTACACCAGTAGCTGGGACTATAAGCATGTGCCACCGTGCCTGGCTAATTTTTTGCTGCTGTGGTTGTTGTTAGAGATGAGGTCTTCCTTTATTGAACAAGCTGGTCTCCAACTCCTGGCTTCAAGTGATATTCCCACTTCTGCCTCCCAAAGTGCTGGGATTACAGGTGTGAGCCACCATGCCCGGCCAAGTTCTGCTTCTTAACCTGAGGTAGATACTTTGATGTTTCATTTTCCTTTATTGTACAGATATACTTTATATTCTCATATGTGACACAAGTCAAAATTTAAAAAAACAATTTAACGTTTATTCCCTTTAGATGAATGATGGGCAAATTTACATAATGAATTCATTACTGAAACAATGTATAGATTTCAGACTAGGAAAGTAACTATTTATAAAAGAAAAGCTTAAAACGTGAAACAGAAACAAAATCCTGAAACTGTAAAATTGAGTCAAACTAAAATTTAAAAAACAAAGCAATGATATAAAGTATCATTTGTCCAAATGTGTTCTACAAAACGCTTTTTTCTGAAATATGTCTGAGGAAAAACAGGTTCTAGGAGTAAAATATGTTTGAAAAATGCTGGGTTAAACAACTGAACCTATGAAGGAAGGAATAGAACTTCTCAAGCTCTTGACTCTGGAATTTTTTTTACACGGCAATTAACACCATGCTTCTTCTTGGATTTGTATTTCAGATAAACACAATCTGGGAAACATTTTATAATACAGAGGGCCACACCAGATTGAATATTGCCCCCAGGAATGAAATGAAAACAGGAATGGATTCTCCAGTAAGAGGTACCCAGATATCCTAATCTTCAGTAGCTGACCTAAACCCTGGACAAGTGGGATCAAACCCCATAACCAAATACAACTTTTTAGGAACTAAGTGGATAATCACTCTGTGTTGTATGAACATGTGGGCAGTGTGTTTCCTACACAGCTTAAAAGTGCAACAAAAAAAGATCTGGGTGTCATATAAAGAATTTCTACCACTGTTAGGGTAATGGTGGACTGACAGGCAGAGGGTCTTAGATGTGACTTAAGTAAAGTTCAATAGAAGCTTCCAGCACAGATATTCATGTTTTGAATTGGACCGCTCAGTTAAAAAGTTTTTCCATTAGACTTCCCCTAATCAAATTAGAAATTATCTAATTTTCTAATAAAGTTTTCCCCAGGCACAAGGAATCTGTGAACTGGACCTAAAAAATTCTTCATAATGTGCTTTTATTACCATAAAAGATGCACATTTATTTTAAAAACTTCTCTACACCACTATCATAAACATTTGCACACACTTATTTCTTTTGGAAGCTAACTTCTGAGTGGTAATGAAATATATTCTTAAGAAAAAAGTCCGACACAATGCCTTTGCGTCTTAAAACATGTTAAAATATTATTTGAAAAGAGTAAAACATCTGTCTTTTCAGGGTATCACAGGGCATCAAACTGGAAAATGTGGCACTGCCAGGAGTTTCTACCTGGTGAAGGTTGGCAGACTTTTCTCTTCAGAGGGCTCTTGACAGGGTAGCATCCATTATCTTGCCAATTTACCAAAACCTAGGCCCAATCCTCAGTCTTATAGGCTCAGAAATTTATTTTTATCATCATCAATAGGGTAGCTACATTGCTTAGAAGCAAACAAAAATAACCATGCTTCAATAGAAATCAGGATATAGATGTATTAGTACAGAATGACAAATATAACTGTGACAGAAATAGGAATGCCTGTTTATGGTCATATACTTTCACTACAGCCAAACTCATACATGCAGCCAAATAAGAGGCCCCTGGATACACAGGGAATCGGAATAAAAAAAGAAGAACTGAACATTTAATAGTCTTCTTTCATTCAATCAATAATTTTTTTTAATTAAGCAACTACTATGTCCAGGTAACCTTCTAGGTCCTGGGGATACAGAGGTCTCTGCTTACAGAAGTCATATGTAAGTAGCAGGTGAAGAGTATGTGTTTCACAGAAGTTTATTACAATATATTAACAAGAGCAAAAAATTTTGGAAGCAATCTAAATGTTCAATAATAGAGCTCCAATTAAATAACAATAAATCCAAATAATGAAAAATAATGCAGCCCTTTAAGAATAAGCACTTGCAAGCCGTAATTCATGACATGGGAAAATTATCATGATGGAAAAAGAAGCAAGCTATATATAGTGCATGATCCTATACACACACATACATACATACATATTTCCTATCCCTTTATATGCATAAGAAAACAAGCGGGAGGAAAGTCATATCTTTAGTCAAATCTTGTTTGCTAACGTACTATTAATGATTATCTTTTCTTTTTCTTTATACCTTTTTGCATTTTTCAATTTCCTAAAATAGCCTTACATGCCTTTTATCACCAGGAGAAAAATTACTTCTAAAGTAATTTCAGTCAACATGCATACTAAGAACTCTTCAGATTTATCTGTTAGAAGCTGTGCATGAATGCCAGTCCTTGTATCTGCCTTGGAACTCACAGAAGCTCTTTTCCCATGGCTTTAAGCAATACTCAAATAGACTAGCATACCTGAATTTCCTAGTCCTATGTTTTTTTCATCCAACAGCCAGTCTTGTATTTCTAGCTGTTTTCTAAACATTTCAACCAAACCATTTTACAGATAACTCATACAGTCATCCTTTGATATGCATGGGGAATTGGTTCCAGGATCCCCCTTGTATACCAAAATCCATAGATGCTCAAGTTACTGGTATAAAATAGTGTAGTATTTGCATGTAACCTACACACATCCTCCTATATACTTTAAATCATCTCTAGATTACTTAATAACACTTAATACGATGTAAATGCTATGTAAATAGTTGGTATACCATGTTGTTTTTTATTTGTATCATTTTTTATCATTGTATTATTTTTTCTGACAATTTTGTTCCACAGTTGTTTGAATCAGTGGATGCAGAACCCATGAATATGGAGAGTCAATTGCATTTCATTATGCCCAAAGGTAAATGCATAACTTTTTCCGCACAGCTAATCTTCTAGCAACCCCGTTGCTGTCCATGGCAAGCAGGTTAGTTACTCTCGCCCTTTCCCGTTTCAGGTTCATTAAAAAACTCTTGTCAAAATCTCTTTCATCCCATCTTATTCTTCATTCTCACTTCCATCAGCATATCAGTCCAGGCCCTAGTAACATTAATGTTACTAATGGCACTGTTAGTAACATTACTTACCAGCATTCAAGTGGGTCTTCCTGATGCCATTCTCTCCCATCCTGAAATCACTGCTGTTTATATAGAACTTGTATGATGTCATTCATTGGCTCAAAAACTTTTAAAGCCTTCCTTTTTCTACCACCCCAATCTAAATTTCAATGCCTGGCTTTTATTAAAACCCATAATTTGGCCCCACCCTAGCTATTTAACTTTATTTTCCACTATTCGCCAGTCTCCTCCCTCATCAACGAGAAGACATACCATAATCAACCTCACCACTAACCCTTGGAATATCTAAACTTAAAAATGGTCCTTCCTTTCCCCTTTACTTGTATTTAAAGAACCTGATGAATTATTCCTCCTCTGCTAAACTTTTCACAATTTCTTCAACCTCATTTATGTTTCACATTTTCAGAACATATCTTGCCGTTTATTAGGAATCTCACAATTAGGCACTCTCATGTAGATAGATTTATGATCATGTATGTTGTCATCTTCTATTAAATTCCATACTCCTTGAAGGCAGGAGCCATGCCTTATTCTGTCCCCCAGAGTACTCAGAATGATGCAGAGCACACAGAAAGTACTCAAATCTTGTTGACTGATCCAGTGAGAAATGACCAACTTCAGTTCCAGCCTCTCTTTAACATGTACATAGCAATTTGGGCAAGTCAAGCTCCATCCTGAAGGACATAATAGGGGACTCTTTAAGCACATTATTATGAAGGCCCTTCAGGGATAACACCAGAGTGATGAGGTGCCCTATACCAGGGATAATGGAGACAGAGTACTTGGGATTCATCACTGGGGTCCTCAAAGCATCTTCCAAGGGCATAATAAGGAAGGACTCAAACACCTTTGAATCTCTGTGAGACCAGTCATGAGGTCTTTTGAAAGAGTTCTTTAACTGGAGTGAATGTCAAAGAGAAGTATAATAAAATAAAAGACCTGAGTAGGGTCCTCCTTGTTCATAAAATGACACTACCTAAATCACCAAATCTCACTGAGCCTTGGTTTAACTCAAGAGGTTCCATGCCACTATAAGAGGTGGTAACTGCCAACTGACAGGAAATATTTTCATATGCATAGTCATAGTGCCCCATATTTATGAACTTCTTAAGAGTCTTCAAAAAGCTTTCTATATACATTATCCTTTACTTTCTAACTTTCCTAAATACAAGGTGAGAGAGACACAAGTGTTCTATCAAAACAGAATCTTGGCCGGGCACAGTGACTCATGCCTATAATCCCAGCACTTTGGGAGGCAGAAGTGGGTGGCTCACTTGAGGTCAGGAGTTGGAGACCAACATGGCCAACATGGCAAAACTCCATCTCTACTACAAATACAAAAAATTAGCCAGGTGTGGTGGCAGGTGCCTGTAATTCCAGCTACTTGGGAGGCTGAGGTAGGAGAATTGCTTGAACCCAGGAGGCAGAGGTTGCAGTGAGCAGAGATCACACCACTGCACTCCAGTCTGGGCAACAAGAGCAAAACTTCATCTCAAAAGAAAAAAAATAAATAAAGACTTTTGCAAGGACCATGTCCCACCCAGAATGGTGCCTGCCTTTCTACAGTTTTCAGGAAGAGGAAACATTTTCTGCTTCTCTTGCTGAGGTTTTTTTTAACCACCCATTAGGAACGTATAGATTTCAGAATCGAACACTGGGATTCCCTCAGCACTAAAGGAGGAAAATTGCAAACAGAGCTGAAAGTGCAACGTGGAAAGGTCAGGCTGAGGAAGGTTCTTAGCCAGTAGACCAAGGGCAGAAAGGACACTGCCTCCTCAGTCTCCCACTAGGGAACTTGCTATTCTTGTCCCCTGACCTCAGAATTCCTTGTCATGTTTGTTTTGTCTCCAAGGGAATGGTTTGAATTACAGAATTTAAGGCTAGAGTGGGCCTCCTGCAGTTAACATTAACACTCTCTCTCCTTCGCTGGCCAAGGTGAAGTCTGGGACCATGAAGTTCTGACGTCCACTCTCTCAGGGGATCACCAGTTCACCCACCTCACCCGGCAAGCTGGGCCCTAGTTTGGCGACAGGCATCTTCCACCCACCTGGGAGGCAGGGTTCAATACTCTGCCTCTGACCTTGTTTCCTTCTTCTGCCACCTGCTTAGGCAGCCAGAAGGGGTTGTCCAGCCAGCACCTGGGCTTTGGTGCTCCTCAAGAAGGTGGAGGAAGTTTCAGGCACCTGGCTCCTCAGGTGTCTGCCATCCAGCTGCTCTTCAGGCCTGCCCAGCAGAGCTCTCTTGATCCAGCTAGAACTGGCCAGAACTGACTCACTCAGGAATGTGTAGACTTTGGCATCAGGGGCTGCTTTAATTTGCACAATTTCCAAATACCTCTTTTTTCTTCTTTTTCTGATGAGTCATCTCCCTAGACTTGCATTTTAAAGAGATAGATAGTTATCAGGTTCCAGAGAAGACATGGTAGAACATTTATATCTCAAAGACACAGAGCTGAGACTTCAGGTTTAGATACTATAATTGCCTAAACTAAAAAGGAAGGTGTAGGTAAAGTTCTAGTCAAGACAGGATGGCCAGGAAAAACACCTTAAACCAAGGGATGGCTTGCTTTGCAGATTTAAGCCAATGGCTTCTTTATCATAAGACTTCCCAGTGATTTAGTCCTCCCTCTCTTCCAGTGCACAGAGACATACCCCTCCTTACAAATAAAAATGTTCTTTATAGATGTAAACTTATTTTACAAAAATGTTTCAAAATAACCAGATGAAAATCATCCTTATGCCAGAAAGACTTCTTTTTTTTTTCATTACTAGAAATGAAACAGTAAGTATTGGTTGTATTGACATACTTAGGCTTAGACCTATGTTTAACAAGAAAGCCTAATAATAGCACTGTGGTTAGACTGTAGCCTATTTTTCCAAACCATCATTTTATTATTAAGGAAAGAAAGGATCAAATACCTTTCATTCATCTGATATGATCCTTTAAAACACATTCCACTAATAAGTCCCATTTGGAACAGCTGAAAATCTTTTAATAAAACTTTTTAAAGATGAGCTCATGGCTTAGTGTATATTTCACAAGCTTAATTAGGTCAAATGGAAGGAACTCAGATGAGTAGTTGCCCAATCAGAGCCCATTAGTTGTAAGTCATCAGCCCCCTTCGTGACCTTAAAACTCCACTCTGACCTAATTATTGCAAACCTATATACAACAAAGTGAAAGGATTAATTTTCATTCATCAACCTCTCAAACCCAGATTTTCAAAGAAAAAACCTATGTAAGGAATACTTACCGAAACCAGACAGGAAAATTAGAGCCTGCATACTTAAGAGTCAAACTTGTTCCACTACAGCCAGGTGGCATACAATTACACCATTTGGTTCTTCATACACTCTGGAACTGACCAGGACAGAGTTTAGCATAGAAAAACTGTAAGAAATAGGTTCCAAAACATAGAAATTGCAAAGTCCAAAAGGCTATGAAAAAAACTAATGTAAATGAGAGACTCCCCTCCCTTTGTTTTAAAGAAATAGACCCATCAGAGAAATGCAAATCAAAACCACAATGAGATACCATCTCACACCAGTTAGAATGGCGATCATTAAAAAGTCAGGAAACAACAGGTGCTGGAGAGGATGTGGAGAAATAGGAACACTTTCACACTGTTGGTGGGACTGTAAACTAGTTCAACCATTGTGGAAGTCAGTGTGGCGATTCCTCAGGGATCTAGAACTAGAAATACCATTTGACCCAGCCATCCCACTACTGGGTATATACCCAAAGGACTATAAATCATGCTGCTATAAAGACACATGCACACGTATGTTTATTGTGGCACTATTCACAATAGCAAAGACTTGGAACCAACCCAAATGTCCAAAAATGATAGACTGGATGAAGAAAATGTGGCACATATACACCATGGAATACTATGCATCCATAAAAAATGATGAGTTCATGTCCTTTGTAGGGACATGGATGAAGCTGGAAACCATCATTCTCAGCAAACTACCGCAAGGACAAAAAACCAAACACCACATGTTCTCACTCGTAGGTGGGAATTGAACAATGAGAACACTTGGACTCAGGAAGAGGAACATCACACACCGGGGCCAGTTGTGGGGTGGGGGGAGGGGGGAGCGATCGATTTTGGAGATATGCCTAATATGAATGATGAGTTAATGGGTGCAGAACACCAACATGGCACATGTATACATATGCAACAAACCTGCACATTGTGCATGTGTACCCTAGAACTTAAAGTATAATAAAAAAAAATATATATATAAAAATTTAAAAAAGAAAGAAATAGATGTTCTGTAAAAATATAGACAATTTTTACAGACAAATACATTTATAAGTTGTTTTTATCTGAAAAATTGGGGATATTTCATATTTATAACTAATTATTGAGCCTTAAGTTTTCTTGGCCATTTCTAGGCTAATAAACTAAGAATTATGTAAACTAAGCCAAAGTAGAATAGACATAAAAGTCCTGAACACTTCAACTTCCTATTCTTCAAGAAGTATACCCGGCAAAGCTCATTTGAGAGAGGAAAAGCTTTCCTCCACCCTCTGTTTTACAGCGCTGAGGCTTCTCATCACAGTTCTATGACTTGTAGCTTAAATCCGTGTTACATGGTCACTGGCGTTGTTAGTGCTTCTCTTTTAACACTGTAGGAATTAATCAATTCGGTAGCATATTTAATTAATTCTATCACTAGCCTGGCTACTGGCCACCCTTCTCTTCTCAACCAGGAAATTAAGTCAGAAAGGCTTATTTTCCCTTAGTAAGACTTTGGGGACATAGCAAAGTTCATGACAATAAGAAAGAAGTGGCAGCAAGCGTTTGAAAAGAGTGGTTTCAGTCAACTGAGGGGTTCCCATGGGAGAAGCAGGATCAAAGAGAGAGAGAGAGAAAGAACAGGGAGGGCTAATTAGATTAGTTCATAGTTGTCCCAAGAGCGACGCCTTTGGGGGCTTCCCTTAGGGGGGAAAGAGTCCAGGCCAAAGGGATGACCCGTGAGATGGCTGCTGTAAAAGTGGACTATTCTTTTTCCAGTGGCCTGGCTATTTGCAAAAAAGGCAGACATCTTAGGGCACAGGGGTGTTTAGTTTGCATGCACAAGTAGAAGTACTCCCAATCCCTGCAGTTGTTGTAACTGGGAGGACATGCACCTGTTTACCTTTGTAAGTGTTTCCCCACTGTCACCACTGTAATTCTAGGTTATCTTTAGGGAGGCCAAACTTATCTATCTACTGAACCCAGTCCAGTTGCCATCTGATCATCAGACTGAGTGACCTCTTACGTCGATCCAATACAGTTCACCAATCAAATCCAATTTGATGCTGGACTGAGTCAAGTTTTTACCAATGACTCATCAGCTACCCAAACCTCAAAAGGCCATATGTCATCTCACAGCACAAACTGGCCACTGGCACCCACCCCAAGGTTATTTGCCCTCTCATAGCACAAAACCCTGGATTCGAAACCCAAAAGGATCAAGGTTCAATGCAAAAACAGCAGAGTCTGGCCTAAGAGGAATGTACAACCTCAGAAGGAGGGCAAAGGGGCCAGCAGTGTCTTTCCTGAATTCCTCAAGGGGTCTTGGGAGGTGGATCCCATCCAGCTTGCCAGAACTCTCAAAAGACAAAATTACAACAAATTTACTTTAAACTAAATAAATAAAATAAAATAAATAAATGAAACTTAGCTTTTATTTATTATTTCAGAATCAACTTCGAAACCCAGTCTGGATAAAAAAATAAAAATAAAAACCCTTACAAAGGTAAACAAATGCATAGCTCAAAACACAAATCCTTGGAGCTTCAAAATTTGAGAGAGAACTTGCCCAGGACCCCTGCTGCTGTGAGAGATCTGTGTGCACAATGGACCTGGTGGGTCGCTGTGCTTGGGCACTCCATGCTTCTGGGGTTTGATGGACGTTCTACTTCAGATTGCATTTCCTACACTAATCTGTTAAAAAAAACCTTTACATATGCTAAATTTAGCAGAGTTTATTTGAGCAAAGAAACCGTTTAGGAATCAGGCAGCAGTTTGCACCAAAAATGGCTCAGAACACTCCATGCCACCATTTGTGCAGGTTACATTTACAGCTAGAGAAAAAGAAGTGCACAGAAACAGCCTGATTGGCTGCTGTTGGCATTTACCTCATATAGTCATGTTTTGGCAGCTTTCAGCCTCTGATTGGCTGAAGGCTCAGCTGTTTTCATTGGCTAAGACATAGTTACATGTTATAAGACTATAGTCTTGGGTTAAGTTACAGTTATTTTTACACATTAAGTTAGGTTACAACTAGCTATGTATACAGAACTCATTAGGCCAAACTTAAAATAAGTATGGAGGCTGCTTTAGGACACCTGTATGAGCGAAGTATGCCAGAGTGGCAGAGTGCTACATACATATGTGTAAATTTCTATATTAAATATATTTATGTATGTTACCTATATATTTATATGCTCATAAATATATATTTCCTTGAATAGTCAGCTATGTTCTCTATTTCTAAATTTATAAATATGCATATTTATGTGTGTGTGTATATGTATATATATATGTATATTTAATTTTTATGTGTTTGCTTCTGCCTTATTTGTAAGGTAGCCCAAAATGGCAGAGAGATTACATATGTATGCTATAAATGTTTATAGTATATATTTATGTTTATGTATATATTTAAATGTTGCATAGTTTTTTTTTTCAAGAATTTGAAAAAGTTTCTAAATTGAGGAAAAATTTATGTAAGATTAAGCTCTTTAAAGTGTATCATTCACTGACATTTAGGACATTCTTAACACTCTCTAGTTCCAGAATTTTTTTTTCTTTTTTGAGTGGGGTCTCATTCTGTCCCTTAGGCTGGAGTGCAGTGGTGAGATTTTGACTCACTGCAATCTCCACCTCCCAGGCTCAAACAATCTTCCCACCTCAGCCTTCTGAATAGCTGGGACCACAGGCACATGTGCCACAACGCCCAGCTAATTCTTCGTATTTTTTTTGGTAAACACGGAGTTTCACCATGTTGCCCAGGCTGGTCTTGAACTCCTGAGCTCAGGCGATCCACCTGCCTTGGTCTCCCAAAGTGCCGGGAGTTTTTATAGTTCGAGGTCTTACATTTAAGTCTTTAATCCCTCTTGAGTTACTTTTTGTATATGGTGATAAGTAGGGGTCCAGTTTCATTCTGGCATCTACATAGCCAGTTATCCTAGAATCATTTATTGAATAGGAAGTCCTTTTCCTATTGCTTATTTTTGTCACCTTTGTCAAAGATCAGTTAGCTGTAGATGTGTGGCTTTATTTCTGGGTTCTTTATCCTGTTCTAATGGTCTATGTGTCTGTTTTTGTACAAACACCATGCTGTTTTGGTTACTGTAGCCTTATAGTATAGTTTGAAGTGAGGTAGTGTGATGCCTCCTGCTTTGTTCTTTTTGCTTAGGATTGCTTTGGTGATTTGTGCTCTTTCTGAGTTCTTTATAAATTTTAGAATAGGTTTTTTTTTCTAATTCTGTGAAAAATGACATTGGTAGTTTGATAGGAATAACACTGAATCTGGGGATTGCTTTTGATAGTATATGGCAATTTTAACAATATTGATTCTTCCTATTCTTGAGCATGGAATGTTTTTCCATTTGTTTGGGTCAGCTCTGATTTCTTTCAGCAGTGCTTTGTAATTATTGTTTTCTTGTTGTAGAGATCTTTCACCTCCCTGGTTCCCTTTATTCCTTGGTATTTTTGTGTGTGTATGTGTCTATTGTGAATTAAATTGCATTCTTGATTTGGCACTCAGCTTGGATATTGTTGGTGTATAGAAATACTGCTGATTTATGTACCTTGATGTTGTATCCTGAAACTTTGCTGAAGTTGTTTATTAGATCTAGGAGCTTTTAGGCAGAGACTATGGGGTTTTCTAGGTATAAAATCATGTTATCTGCAAACAGAGATAGTTTGACTTCCTGTCTTCCTATTTGGATGCTTTAACTTCTTTCTCTTGCCTGATTGCTCTGGCTAGGATTTCTAGTACTGTGTTGAATAGGAGTGATGGCAGTGGGTATCCTTGTCTTGTTCCAGTTCTCAAGTGGAATGAACCCAGCTTCTGCCTGTTCAGTGTGATGTTGGCTGTGGGTTTGTCATAAATGGCTCTTATTATTTTGAGGTATGTTCCTTCAATACCTAGTTTATTAAGGGTTTTTAACATAAAGGGATGTTGAATTTTATCAAAAGTCTTTTCTGTATCTATTGAGATGATCATGTGGTTTTTGTTTTTAGTTCTGTTTATGTGATAAGTCACATTTATTGATTTGCATATGTTGAACCAACCTTGCTTGTTTATCCCAGGGATAAACCCTGCTTGATTAAGGTGGATTAGCTTTTTGATGTGCTGGTAGATTCAGTTTGCTAGTATTTTGTTAAGGATTTTTGCATCTGTGTTCATCAAGGATATTGGCCTGTAGTTTTTTCTTTGTTGTGTCTCTGCCAGGCTTTGGTATCAGAATGATGCTTGCCTCATAGAATGAGTTAGTGAGGAGTCTCTGCTCCTCAATTGTTTGGAATAGTTTCAAGTAGGGATAGCAGCAGCTCTTCTTTATACGTCTGGTAGAATTTGGCTGTGAATTCATCTGATCCTGGGCTTTTTCTTGCTCAAAATCATAAAATTAGATGGAAACTATTTTATTACTGATTCAATTTCAGAACTCATTATTAGTCTGTTCAGGGTTTCAGTTTCTTCCTGGTTCAATTTTGGGCAGCTGTGTTTTCAGGAATTTTTCCACATTTTGTAGGTTTTCTAGTTTGTGTGTCTAGAGGTGTTCATAATGGTCTCAGAGTCTTTTGTATTTCTGTAGGGTCATTGATAATGTTTCCTTTGTCAATTTTGATTGTGTTTATTTGGATATTCTCTCTTTCTTCTGCTGTTTGTCTAGTTAGTGTTCTATCTATCTTATTTAGTCTTTAAAAAACTTGTGGTTTATTGATCTTCTGTATGTTTTTTCATGCCTCACTTTATTTCAGTTCAGCTCTGATTTTGGTTATTTCTTGCCTTCTTCTAGTTTTATGGTTGGTTTGATCTTGTTTTCCTAGTTCTTCTTCTAGGTGTGATGCTATGTTGTTAATTGGAGATCTTTCTAACTTTTTGATGTGAGCTTTTAATGCTATAAACTTTCCCCTTAACACTGCTTTAGCTGTGTCACAGAGATTCTGGTATATCTTATCTTTTTTTCTTTGGTTTTGAAGCTTATTTCTGCCTTAATTTCATTATTTACCTAGCAGTCATTCAAGAGCAGGTTGTTCAATTTCCATGTAATTTTATGGTTTTGAGCAATCTTCTTCGTATTCCCTTCTATTTTTATTGTGCTGTGGTTTGAGAGCATAATTGGTATGATTTCAATTTTTAAAAATTTGTTGAGAATTGTTTTTTGTCTGATTATGTGGTCGGTTTTAGAGTATGCACCATGTGGTGATGAGAAGAATATATATTCTGTTGTTTTGGGGTGGAGAATTTTGTAGATGTCTGTTAGTTCCATTTGGTCAAGTGTTGAGTTCAGGTCCCACATATATTTTTTAGTTTTCTGCCTCGATGATCTGTCTAATACTGTCAGTGGAGTGTTGAAGTCTCCCACTATGATTGTGTGGGAATTTAAGTCTCCTCACAGGTCTCTAAGAATTTGTTTTTATGAATCTGGGTGCTCCCTGGTGCTCCCTGGGTACACACATAATTCTTGTGTTGGATGCATATATATTTAGAAGAGTTAAGTCTTCTTGTTGAATTGAACACTTTACCCTTATGTAATGCCCTTCTTTGTAGTTTTTTGATTGTTGTTGACTTAAAGTCTGTTTTGTTTGAAATTAGAATAACAGCCCCTGCTATTTTTTTGTTTGTTTTGTTTTTATTTTCTGTTTGCTTGGTAAGTTTTCCTCCATCCTATTACTTTGAGCCTATCTGTGTCATTGCATTTGTGAGATGGGTCTCTTGAAGATGGCATACAGTTGGGTCTTGTTTGTTTGTTTGTTTTAATTTTTTGAGACTGATCTGTCTCTTTCACCCATGCTGGAATGCAGTGGCACAATTATGGCTTCCTGCAGCCTCAACCTCTTGAGTTCAGGTGATCGTTACACTTCAAATTCTGGAGTAGCTGGGACTACAAGCGCATGCCACCATGTCTGACTAATTTTACATTTTTTATAGAGATGAGGTTTTCCCATGTTGCCCAGGCTGGTCTCGAACACCTGGGCTTAAGCGATCTGCCCACCTTGGTCTCACAAAGTGCTGGGATTACAGACATGAGCCACTGCACCCAAGTGGGTCTTGCTTCTTTATTCAATGTGCCACTCTGTGCATTTCAATTGGGGCATTTAGCCCATTTACTTTCAAAGTTAAAAATTCTATGTACAGAATTGATCCTGTCCTTATATTTTTTTCAGCTGGTTATTATGCAGACTAGATTTGATTTTGTAGTTGCTTTATAGTGTTAATGGTCTATGTACTTAAGTGTGTTTTTATGGTGGTTGGTAATGGTCTTTTGTTCTCATATTTATTTTATTTTATTTTGAGACAGGATCTCACTCTGCTGCCCAGGCAGAGTACAGTGGTATGATGTGGGCTGATTGCAACCTCTGCTTCCTGGACTCAAGCCATCCTCCTGCCTTGGTCTCCTGAGTGGGTGGGACCACAGGCGCATAACACCATTCCTAGCTAATTTTTATATTTTTTGTAGAGACGGGGTTTCACCATGTTGCCCAGTCTGGTTTTGAACTCCTGGGCTCAAGTGATCCACCTGCCTCAGCCTCCTGAAGTGCTGGGATTACAGGCGTGAGCCACTGCGCCTGGCTTGTTTCTATATTTAACACTCCCTTAGAGACCTCTTTTAAGGCAGGTCTGGTGGTGATAAATTCCCTTAACATTTGCTTGTCTGAAAAGTATCTTCTCCTTTGCTTATGAAGTTTGTTTGACCGTGTATGAAATTCTTGGCCTCCTCGGCATTGCACCATCAAGACAAAGTTGTCCTCCAACTTCTCATCCTGCATTGCTGCCATTGCAGCTCTCAGAACTAAAAAGGCGGCTTCAGACTCCTCCAAAGAACAAGTGGCCAATTCGAGGGAATCCTCCCCGTCACCAAAAGAAGTAAACGACAGTCCGAGAGCCGCCACCAAGTCTCCTGAATCCCAGAATCTCATCGATGGGACAAAAAAACCATCCCTAAAGCAACCAGACAGTCCCAGAAACATCTCAAGTGACAACAGCAGCAAGGGAACCCCGTCCTCTCCTGCAGGATCCACAACAGCAATCCCCAAAGTCCGCATAAAAACCATTAAGACATCTTCTGGGGAAATCAAGAGAACAGAGACCAGGGTATTTCCAGAAGTGGATCTTGACTCTGGGAAGAAACCTTCCGAGCAGATGGTGTCTGTGATGGCCTCTGTGACATCCCTTCTGTCATCTCCAGCATCAGCCGCTGCCCTTTCCTCTCCCCCCAGGGTGCCTCTCCAGTCTGCAGTGGTGACCAATGCAGTTTTCCCTGCAGAGCCCACCCCTAAACAGGTCACAATCAAGCCTGTGGCTACTGCTTTCCTCCCAGTGTCTGCTGTGAAGACAGCAGGATCCCAAGTCATTAATTTGAAGCTTGCTAACAACACCACGGTGAAAGCCACGGTCATACCTGCTGCCTCTGTCCAGAGTGCCAGCAGCATCATCATTAAAGCTGCCAATGCTATACAGGAGCAAGCTGTCATGATGCCAGCATCCAGCCTGGCCAATGCCAAACTTGTGCCAAAGACTGTGCACCTTGCCAACCTTAACCTTCTGGCTTAGGGTGCCCAGGCCACCTCTGAACTCCACCAAGTGCTAACCAAAACTCAGCAACAAATAAAGAAGGCACTAATCAATGCAGCAGCCTCACAACCCCCCAAAAAGGTGTCTCGAGTCCAGGTGGTGTCGTCCTTGCAGAATTCTGTGGTGGAAACTTTCAACAAGGTGCTGAGCAGTGTCAATCCAGTCCCTGTTTACATCCTAAACCTCAGTCCTCCTGCCAATGCAGGGATCACATTACTGATGCATGGGTACAAGTGCTTGGAGTGTAGGGACTCCTTTGCACTTGAAGAGTCTGACCCAGCACTACAACAGATGGAGCATGTGCATCGAAGTAACGTGCAACCATTGTACAAAGAACCTCATTGTTTACAACAAATGCAACCTCCTTTCCCAAGCCCGTGGGCATAAGGAGAAGGGGGTGGTAATGCAATGTTCCTACTCAATTTTAAAGCCAGTCTCAGCAGGTCATATCATAGTTTCTCCATCGAGCAATAGTTCTTCTTCATCTTCCACTCTTCAGAGCCCTGTGGGAACTGGCATACACACTGTCACAAAAATTCAGTCTGGCATAACTGGGACAGTCATATCGGCTCCTTCAAGCACTCCCAGCACCACAGCCATGCCCCTAGATGAAGACCCCTCCAAACTGTGTAGACATAATCTAAAATGTTTGAAGTGTAATGAAATCTTCCAGGACAAGAGATCCCTGGCTACACATTTCCAGCAGGCTGCAGATATGAGTGGACAAAAGACTTGTACTATCTGCCAGATGCTGCTTCCTAACCAGTGCAGAGAATCCATCAGCACAAATCTCCCTACACCTGCCCTGAGTGCAGGGCCATCTGCAGGTTGGTGCACTTCCAGACCCATGTCACCAAGAACTGTCTACACTACACAAGGAGAGTTGGTTTTTGACGTGTACATTGCAATGTTGTGAACTCTGATGTGGCTGCTCTGAAGTCTCGCATTCAAGGTTCTCACTGTGAAGTCTTCTACAAGTGTCCTATTTGTCCAATGGTGTTTAAGTCCGCCCCAAGCACTTAACACAGCATCCTGGCATCAAGATAGGAGAACCAAAAATAATATATAAGTGTTCCATGTGCAACACTGTGTTCACCCTGCAAGCCTTGCTGTATCGCCACTTTGACTAACATATTGAAAACCAGAAAATATCTGTTTTCAAGTGTCTGGACTGTTCTCTTTTATACGTACAGAAGCAACTTATGATGGACCATATCAAGTCTATGCATGGGACATTGAAAAGTATTGAAGGGCCAACTTGGGTGTAAACTTGCTTTTGAGCTTTAAGCCTGCAACTTATAATTCAGCATATCAGAAAAAAGAGGACAGCAAATCCATGAGTGGGAAAGAGAAACCGGAAAAGAAATCTCCATCTCCTTTGAAAAAAAATCAATGGAAACCAAGAAAGTGGCCAGTCCTGGGTGGACGTGTTGGGAGTGTGACCACCTGTTCATGCAGAGAGATGTGTACATATCCCACCTGAGGAAGGAGCATGGGAAGCAAATGAAGAAACACCCCTGCCGCCAGTGTGACAAGCCTTTCAGCTCATCCCACAGACTGTGCTGGCACAACCGGATCAAGCACAAAGGCATCAGGAAAGTGTATGCCTGCTCACACTGCCCAGACTCCAGAGGTACTTTTACCAAAGGGTTGATGCTGGAGAAGCATGTCCAGCTGATGCATGGCATCAAAGACCTTGACCTGAAAGAAATGACAGACACCACCAATGAGGAGGAAACAGAAATAAAAGTAGACGCCAAGGTCCGCAGTCCCAAGTGGAAGTTGAAAGAACCGGTTCTGGAGTACAGGCCTCCCAGAGGAGCAATAACTCAACCACTGAAAAAGCTGAAAATCAATGTTTTTAAGGTTCACAAGTGTGCCTTGTGTTGCTTCACCACCGAAAACCTGCTGCAGTTCCACGAACACATCCCTCAGCACAAATAGGATGGTTCTTCCTACCAGTGCTGGGAGTGTGGCCTCTGCTACATGTCTCACGTCTCTCTGTCCAGGCACCTCTTTGTTGTACACAAGTTAAAGGAACCTCAGCCAGTGCCCAAGCAAAATGGGGCTGGGGAAGATAACCAACAGGAGAACAAACCCAGCCACGAGGACGAATCTCCCAATGGCGTCATGTCAGACAGAAAGTGCAAAGTGTGTGCAAAAACTTTTGAAACTAAAGCTGCCTTAAACACTCACATGCAGACACATGGTATGGCCTTCATCAAATCCAAAAGGATGAGCTCAGACGAGAAATAGTCACAGACGCTCCATGAGGAAAATCCCTGTCCACATTGGGATAAAAAAGACACTTTTGTTACACTAAGTTTGCAGTATAATAGAGTTAACAGTACTGTCTAGGCTGTTGCTATATATTCTCTTTCAATGTGCCTTCCTTCTTCATCTTGTCATATATATCCTCATTAAGTATTAAAACAGAATTTGAGTTTAAAAGAGTTTGTATATATTTAAGTGAATAACTTTTTATACTCTTTGTTACATGTTTGTATCAGTATTCAGTGGAAAACGTTTTGAGTTGTTTTGGGTTAGAATTTTTCTTTTTGTCCTGTTTCTTTAAAACAGAGTTCTTAGGAACAGGGGCAGTTCCTGAATTCAAATAAATCATTTTGTATGTTTCAAATTTGAATGGCTTAACTAATTACAGGCTAAAATAATGCCTTTTTTAGTGTTTTTAATTTTTAAAATTCACTACATAAATTGGAAGTAATTGTGGGTCTCAAAAACACTAGGAACTTCTAAATGTCTTAGCACCTTCTGGATGTGCCTGCCCCGAGGGAGTGAGTGCACGTTTGAGACAACTGCACTCCAGCGTGGGCGCGCCTTTGTCTTCAGGCCACGCCGAAGGGTGTTTAAAGCAGCCTTGCAGGTCGCTCCTTTCCCAGCCGTGGATAAAAACTGAAGCCAGGAATCTAATAAGGAATGCTGATTTCCTCAATTCCATTTTGAGGAATGGGGAAGGTTATTCTAAAGAAAAAAAGAATGGGACTGGTTTTCTGGGCAGATCTGCAAGGCTGGCTTTAGGAGCACAAGGAGGGAAAGTAACAAAACGGCTGGACTACTATAAAAGTTACAAATACGTAGTTAGACCAATAGATCTACATAGTCAGGTTTTTGTCATGTAATTTATTAACTATTACAGAAACACAACTAAGAATATCAAGTATTTCTCTGGCTCTTGATAGAAAAAAAAATCAGCTGACTTAATCCTTTGTTTTCAAAAGAGTTGGCGTTTCCTGTTCTGGGTGTTACTGCCAAACGTTCTGGTGCTTAGAGTTGGGATGCACGACGTCAACCACCGACTTATCAATGCAGCCGGCTGTGTATCGCAATTGGCCGTTACCTTAAGCACTGAGCCACATGGGATTAGTTCAGCCATTTCAAGAGGTATATTTAATGTTGGTAGTTCTGCTTTACTAAAATGCAGTAGAGGTACTCTTCTGTCCCTTCTGTTTATAGTTCTCTGAGAGAGTTATATTTTTTGGTTTCGTCTTGTGTTTTCTTTTGCATCTTATATCTTGTATTTATCCCTGAACATGTTTTGTACTTTTTTTTTTAAGAAAAGGAATTCTTTTGTGTATATATGTAGGTACTTGCATGATATACTGTAGTCAATGTTCAGTTCCTCGAAAGGTCTTGCTGCTGTCAGGTGTTATACACTCCATCCATCATAACTGTATGAAACACATTTCATATGTAAATAAACGTGGGACATTTGAAAAAATTTTTTGTTCTATGTAGTTGAAAATCATTGGCTAAGTTCATTATAACCTCCTTTCTGCATCTTACCCTCATCCACACTCTTACAGCCTTTCATTAATTGTAAATTCTTATGTCTATATTTTCCATATCTACTTAGTACTACTTTTTGGAATGAATCTTTTATGCCCTGCTCTGGTCAATAATCTTGGGTGAAATGAGAACACAAAGCCAGAGAGACCAGGTTTCTGTAGTTCTCTAACATCAGATTTTAATACAAATTCTGCTGTGCAGTGCCCAGGCATTGCCACCCCTCTGGAGAGAATTCTATGGCTACATCCCTGAATGTCAACCGTTCCATTTCTAGGCTTGCAGCAGGCTCTGGTGTCTTAGCTATGGATCTCCCAATACCTGCTGGTCACAGGGCCATAGAGACTGGGCTTCTAGGAACAGAAGACACAGAGCAGTGAACAGTAGCCAGTTTCATTCTGCCTATGGATAGGCAGTTATCCCAGCACTATTTATTGAATAGAGAGTTCTTTCCCTATTGCTTATTTTTGTCAGCTTCATGGATGTTCACTTGGTTGTAGGTGTGTGACTTTATTTCTAGGTTCTCTATTCTGTCCCACTGGTCTATGTATCTGTTTTTGTACCAGTACTGTAGTGTTTTGGTTATGTAGCCTTGCAATATAGTTTAAAGTTGGATAGTGTGATGTCTCTGGCTTCTTTTTTCTTTTTCTTTTTTTTTTTTTTGGCTTAGGATTGCTTTGGTGATTCCTGCTCATTTTTTCATTCCATATGGATTTTAGAGTAGTTTTTTTTCCTAATTCTGTGAAAAACAACATTGGTAATTTAATAGGAATAGTGTTAAATCTAGAGATTGCTTTGGGTGGTATGGCCATTTTAATGATACTCATTCTTCCCATCCACGAACATGGAATGTTTTTCCATTTGTTTGTGTCATCTGTGATTTTATTCAGCAGAAATTTTTGTTATTCTTGTGGAGTTCTTTCACCTCCTTGGTTAGATATATTCCTAGGTATTTTTTTTGTGTGGTCATTATAAATGGGATAGCATTCTTGATTTGGCTCTCAGCTTGGACGTTTTTGGTGTATACAACTGCTACTGACTTTTGTACATTGATTATATATTCTGAAATTTTACTGAAGTTATGTATTAGTTGTTGGAATTTTTGGTAGTCTTTTAAGTTTTTCTAGGTATTGAGTAATATCATCTATGAAGAGAGATAATTTGACTTATTCTTTTCCTATTTGAATTTCCTCTTTTTCTTTCTCTTGCATAACTGCTATGCTATGACTACCAGTACTATGTTGAGCCAGAATAGTGAGAATGGGCAACCTTGTCTTGTTCTGATTCTTAAGGGGAATGAATCCAGCTTTTGCCAGTTCAGTATGAGCTTGGCTGTGAATTTGTCATAGATAACTCATTATTTTGAGGTATACTCCTTTGATGTCTAATTTGTTGAGGGTTTTTTATCATGAGGAGATGTTGGGTTTCATTTAAAACTTTTTCTGCATCTATTGATGATCATGAAGTTTTTACTTGTGTTTGTGTTTTTTGTAAATTTTGTTTATTTGTTGAATCACATTTATTTATTTGCATATGTTGAACCAACCTTGCCTCCCATGAATAAAGCCTATTCAATCATGGTGAATTAACTTTTTGATGTGTCGCTGGATTCAGTTTGCTAGTATTTTGTTGAGGATTTTTGTGTCTGTTCATCAGGAATATTGGCCTGTAGTTTCCTTTTTTTGTTGTGCTTGTGTCAGATTTTGGTATCAGGATGATGCTGGTTTTATAGAATGAGTTAGGGAGGAGTTCCTTCTCCTCATTTTTTGGGGAATGTTTCAGTGGGATTGGCACCAGCTCTTCTTTGCACGTCTGGCAGAATTTGGCTGTGAACTAATTGGTCTAGGACATTTCTTGGTTAGTAGGTTTTTTATTACTGGTTTATATTTTTCAAACTTGCTATTGGTCTGTTCAGGATCTCAATTTCTTCCTAATTCTTCCTTGGAAGGTTTTGTGTTTCTAGGAATTTATTCATTTCCTCTAGATTTCTAGTTTGTGTGCACAGAGGTGTTCATAATGGTCTCTGAGGCTCTTTTGTATTACCGTGGGTATCAGTTCTGATTGTATTTATTTGAATCTTCTTTCTTTGTTAGTTTACCTAGCATTCTATCAATCTCACGTATTCTTTGAAAGAACCAACTTTCAATTTCATTAATCTTTTATATGGCTTTTTGGGTCTCAATTTTATTTCTGCTGTGATTTTTGTTATTTATTTTATTCTGGTAGCTTTGTATTAGTTTGTTCTTGTTTTTTTAGGTCCTTTAGGTGTGATGTTAGATTGATAATTTGGTATCTTTCTAGCTTTTTGAGGTAGGCAAACCATTTAAGCACTATAAACTTTCTTCTTAATATTGCTTTTTCTACATTCCAGAGATTTTGGTAAATTGTGTCTCTGTTTTCATTTACTTTAAATAATTATTTGATTTCTGCTTTAATTTTGTTAACTCAAAAGTTATTAAGAAACAAGTTCTTTAGTTTTCCATTTTATTGTGTGATTTTGAAGTATCTTCTTGATATTGCCTTCTATTTTTATTCTTCGTGGCCCAAAAATATGCTTGGTGTTGTTTCTTCATTAAAAAAAGTTATTGAGACTTGCTTTATGGCCAAATATGTGGTTGATCTTAGAGTATATGCCATGTGCAAATGAAAAGAATGTATCTTATGTGGTTGTTGGGTGGAACATTTTGTCAATTTTTATTAGGTCCAATTGGTGAAGTGTTGAATTTAAGTCAGCATTTCCTTGTTAGTTTTCTGCCTCACTCATCTATTTTTCTAATTAGTATGATTCAGTTTTTTTTTTCTGACATTGCAGTTTTCTTCACCTATCACAACACTTCAAGAAGACTATTACAAGAATACTACAAGTTTTACACATAATATCATCAAAGGAGTGACACATTGGCAAAAAACCATGATAAATATTCAAAAAAACTAGAACATACATTTGTATATTCTTTCATTAATTGTATTAGCTTTTTCCTCCTTTTGTGCCCGTACTTATTAGAATCTTTTTCATAAAAAAGCAGTTTTCTTTCTTTCTTGTTTTTTTTTTTGAGACAGGATCTTGTTCTGCAACCCAGGCTGGTGTGCAGTAGTGTGATTATGGCTCATTGCAGCCTTGAATTCCTAGGCTCAAGCAAATCCTCCCACCTCAGCCTCCCAAGTAGCTGGGACTACAAGTTTGTGCCACTAGACCCAATTAATTTTATGTTATTTTATTTTATTTTTGTAGAGTCAGGGTCTTGGTATATTGCCCAGGCTGGTCTCAAACTCCTGGGTTCAAGTGATCCTCCCACCTTGGCCCCGCAAAGTGCTGGGATTATAGGTGTTAGCCACCACACATGGCAGCAATTTTTGACTAGAGCTGATTGCAAATGTTTGTAGAGAAGAATTGAGAATAATAACACTGGATGACCAAAATTCGGTGTAGCTATGGCTAAGATTTGATGAAAGTTCCCAATAGACAAGGAAATTTTGTTATTTCTATTATTTGCAGCATTTTAAGATAACAACCAGAATCATTATGACAGTGTCATGTTAGAGACATCAGGCTTTCATAAATGTTATATCGTCTTTAGAATATTCACATGAATAACATACCCATACAAATATAACTTAAGATTTAACATAGTAATCAAAATTATGACTGATAACAAATTAGCTTTTTGTAAATTTATATAAGTTTTGGAACATTTATGTCAATAATGTACCCATAATTGTAACAGAAAGATCTAATATCAATTATCATTTGATAATACTTTACAAAGAATCTACCAAATAAGTTTAATTATTTAATACAAAAAGACTTAATTTACGATTTTCATCCTGGGGGAACATGACAAAGACGTCAAAAGTTTCAAAAAACTAGATCAAAATAAAACCATAGGTCACTGGAAAATAAAAGTTATTCATATACGTAGAGTGGTAATCAAAATACTTTGAAAGAAATACAGAAATTTTTATGAATGTAAAATCCTTAACCCTTTTAAATTTCAGTTTTCCTAAGTAATATGAAACCTAATAAGAATAATGCAGAAATTGTTTTAATAAAACATAAAATCTTTGCTTTTTAGACCAGCTACTATAAAGGTAAACAAACAAATAAACAAAAATCCCCACAAAACCTCCTATAGTGTTAATTTAGTTTGGATGTGTGTCCCCTCCAAATCTCATGTTGAAATGTTACCTTCAGTGTTGGAGATGGCCTAGTGGGAGGTGTTTGGGCCATAGAGGCAGATACTTTATGAATGACTCATTGCCATCCCCATGGCAATGAGTGAGTTCTTGCTCTGGTAGTTTATGCAAGAGCTGGTTGTTTAAAGGAGCTTGGCACCTCCTCCTCTCTCTTGCTCCCTCTCTTGCCATGTGACATGCCTGCTCCTCATTCACCTTCCACCATAAATGTAATTGTAATCTTCCTGAGGCCCTCACCAGAATCAGATGCTGGCACTGTTCTTCTTGTACAGTCTGCAGAACTGTGAGCCAAAATAAATGTCTTTATAATTTACCCAGTCTCAGGTATTTCTTTATAGCAATGCAAAATGGAGCAACACAAGTATGACTAATTCTCCTTATGGGAAGCCCATTTAGATAGCCTGGAAGTCAAGCCTGATAAAAAGGGTAGTGGACCTTAATCAGATGTAAGAACAGTGTGTCCATGATTATATGTGTACACGATTGTATAAAGGAATGTAAACAGGAAAACTCATACCTTGAGCACAGAAACACATGGCTGTCAGTAACAGCATGAGAATTCCCCTCTATTGAAGAAAAGCCAAGAGTACAGAATCAAATTATTCTAGAGGAAAACACTGCTATTCTAGACCTTCAAGATAAGCATTTTAGTGTCCAGCCACAACATCAGAGGTAGAGTGGAAGAAAATAGTTACGGGAGTTAATAAAAAGATTGAAGAAGAGAGTTATCATCCCAGGTAAGCAAAAAGATTTACCTTTTAAGGGAATAAAGAACAGAAGGCAATGACATATAAACTGCAAATCACATTTAGTGAGATAGAGCAGAATTTGAACTTCTGGGACATAAATTTGAGAAATTTCAAAAAGAAACAGATAAAACCTCTTGTAATTTTATTAATAACAAATAAATACTTTCATGAAATCTTATTCTAACATAGGGGACCAATTTTTAGTTTTGCATTAGTGTATTTTTAATATCAAAACTCCATATTTAGAAAGATAAATATTTGTGTTACAGCAAACTTAATCACATACAAACTTCCTTTAATAAATGTCTTTTCAAATATCTTATTGTGACTTACACAGACTACTTAAGACATCCTGGGACTTTTTGCTCTTTCTTATATTTCCTTTTTCTTAAATACCCAGTCATTTCACTGTAGGAAAAAATTTACTATACAAGATTCTTTCTTATACAAAATTATTCTCTTTTCTTTTTAACCTCTTTTTGTTTTTTTACAAAAAAGTACATTTCCATATCCATAACTTCTTTCACTTTCTCTTCCAATTACTTGTTTCTTTCTGTCTTATTTCATAAATAACCTTTAAATAACCTCTGAATTAGACAAAATTTTCTTTTCTCAATAAGAACACATTTCATGCCTTTCTTGTATTTTTTCTTATCAAAAATACAACTTATTTTTTGGCATACTTTATATACAAAATTATATGTTAGTTAGAAATTTTAACTCTTAGTAACCTTAAATTTTGGTGTAAACTTAGTAAGCAAGATCTTGACTTGTCTGCCACATATCAGTATTTTATAGAAAAGAGCCATTTCATCATTTTTTAAACGTTTTCTTACAATATTTTCTTAATTGAAAATGACACTTAATGAGTTTCTATTATTTAATTTATCATAAGTTTAAGATTTCAAATTACATAAAAGGTTTATTTATAAGCATTTTTTATTTACATTTGCCTAATTTACTTACTTTTAACAGTATAACAAGATTACTTATGCAAACTGAGATATTAGACAAAGCTGATAAGTATTTCAAGTTATTTTGTTGTTAACAACTTTTATAGCCTATGAATATCAAATGTTCATTTAAATAAGAACCTGAAAGTTACATATATGGGTATTTTGCCTCTAACTCATAAGATAGGTCTGTTTTCGTGAAAACAACATTAAATCAGCCTTACTTATCAAAAAACACACAAAGATCATTCTGTTTTTGGCTTGATTTATAGTTTTATAGCCTTCATACCAAACCCCGACACTTTTTTTTTTTTTTTTTGAGACGGAGTCTTGCTCTGTCGCCCAGGCTGGAGTGCAGTGGCGCAATCTCAGCTCACTGCAAGCTCCGCCTCCCGGGTTCACGCCATTCTCCTGCCTCAGCCTCCCGCGTAGCTGGGACTACAGGCGCCCGCCATCACGCCCGGCTAATTTTTTTGTATTTTTAGTAGAGACGGGGTTTCACCGTGTTAGCCAGGATGGTCTCGATCTCCTGACCTCGTGATCCGCCCGCCTCGGCCTCCCAAAGTGGTGGGATTACAGGCGTGAGCCACCGCGCCCAGCCCCCTGACACTTTAAAATATCTAGCAGAAACAACTATAAGACTTTTAGATCAGTAAATGCAGGCAAAAATGTGTGCTGACATTTCTGAAAACATTTCTATGTATATTTTATTAATAATTCTAAAACCAGCTTACTTATTAAAGATTTAAGTCATGTGAACTTGGAAAATATTTGTACTTCCTAATGTATGCATGTTTATTTATAAGTCAATTTGATACCATATAGACAAAACATGAAAAATACATGTACACCTACATAAACACATCTAAACACATACACACACATAAATATCTTATAGCTTTCATTCTATAATTTTGTCATGAGATGGTAATATAAACTCACTGGTTTACCAAAGATGGCTGGATTCAAATTGTATTCCTGACAAAACTGGAACCTGTTCAGATGGCTAAATTTCATTTGCCCCAGAGGGTAATGTAATGAAGGCTATGAAACAAAGTTTTGAAAAAAGCAGTTTCCATGGCAATTTGATTTAAAAAAACCCACAAAACTCTTTTCATATATTTTTTTCACCTTCAGTTTCAAATGAGTTTAGGGTTAAATTTTCAATTTTTGCATTTTAGCTAGAACTGGCTGAATTGTATAAGAAAAACAAAATACCCAAGTAGTTTTGGATTAGCAATACCATGCATCAGCAGTGCATTTTATCTCAACAGCAGCACAAAAGTCAGCAAATTCAATGTAGGGGAGAGAGAGAGAGAGAGAGAGAGGAATTAGAAGATTCTACATAAATGGATTGAAGTCTCCAATAAAAAAACAGAGATTGGCAGAATGGATAAAAACACATGATCCAACACATGATCATAGAAACACATGATCAGCTTTGTAGATTTGCTATCTACAAAGTCTCACTTTACATTCAAAGACACAACTAGATTGAAAGTGAACAGACAAAGATATTCCATGAAAAGAGTAACCAAAAGAGAGCAGGGATAGTTATATTAGTATCACACAAAATAAACTTTAAATAAAAAAAGTTTACAAGAGACAAAGAAGTACACTATATATTAATACTAATAAAAGGTTCAATGCAGCAAGGATATGCTTGATATGTCAAGATATGCATGACACACTGAATGACAGACCACTAAAATATGCAACGTAAAAACTGTCAGAATTGAAGGGAGAAATAGTTCTACAATAATGGTTGGAGACTGCAATATCCACTTATTTATTTATGTATTTAATTTTACTTTAATTTCTGGGATACATGTGTAGAATGTGCAGGCTTGTTACATAGGTATACATGTGCCACGGTGGTTTGCTTCACCTATCAACTCATCATCTAGGTTTTAAGCCCCGCAGGCATTAGGTATTTGTCCTAATGCTCTTCCTCCCCTTGTCCCCCCACCCCCTAATGGGCCCTGGTGTGTGATGTTCCCCTCCCTGTGTCCATGTGTTCTCATTGTTCAATTCCCACTTTTAAGTGAAAACATGTGGTGTTTGGTCTTCTGTGCCTGTGTTAGTTTGCTGAGAATGATGGCTTCCAGCTTCATCCATGTCCCTGCAAAGGACATGAATTCATTCTTTTTTATGACTGCATGGTATTCCATGGTGTATATATACCCACTTCTTAATAATAGAACAACCAGACAGCATATAAGTAAGGAAATAGGGGACTTAAACACACGATAAACCAACTAGATCTAACAGACATATAGAAAACATTACCCAACAAAAACAGCATGCATATTTTTCTAAAGTGCTTATGGGATGTTTTCCAGGATAGAGCATATGTTAGGCCACAAATTAAGTCTCAATAAATTTAAAAAGATGGATATCATAAAAAGTATCTTCTTTAACCACAGTGGGATAAAGCTAGAAATTAGTAATTGAAGAAAAACTAAAAAAATCCAAGAACTTTTGGAAATTAAACAACACATTTTTAAACAACCAATGGATCAAAGAAGCAATCATAGGGGAAATTAGAAAATAATGAGATGAATGAACATAAAAAAGCACCACCTACCAACCCAAGGGGTAAAATGTGTACCTATAAATATTTGTATCAAAAAACAAAAAAATCTCTCTATGAACAACCTAACTTTACAACTTAAGCAACTAGAAAAAGAGGAACAAACTTAACTCAAAGCTAGCAGAAGGAAGGAAATAACAAAGATTAGAGCAGAGATAAACACAAAAAATAGAAAAAAATAGAGAAAATCAAAAGTTGTTTCTTGGGAGAGATGAACAAAATTGACATATTTTTAGCTAGATGAACTAAGAAAAAAAGAAGGAGATTCAAATTACTAAAATCAGAAGTGAAAATGCGGACAAGTCTACAAAAATAAAATAGGACTATAAGAGTACTATGAACAATTGTATGCCAACGAATTAAGACAACCTAGATGAAATGGACAAGTTCCTGGAAACACGAAACCCACCATGACTAAATCATGAAGAAATAGAAAATCTGAATAGACCTATAACTGGTAAAAGGATTGAGAGTCCAGAAATAATCTGTTCCAGATACAGTCAAATCACTTTTGACAAGGAACCCAAGACCCTTCAGGGGGAAGAAGGACAGTCTTTTCAATAAATTGTGCTGAGAGAACTAGATATCCACATGCGAAAGAATGAAGTTGGATTCTTTCCTAACACCATACAAAAAAATTAACTAAAATGGATCAAAGACCTAAATGTATGACCTAAAACAATAACATTCTTAGAAGAAAACACAGGACAAAAACATCACAGTATTGGATTTGGCAACGAATTTTTGAATTCAATACCAAAGGCACAGGCAATAAAAGAAAAAATATGCAAACTGAATTTCATGACTTAAAAAACATTTCGTGCATCAAAAACCACTATAAACAGAGTAAAAAGGCAACCCACAGAACCACGGAAAATATTGTCAAATCATGTATGTGATAAATAGAGAACTCTTGAAAGTCAACAACAACAACCACAAAAACCAAACAACTTAATTCAAAACTGGACAAAGAACTTCAATAGATATTTCTCAAAAGAAGATATACAAATGGCCAATAAGCACATAAAAAGATGCTCAATAATGCTCAATATGACTAATCATTAGTGAAGAATGCAAATCAAAACTACAAAAAGATATCAATGTATACGTCCCCAGTAGGATACCTACTATCTAGTAAAGGGAAAATAACAAGTATTGTTGAGGAGGGGTTGGCTGCACACCAGCATGGTACCTGTGCCCCGGCTCATGGCCTTCTTGGAGTCAGCTCCTTCCCCAGATCCCCAAGGGCCAAGGTCTTCATAGAACAGGAGGCTGAAAGGAAGAACCAACCTCAGTGCCTAGACATGAGCGGCAGTGCTGAACCCCACGTGGAGCCCACATCACAGGTTAACTCTAAAGGTCATCTGTCCCAAGTCCACAGGGACAGGGGGAGCTTGGTCAGTGCCCGGGCTCCTGGGGAGTGGCCAGACCTGCCACAGCAGTCCCCGGGCTGGCCAGGGCTGGGCCTGGTGTGTGGAGGGCAGGGGGAACTCACCTGTCTCTGAGGATCACATACTCAGCAGGCACCTGAGGCTGTCCTAGCCTTCTCCACCGAGTCTTCCAAGCCTGCATGGGGCAGGCGTGGGGCAGGGAGGGACTCAGCAGGAGGCCCAGGCCCATCAACAGCACAGTTGCCAAGCCAACAGCCAGCAGCACCCCTGGAAGGTGGGCGGGAGAGGGGAATGGGGCTACATGGTGGCCACTCAGAGCCCCTCCAGGCTGCCTGGGAACGTGAGAACCGCTGTTTTGCATTTGCCTCAGTGGCCCTGGCCTCTGCCCTGCTGCCCTTGCGGTTGAATTCTTCACAGCTCCTTTCCTGTCTCTGGGCCATTAGTCTCCCTCTGGGAGGCCCTCCCCACTACCCTGTGCCCTTCTGTGTGAGGACCCTCCTGGGACAGCCCCACATGTGACCTGTGTTCTGAATGTATGTGTGCATGCATGCATGTATGCGTGCATGTGTGCGTGTGTGTGTGTGTGTGTGTGTGTGTGTGAAAGAAAGAGCTGCTGCCCTGTGCCCAGGGCTGAGTCTTAGCCGTCAGAGGGCTGTGTCCTCTCTGCCCACTGGGCAGGCCCCAGCCTGAAGAGCTCAGTGCGGATTGCTGACCTCTGGAGAAAAGAAGGAAGGAAGATGGGAAACCCACACTGGGGGCTAGTCTAGGATGTCTGTGATCCTGTGACTCCACTCAGGGACCCTGTCCACTGGGGCAGCTTCCAGGAAAAATGAGCATGAGAAGTGGGGAAGGGGAGGTGAGAAAGGAGGCCCCAAATGGAGAAAATTTTTGCCTGCAAATGAAGTCCCAGGTCAAGGACAAGCTGCACCATGCCACTGTCACTGTCATCATATCTGGAGTTTGGTGGCTACGCCCAGAGCCTCGGACAGGGCTGACACACACTAGGGGCCCAGGAACTCGGACAGGGCTGACAGACACTCAGGGCCCTGTGGCATGGCACTCCTCCCTGCCTGCTCAAGTCCTGGCTGCTATGTCCTGTCAATCAGTACCTGTGATCACTGCCCAGTCTGGGCCCAGGTTTGGCAGCCTGTGCCTGAGGATGCTTTGCCTGCCCAGCTGATATGGGGATGAGGGCTGCACAGGGCACAGGCCAGGACTACAGGCCACCCCCTCCTCCTTCACCAGCACCACGGCCAGGCTCTCTGGCTGCCCATTGTCTTGAAACATGTATGTGCCTGGATCTAGGAACTGGTGGGCAAACCTGAGGAGCAGAGATCAGGAGTCAGAATGTGAAGGTTCACCTGCAGTGGGCTACTCACACCAAGCCAACTCTCAATGTCTCCCCGCATATGGAACAACGTGGTCCAGGGAAGCTGCCATGACCCCTGCTGGGCACCAGGAGGCCCCGCCTGCCAAGCTCCCCTCTGCCCCGTAAACAGGAGGCCTCTCCTGCCCCTGGGCTCTGGCCTGGTCACCTGCATGGTCTGCAGTCTCCTGTGTTCTCCTATTGGCCCGTCGAGGGAGAGGCTGTGAGTTGCACGGAGGAACCTCACCCCTTTCCCTCCCACCTCCCAAACTCCAGGGAGCTCAGCTGTGTTACCTTGAGAAGTTGAGGTGAGTCTCTCGCACCAGGTGGCTGAGTCTGCGGAAGGCCCTGGAGTCCCAGTGGAGGTTGCTGTTGAACAGATGCTGCTTCTGGTACATGGGGTTGTGGCTGGCCGAGCGGTCTGGGGGATGAATGCAGGGCTGGGCTAGGTTCCAGAGCTCATCTCAGCCCCACTGCTGAGCAACTCAGGTCCAGGGATGGACCCAGTATCTGTCCTCAGAAGAGTGAGGGGAACTGAGGTATGCTTCCCATGAGATGACACGATTCACCCTGTCATGCCTGTGATGGTGCATTTAATGATCTTGGTGCCAGGGCAAGCCCTCCTCCCTCTGCCTACAGAGGTCACTGGCACACAGAGAGCATGCTCTCAGCAGAGCCACCAGGCACCACACCTTTCGTGGTGATCATGGTCAATGCCCTGGCCTTCTCCTTTGTTTGTGTCCTCTCTTATTCCCTTGAGCGGTGGCTTGTAGTTCTATTTGAAGAGGTTCTTCACACCCCTCATTAGCTGTATTCCTAGGTATTTTATTCTCTTTGTAACAATTGTGAATGGGAGGCTTTGTGCAGGGTCTTTATTTGAAGCTGACTTTCTAGCTTTTTCTTTTTCATGAATTTGGAGACATTTATGAGACTTTATAATATTGATTTCAAGTTGAGAATATTTTTAATATAGTAGCTTTCTCTTGAAATTCCTCACTGTTTGACTTTTTGTTCATTCATTGAACAGGACAAGTTTTCTATGGGGCAGATGAATATAGTAAATATTGTGTGTTATAACAATGCAGGGTTATTGGTTGTTACAAGAGAATAGAATTGACAGACACATCATGGTGCCTGATGGCAACTAGCATCAGCTCTAATATATGCAGTTTTTGTCTCTCTCGTCAGGATTGTTTTGGTAGGCAAACTTTCAGAACTCTTCCATTAGATTTCTTCAAAATTGTTTAGGGTTCCTCTCAAGTTTTGTTCAGATGTTTATAAGCTTATTGACTTTCCCATGGCAGTTTCTTGGAATGAGAAATGTCTCGAAGTAACCACTTCTTTCTCTTCCCTTCTCCATGTTCTTCTCTTCTTTCCTCTTTCCCCTTTTTCCTCTCTCTTTGCTTTTCTCCCCTCTTCCCCTTCTCCCTTCTCTCTCCTTCCTTCTTCCTCCTACTCCTTTTCCTTCTTTTTTAAGTAAGATATGAGGACATGTTTCGCTTTGTCTAGGAAAATGTTTGCATTTTCTCTTTCACATTAGTTTATGAATAGAGAGGAGGAAAGTAAAGTAATATAAAGCAGATTGGACCTAAAAGACTTGGGTTTAAGCTCCAGTTCTGCCACTATTTGTGTTTCTTAATGCTTCAGGCTTAGTTTTTTCATTTGTAAAATGAGGATCCTTATAAATAGCCATCTTAACCATGAAGGATTTTGTAAGGAACAAAGAGACACTATGTGCAAAAATGATCTGTTTAACTATAAAGTGCTTTCTAAGTGTAACCTCTGTGTGTTTTATGCCTTCTGCTTCTTGGGCTCCATCAGAGACTCAAATTATTACTTCCAGATTATTGTTTTCCATCACCACTATTCAGTAGTACTCTACTGGTAAAGCCCTGCCATGGAAATTATTTGAAATTCAAGTAGTAACTTCCAATTTTTCTTATCCAAACAAGTAGTAATAGCATGTTTCTTAATTTACCATAGTAAAAGGAAAAGCCTAAATTTCTATGACACTTCTTCTGTGTCCTGATCATCTAGAAATTGTGTAGTCCCTTGTGATTTCTGTGGGATGCTGGCTTGAGATATTATTTTTCCATCAAAATACTTTATTCATAGCTCAGTATTAAATAATGCCTTGAATCATGATGCTATATGTTTCTGTTAGTGATATCAATTTAAATTATAAACTAATTATTAAAACTATTACATATGATCTTACTAGAAATTCCTAAACCATAGACTGTTGTCTTTTTAAGTAAACAACATAATAAATATACTGTCTTCTAATTAGTGCAGATCATAGCAGTTCTGTGCTGCGTGCAGTGGCTTGTGCCTGTAACCCCAGCTACTCAGGAGGCTGAAGTGGGAGGATCACTTGAGGCCAGGAGTTTGGGACCAGCCTAGGCAACATAGCAAGACCCCATATCTAAAAAAAAATTTTTTTTTTTAATTAGCCATGTGTGATGGCACACACCTGTAGTTCCAGCTACATGGGAGGCTGAGGAAGGAGGATTGCTTGAGCCCAGGAATTTGATGTTGCAGTGAGCCATGATCATGCCACTGCACTCAAAAATTTTTTCAGTTTTGGCTGGGCATGGTGGCTCACACCTGTAATCCCAGCACTTTGGGAGGCTGAGACAGATGGATCAGGAGATCGAGACCATCCTGGCTAACATGGTGAAACACCGTGTCTACTAAAAATCCAAAAAAAATTAGCCGAGCCTGGTGGCGAGTGCCTGTAGTCCCAGCTACTCGGGAGTCTGAGGCAGGAGAATGGCGTGAACCCAGGAGGCAGAGCTTGCAGTGAGCCAAGATCGCGCCACTGCACTCCAGCCTGGGTGACAGAGCGAGACTCTCTCTCAAAAAAAAAAAAAAAAAAAATTTTTTTTTTTTTAGTTTTTTTGGAAAAAAATATTTCTAAGCAAATCACTGGTTTTAACAGTTTTGCTTATTTTTTACATTATATTACATTAATTTTCACAGCTATACTCAAATAGCTATATGCCGAAAAGGACTTTAACAACCTAATTCTGTGTAGCAGTGAATAAGCATAACTTATTGCATTCTATAGGGAAAGCTGAAAGTTATCCTATTAAAATGTCAAGTAGAACAAGTTTTAAAAATGTTATTTTATTTTATTTCTTTTCCTTTTTTTTTCTTTTTTTTTTTTTTTTGAGACAGAGTTTCACTCTTGTTGCCCAGGCTGGAGTGCAATGGTGCAATCTCAGCTGACTGCAACCTCCGCCTCCCGGGTTCAAGCAATTCTCCTGTCTCAGCCTCCCGAGTAGCTGGGATTACAAGCATGCACTGCCACACCCGGCTAATGTTGTAGTTTTAATAGAGACAGGGTTTCTCCGTGTTGGTCAGGCTGGTCTCGAACTCCTGACCTCAGGTGATCCGCCTGCCTTGGCCTCCCAAAGTGCAGGGATTACAGGTGCGAGTCACTGCACTTGGCCCTTATTTTTCTTTGCCATCATTATTATCAGTATTCTCGTCATCACCAGTTAAGTGTAATAACAACCCTGAGATTATACATGCATGTAAAAAGTGATCAGTTTCAAACTGTGTGAAGCCTAACTTCTGCAGCAGCATTTAGTCTCCACATTCAGGAACTTTAGGAGGAAAAAGAATGGAACTAAGAGCTATTAACTATTTTTTTAGCCACAGTATAAAGAATCCCACGTCCGTTTGTGTCGTGGCCCTCCTAATGGTTTTTGAAGTGACAGTTTATTCATTTTTCTAATCTACTTAGGCATCCTATGCAACCCATAACTTCTTTGGTTTTCTATTAATTTCTTAAATTGATTTATAAGCTCATTGAAGGTAGAAGTGGAGTGGAACCTTCTATGTCAGGAAGAAAAGTAATACATGCTTATTATTACAAACTCTACCCCTTCCTATTCTAATCCTGTTCTCCAGTGGTAACACAATTCATTTTTCTTCTACACCTAAACATTAAAAGCAGAGGACTTTTGGTTTATTTATTTAAAGTAGGATACTTAGTAAATAGTAATCTGCAATGACAGTAATAAATGTCATTTATCTTTATTCTTTGTAAGGTTATACTGAGGCGATGAGTCTAGAAACAAGTTTTTCCCCCCAAGAGTTGCTTTTATTACTTAATACCATATTTAATGTTGAAAATACATTCATACTTGCAATTTGAGGTTCCACATGCTTCTTATGGATTTTGCCTGCTCTTTTTGTCAGGCAGTGAGAACAAGGACTCTGTCTGTAAGATGTTGGTGATGGTCCCTCTGAATTACAGCTGGCAACTCATCAGAGTCTAGAAGATGGAGGGATTAAGCCTCTAGGGTAAAAGAAGGTAGATTAGGCAATATATTTATATGTGGAACTCTGAGAATTGGGGTGTCCTGTTGGCATAACTCTTCAGATACACCTTTTTTTTTTTTTTTTTTTTTTTTTGAGCTGGAGTCTCGCACTGTCACCCAGGCTGGAGCGCAGTGGCGCGATCTCGGCTCACTGCAAGCTCCGCCTCCTGGGTTCACACCATTCTCCTGCCTCAGCCTCCCGAGTAGCTGGTAAGGTGCCGCCACCACGCCTGGCTGATTTTTTTTGTTTTGTTTTGTTTTTGTTTTTTTTGTATTTTTAGTAGAGACGGGGTTTTTACCATGTTAGGCAGGATGGTCTCCACCTCCTGACCTCGTGATCTGCCCATCTCGGCCTCCCAAAGTGCTGGGATTACAGGCGTGAGCCGCCATGCCTGGCCCAGATACACCTTTCTACCTTAGTCTGGCTACCTAGGGAAAATTAGAATAGATTATTAGAATATGGTTTGTATTTATAAAAGAATACACATTCAGTACGGGTTTTCTGTTCCCAGTCTGCCACACTGATCTTGCTTTTTTTGTTTGTCTAATAGATTTGCTAGATGTTAGAGTGGGAGGTGCTGTAAGCATAGAAGTATTTCTTGATTTTAGGAACATATCCCAAATAGTTAAACAAATTATTGTAGCATCATTAAATAATCCTTTGATTTCTCCTATCCAGTTGTGTTTTTTGTTTTTTGTTTTGTTTTGTTTTTTTTGAGACAGTCTCACTCTGTCGCCCAGGCTGGAGTGCAGTGGCGCAATCTCGGCTCACTGCAAGCTCTGCCTCCCGGGTTCACGCCATTCTCCTGCGTCAGCCTCCCGAGTAGCTGGGACTACAGGTGCCCGCCACCACGCCTGGCTAATTTTTTGTATTTTTAGTAGAGACGGGGTTTCACCATGTTAGCCAGGATGGTCTCGATCTCCTGACCTCGTGATCCACCCACCTTGGCCTCCCAAAGTGCTGGGATTACAGCCGTGAGCCACCGCGCCCGGCCACTCCTATACAGTTTTTATATGTACCAGGACAGTTAAGGCTAGATAGGATTTATCTATGATGCCACCTTTGTTCTGTTGGTAGTGGCTTCCTGGAGTGCTGTGCTGAGAAGGATTTCTGAGGCTGTATCTTGTCTTTGAAGAAGAATGCTGTGATTGATGAATGATACCAATTAACAGCATGGGAACAGGGCTATATAAGTCACGTGTTTGTCATCTCTTGGGGTCTACTTCTCAACTCTCTATCCTATTGGTCTGTCTGTAAAACTTTTATAATTTTAAGCCACTCATAATAGCCCAGCGATAACATTTGGTCATATCATGTTATTTCTGTTTTGCATGAAGTGAAGAAGCTGAAGTCTAGAGAAACTGAGATATTGAAATTTTATTCAAAGAAAATGCAAACATAGCATCCTAATTTCTTTAGGCCCATGTTGGTAAAGGTGACTGAGATGGAGACAGTTCATAAAGAGCTTAGGCATGTAGATCACAAAAACTGTCTCTGCATGTATTCAGCTTAAGTTTTAGCCCTTCAATTGGAGTTGTGATTCCAGAGTTATTTCTAAATATAGAAAAATGAACCATAACAGCCTTTACCAATTTGTTGTTAAATCTAAGTTAGATACACTCTGAAAGATCAACACTAATACCCAGTACCTATAGTCACTTAATGTCTGGAACACAATAATGAAGAAGTAAAGTTTCTTTTGAAAATGGCTTGAAGTCAAGCAGTTTTCTTGCTGAACATCAAACTTTATTATTCCAGGAAACTAAGATTTAGATAAGACAAAAAGAAATACCAACCCTAATTTAAATTATGTCTTCAAATCTATAAAAATAAAAGATTAGAAGTCTGTGGTCAGTTTGAAATTAGGTTTTAGAGAGTTGGTATGAAACTGTTTACCCAGACCACTGAAAAATGGTTTAAAATGGTGCTCATTTTAATAAGGTAACACTTCTTAATTAAGAAAAACATTTATGGACAAAATTCTGTGAAAGATATTTGGGTCTCTGGTTATAATATAAATTCTTAGAAATTTAAAACAAATACTCCTTAAGACAGAGCTGACGTGTATTTCCGAAGGATAATGAAAACTGGATCAGTATTTTGTTGAAATAAGACCTATTATAAAATTGCACTTGGAAGATTTTTCAATGAGTCAGAATCCAGATTCTTTAGTAATAGATTATAAAATTGTTTCTGGAAAGCTTGTCAATGAGTCATAATCAAGTTCTTTAGTAGTCGAGTCAGCAGAATTGTAGCTAATATTAGCATTATTGAAAAATATTTTCTTACTGGCTCAGGAAGTTAATTGGCCCTGGACTTGGGAAGAAAAGATAATTTGTAAAGTCAGTATGAGAATCACATTATCTTTGAGCCAAAGTTTAACAAATGTCAGCTGTCAGAATTGGAACTTCACACCAATTTCATTTTATTTTCTATGTAGATAATACTTATTTTAGGATAGATGGCATATATGTGAATTTATGGTCTCATCTTTTGATGCTGGCATGTCACAGGTACCTATTCAAGGAGTATAACATATTCCATAGAGTGTCTTGGTAGAAATCCTCTAGCAATAAATATGAACCTTCCACAAATTTCCAAGGTATGAACAATTATTTTGTCAAAGTGTTGCCTTTTAAAATGACTAACATGAAACTGCCAGTATTTGCTCTAAAGAAAAAGCCCAGCAGCTTGAGACATAAAGCGAGGTGTTTGAACGTCTACGTTAGTTTGGTGGGATAGGCATCTGTACTGCAGAGCAGTTGTCTGATGATGTGTCAGAGCTGTAAATGCATTGGCTGAAACACTGTGGCAAATATTTGTGTGTAAAAATTAAGTTATTATTTGTACTGAGACTGGATATCTTGCAGTTCCTGTTCTTTCTTTGCTTTGATATCCTGGTAAGCCTGCATTTTGCTAGCATCCAAGTAAGCCCAGTTAGAAAACTGTATCATGAGAAAGTGGATCTTGAAGGGAAGGGTAAGCATGATGGCTAGTGAGCATATGAGAAGGCAAAGCGAGGTGCTAGTTATATTAGATGGACTTGACTTTAAAGAGGATGAGGGCTACTCTGTGTTAATACTTGCTCTCCTAGCAGAGCTGTCAAATCATTAAAGCATGCTATACTAGTTAGCTTCACATTAAATGGCTGATGAAAAGTTAGTACACAAACATTGCAAAGTATTTTAATTAACCACTAAATAATGTCTGTATACTCGTCAGTCTAGATGACTGATACATTAAACACCTCTCACTACAATTGGGACTTGTCTACATAAATGGATGTCCATCAAATTTACCTCAGGCATATATTGAGACAATGATACTGAGGCATTTAAATTTGTGACTATTATATTATCTTTAAATTTTTTTCATATTTTGATATTTCATATTTTGTCTGTCACCTGTTATCTATAATTGTCCCTCTTTATTCCTTGCATTTTTTCTAAAATTCTCTTTTGCCTAATATAATATGAGTGGCCTAACTTTTTTGATAAATACTTGTTAGTTTTCTCTAAACCTTTATTTTCAATATTTCAGTGTGATTATTCCTAGGCAGAAGAAAATTTTTACCAATCTAATGTTTAAACATAAGTTTAAACAGTTTACATCTAATATGGTTACTCTTTTATCTACATAACTTATACCTGCTTAGACAGTTTTTTATTTACCCTAGATTTTTTTGTTTCTGCCTTTGCCTCCTGTCTATCTGCTTTTGTTTTTCTCTCTGTCTCCCCACCTGCCACCTGTTTTTCTAATTTTATTGATTTACTTTTCTTACTCATATTTATTTCTTTTCCTGCTTTTGACATTAATCACCATATTTCTCTACTTTCTGTAGTTAATCAGAAGGACCCAGTTAGTTGACTTTTTTTAAACAAGCTAAAACATATTTCTAGCCCTCTTAGAAAAAATTCTTGCATACCTCTTTCATTTTGAGATTTATTTTTCTGTTTGCTAAAAAAAAAAACTTTTATACTTGTTTTCCATGGCCTTTTCATAAGTCTTTAATATTGGCATAATCTTCGTGAGTTGAAAAATGTTATTAAATGTTATTAAATGATAATTTATGTGGAATAATATCCTGGGTAGAGATTATTTTCATAATTTGCATGTTACCCTTTTTATACATTTTTGTCTTCTATTGTTTCTTATGAATATATAAAAGTGTCGAGTTCATCTTTCCTAACTTCTCTTTTATGTATGGTCACCAGATATAATACAGGATTACCAGTGACATTATCATTTTAAATAAGCAACAAATAGCCTTTAATATAATTTTCAATATTCTAGTAATTTAGCACTATTCTAAATATTGCATGGGACAGGTTTATACTCAAAATAAATTCTTTGTTTTTTGTCAACAAATTATCAAATTTCAAATTGAAATGTGATATTTAAATTCTTGAATTTTCCCCCTACACCTGGCAAACTTACTTTCAGATCTACTTAGGAAATTACTCGTTCTTTCTATATTTGTGCTGAATCTACTATATAAGAAACAAACAAGCAAAAATTGAGTTCCTTTAGTATATGGTTCATTTTTCAATGACGTATAATTGTCTATTTAAAAAATGTATTTTTGTCCTCCTACCCACCTGTTTTGCCTTTAGATCCCATTTATTGGTCTCAGAGAACCCCTAAACTACTAATTATGATGACTTTTTTTGACTCCACTTTTTATCCTTGAGTGTGACCCTTAAGTGTGTCTTCCTTGGCTATCTCTTAGGGCATGGAATGTCCATCCATGAATTAGTAATGTTGCCTTTGAGGTGGTAAAGCAATCTTAAGTTCTTAAATGTAAATTTATTCTTGGGTGGGGGCAGTTTTATGTTAATCTTTCCAGGTTTTTAAGAACTTAATTGTTCAATCTAGTATGTTATACCAGTTTCTGCTTTTCAGGTAGTTATATAATACAGGTAATATGAAAAATCTAACCTCAGTCTTGAATATCACACAGGTCAGAGGTTGTGATATGAATCTTTCTTCTCATGGCTTTGAATGAAAACTTCTTTCTGTGTTAGATCCTAGTATCCATGGGCAATGACTTTCCAATTGACACAAATATTTCAGCTAAATGTCTGAACAACACTTTCTTTCACCAATTATTTAGGCAGGGAGCCCAGCCCCATTGGACACAGAAATGGTCTCTTTCTTGGGAATATATCCAAATTTACTTCTCAATTAACTATTTCAATGAACTGCCAAGTTTAATCTCAAATTAATAGTATTGGAGTCCAAACCTCAGAGCTGTTTTCTTTCTTGATACCCAGTTTGATTTTTTAAAAAAGAATTTTCTTTCGTAATCTCTGGCTTTCATAAGAGTTGCTTTTGCAATTGTTCACTTTGCAACAGAGACCTAGAAATGAGTGCTTGGTTTCTATTAAATCATGTGTTACTTAACAAATAAAACCTGTGAGAAAGGTGTTATTACTATATCTCTACTGCAGTTGAAAAGAACACATTTTTGGTTATATTTTCTGGAAGCAGTGCTGACACTCTTTTTCTCCCAAGTGTATGGCAGGTATTTCATCGGGTCTTCACTGACCTATATTATTTATGTGCTAAAAATCATTGGCTTTTTCACATATATTATAAAGACTTCTTTGAGATTTTTTAATTTTAGTGAAGACTTTATTTTATAAAATCACTTCACTGTAGATATATCATTTTATTCTCTGTAATCATATCTTCCCACATTTTGCTTTATGGGATTTGGTTTGCATGGTACTTTAAACGCCTTCCTAGGACTTCCACTTACAATGCAGTACCCCAGTGTTTCCTTGTAACAGCTAAAACACCACAGACATAACAACAAGAAACAAAGACAGACTCTGAAAGGTACAAAGAGGAAGACAGCTTGTCTAGGGTCTTCAGGAATTGAACAGTGATATTATGGTAAATTTGCTGGATTTTCTTATTGCCTTCAGTGTATCCCAGGTGATGGACTATAGAAGCTTCCAATACAGAATCTCCATTAGGCACAGACTTCAAGGAAATCCTGTTCTCTCCCAGCCAAAGGAACAGGAGAGGATGACCTAACCACACACAACAACTCAAAACCCTTCTACGGGAATAACCAAGCTATTCCAGACAACCAAGCTATTCCAGACAAACACCACAGAAAAAACTACTACAGCGGTTTCTGTGGAGCCATGTAGAGAGACAAGCTTCTCCCAGATCAGTGATGCTCTGATTCCCTCTAAAGGCAGAGTAGGCATCTAATCTTTTATTACCCACTTGGCATGAACAGAGGGCAACAGTCCAGTTCCCTAACCAGTGTCAGCAGAGTCCAGTAGCAAGCTGAGCATCCAGGTCAACCCAACGACAACAGTTTTTAAAGAGCCAGATCTAAGTAGGGTTCATTGCACTGTGCTTCTTACCTGCCCTCCCCACTATCTTGTGTTATCCGGTCACCAGGCTCCAGTGGGGGAGTTAAGCATGTACCACCACCCAACCTCCTAGGCACTGAACAGTTGAAGTGAACCTAAACTAGTCAGCAATCTGCTATTTCCCCATGCCACAGGTCAGCAGTACCCCAATTTAGCAACAGTACCATCTACAACTGCTCCAAAGAACATGAAATGCTTTGTTGTACATTAAAACAAAACAAAACAGATATGGGATCTGTATGCTGAAACATATAAAACACTGGTGAAAGAAATCAAAGCAGAAATAAAGGGAGATACACTATGTTCATGGATGGGAAGACTGAATATGTTGTGTTAGTTTTCCCTAGCTTGGTCTATATATTTGATGCAATTCCTATAAAAATCTCAGCAAGAATTTTTGCAGACAAAGCAAACTTACATCCTTGGATAGCTAAGACAATTTTGAAAAAGAAATATAGAGTGGGAGGAATCCATCAGTATTTCAAGGACTTACACACAGCTAAAGTAATCATGACAGTGTGGTATTGGCATAGGGATAGATTCATATAAAAATGGATCCAAAGGGAAGGCCTAGAAATAGAGCCACACTGGTATGGCTATTACCAATTGATACATCACAAAGCTGGCAAACATAAATCAGTGGAGGAAAAATAGCCTTTCAACAAATGGTGCTAGGGCAAGTGAACATCAATAGGCTAAAGAAAAAAAGCCTTAACATAAACCTCACACTACAGAAATTAACTCAAAATGCTTATGAACTTGAATGTAATATAAAATTATAACACTTTTTATGAAACATTTTAGAAAAAAATCATAAAGAAAATTCAAGCCTCTCAGGTGTAGCAAAGAGTTATTACATTTTATACCAAAGGTATAAGACATAAAAGGAAAACTGGTAAACTGGATCAAATCTAAATTAAAAACTTCGCTTTGTGAAAGAACTTAGGAAGAGACTAAAAAGCCAATCTGCTACAGAAAAGAGTACTTTTCCTGCTGATAGCTGGGGACAATGGGAGGACCAGCCGCAGAGAGCAGTACCTTCTCTGCTGAGAGCAGCAGCTGTGGCAGAGAGCTTCAGAGACCTGCAGAGACATTTAAAGAACTTGCCTGCAGGGAGAAGACACCCTCTCCAGGGCCTCCTCTCTGCTGAGAACTGAATGCTCCATGGGAGGAGCTGCCTATAGAGACGAGCTACCCACTCCTCTGAGCTCTTTTAACACTAAATAGAACTCTTCTTCTTCACCCTCTGCTTGTCTGTGTACCTCATTCTTCCTGCATGCAGGACAAGAACTTAGGCAAAGGCGCAATGGCCACAGAGGTTTCCTGCCAGAAAAATCAACATCTCAGGGATCCTGTAACAATAGCACTGAAATTTCTGTGTTTATATTTATCATGTTATTTCATTGATGTGCAGGGCTTCCTCTTTCTTGCCAAGATGAGAGATTTTTATTTCCAAGTTAAACATTTGGGAGACTACTAGGAGACTCTGGATCTTATTATGACATTCTATTTTTCAGTGTAGCTGGCTTTGTCTGAAACCAACCTAACAGAGGAAAGGGTATGCTTGTCAAGTAGGGGCACAATTCCAATTTCCCTTTTTCTCTTTGACACAAAAGGCAGGGCTCCTCATTACTGACAAATAAATACCCAGATTCTAGCTTCACCCTAGGCCTTACTTGTACCTCCCTGTCTAGGAGGGGAAGGGTGTCTTGTTACTACATGGCAGGGTTGAAAACTCTAGCTCTTTACTCTACCTTCTCTAATTCCACTCCAGCAGGGGATTGGGATGTTTCATTACTGCCTGGTACAATGGATGTTCTGACTTGGACTTTGTTGTCCTGGCTAGGTTTTTTATTTTCCTTTGTTTTGTGCTGTGTAGTTTGGCTAAAGTAGGATGGTTATTATAAAAATTATCTTTGTCTTAGTAAAATGTTCCTTTCCTAGCCTTTGGCTATAAAAATTGGGCTTTTAGGGGAAATTTCTGTCTTGGCTTACTGCAACCTCTGCCTCCTGGGTTCAAGCCATTCTCTGGCTTCAGTCTCCTGACTAGCTTGAATTAAAGGTGCCCACCATTATGCTTGGCTAATTTTTGTATTTTTAGAAGAGATGGGGTTTCACCATGTTGACATGGCTGGTCTCAAACTCCTGACCTCAGGCGATCTACCCGCCTCGGCCTCATAAAGTGCTGGGATTACGGTTGTGAGCCACCGTGTTTGTCCCAGTTTTTTTTCTTTTTACCATTCTTCATGTTCAGCATTTAACCGTGTATATCACAGTACCCTCTGAAAATACAGTTTTGAGAACTAAAATGTGGTATATATCTTAATACCCTGTGGACATAGGTGAAATGACCATTGTCTTGTGTCATGGTATGCCAGGATAAAGAATCAGTATTCCCCGTGTACATAATTGATTCTGAACTTTTTCTACTTAGGCATAACTTGAAAATATATGTGTATGGTAGGATGGCGGCAGTAGGTTTCCAGCCTGAGGAATCTGGCTGTCCAAATTCGTACCCAATTCCAACCCCATTCCAACCCCAGCTTTCCCAGAAAACTGAGTGATAAATCATGTCAGGCCTTAGCTTGTGACACCAGAAGTTGTATAGTACACCAAATCCACCATGAATGCTGCTTCTGAAAAGCTGCGCAGCTGGGATTCTCAGTGTAATCCATTTCGGCACAACAGCTGGGAATCTCTGCTGCAAATAAAGGAAGGAGTAGTAAGCACCCACCTAGTTATTTCAGGCAAAGACTGCGAGTCAAAGCAGAAGATGAAAAAGAAATTTTAGAAGAAGCAGGGGAAAATCAGAACTAGACCTAAAAAGAAAGTGTGATAGTTGAAGTGATAAACAGTGATAGTAGTTTTAGTAAGTCAAAATTATTGCCTCTCTAATGAACACTACTGTGACCTAACCTCTAAAGAAAAGTTCTGGTGAAGAACGAAGAGTAAAGTGTAATGCCGCAACACCAGGAATGTTTGTTTTTGACAATAAAGATAGATTTTATGGTTTTAAGTCCACAGTCATCATTGACTAATACACATACATACATACATCAGGTACTGTGTTACATCAGTACTGAGTGTCCAAGACAGACGAGAAAACTAATCTGATAGATAAGAAGCACCTCCTGGAAGAAGTGATGTCTGTGCTATAGGAGTCTTAAGTAGGCAAAGAGGGAGAGAGTTTTTATCTCCAGGAAAGAAATGGGGGCAAAGTTACCAGATGATAAAAGGCATGGCTGAAAGTGGAGTTGCCTGAATGTTGCTTCAAATAGGACGGTGATGAAACAGAAACACATGAAGCTGCAAGGCAGACAAATATCAGGTCTTGAAGGGATTTGTTCAGTTATGCTGGGGATATAGGCTCAGAATCTAGAAAGTATTAAATGCCAACAAAAGAATTTAAATCAGATTTTGGATGGAGCATGAAACCAGTGTGATGAAAATGTGCATTTAGAGGCCGGGTGTCATGGCTCAAGCCTGTAATCCCAGCACTTTTGGAGGCTGAGGTGGGTGGGTCACCTGAGGTGAGGAGTTCAAGACCAGCCTGGCTAACATGGTGAAACCCCATCTCTACTAAACATACAAAATTTTGCACGGTGTGGGTGCACATCTAATCCTACCTACTCAGGAGGTTAAGGCACAGAATTGCTTGAACTCAGAGGTTGAGGATGCAGTGAGCTGAGATTATGCCACTGCACTCCAACCTGGGCAACACAGCAAGACTCTGTCTCAAAAGAAAAGAAGGAAAATGTGCATTAGAAAACATGAAAGGTGGACTCTTACAGGAAGTAATTAAAGCCACAAGCTTTGATGGAAGATCAAAAAGGTCTATTGATAATGCCAGCTATAAAATTCTACCATGTGCCTACAGTGATACAATCCATGAGTAAAATATGTGAAGTTTATTGCGCAAGTGAGGACACAAATAATTGTGATCATGGTTACTGAGCTCGCTAGGTATGAATTGTAATGAAGAAAATCTTTGCCAACTAAAATCCAAGTTTAAAATAACTGAGAAAAAGTGAGAAAATACTGAAGTATATAGTGTGTGTTAATGTTTCTCTAGATTTTCTGTGTGTGCGTGTGTGTGTGCATATCTATTCTTTTTGTGCCATTGTAATTTAGGCCCTCATTTGATTTATGCCAGACTACTTGAGAAGTCAGTTATTACTCTTTTCTAACTCCAATTCCTTCTTTTTCCCTTGCCTGCTGCCATGGTTTTGATATATAAACATATGTATGTGAATTAGCCAACGTTGACTGTGGACTTAGAAACCATAAAATCGTGAGTGTGCACCCTCATGGCGGGATTGATAGCATTATCTGGCGAACAGGCTAGTTATTGTGTGAGTGGGCTTTGGAACCAAGGATGAGTTTGGCCCTGATTTTCTGTTTATCACATGTCCTTTACCGTAGGATGGCCTCCTGCCATGTTGCAACATAGAAAGAAGATCTCACCAGATGCAGCCCCTTGGACTTTCCAGCCTTCAGAATAATGAGCAAAATAAGTCACCTTACAAATTACCCAGTCAGTGGTATTGTGTTGTCGCAGCAGCAAATGGACTAAAACACTCTATTATTTCTTCCTCTTTAGATAATTAAATAAACTAGCTTACAAAGGGCCATGTCAAATTTCCCATCAAATGATAAAAAAGCACATATTTTTTTTTAAATGCGGTACAGTAGCCTGCCACTAAAACAAAGCCCCATTTTACTCCTAACTGTATTTTTAGAAATAAAGGAAAAGCAACCATAAAGGTCAACATGTAATTTTATTGTTCAGTAAGATTATTGCAGGAATTTTTAATGTTCTTGTCAACATAAATTTCAGTCTCTGTTGTCATGCATAATCTGGTACTCTTTTGGTGGAAGATCAGTTGTAACTAGGGTGATATTTTTCCAGTAAAGATGGTTGAAGAGCTGGCCTGTAACGAAAGGCAACTGATGTATCAGCTGTCGCAGTCATTTACAACCACAGGTTGCCTGCTGGTAGCAGGTTAGAATGAGGAGCCTCATTGGCTAATACCTCAGGATATCTGGTGGGAAAAAGTAGGTGGTTTCACTATCAGCCCCAAAGGAGGGAGATATGATGTAGTATTGAGAAGCTGTGGTTGTAACAAAATTCACAACGTGGCCATTTGCTTACATGTCGGTGCTATGAGAGTGCATATGAATATTTGTCAATTGATTTAAAATAGCATGTTGATTTGTTGTAATTTGTTCTGATTGTCCAACTGAGGTTGAAATGGAAGAGGAGGGAAACCACTTCTAATTGGGTCAGGTGAACCAGCAATGCCCTGGCTGACAGAAGATTTCCTTGTTAGAGTCATATTTAAATTTGTAGATGTTGAAAATGAACTTTCTTCACTAGTTTCAGCAGCTAAGACAGAATTATGTTTATCTGTGTTAGCCCCTGCTCTAAAGTGTTTCTTGAAATATTCAGTGAAGTAGATACAAGAGAAGTGTTTTTAATCTTAATTCTTCTTTTCGTTCTTATTAAAAGTTGGGGACAGCCACGTTTGAAATTCGGATGATAATACAACTTTAACTAAAACCAAGGAGAAGGTAATTCAGTGCCATTTTAAACCAAGAGGCAAGTAACAATAACAAACATAACCCATACAATCTCAGATTTCTGTTTTATCACACAAAGTTAATATCATCAAATAATGAATGAACATTGTTTACTATTTTTAAGAACATGCTTGTTGAGAAAAAAAAACACTCAAGTTTTGAAGCCCTCTGGTGAAAACATGTTATACATTTAATAGTAACATTTCACTAAGTGGCTTTGGTATCTTTATTTGGAGTTCACTGGTAAGACTGAATGTTGTTAGCAACATTTCTTAAAACCTGAAAGTTTAATGCTCAACCTGCACTCAATAATTTCAAAAAAATTAAGTAATTTTTACCTTAATATTTGATATAATTTTTAAAATCTGATCTTACTGCATGTATTAACATAGTTACTGATATATAAAATGAAATTACATATATACTCAAAGTGGTAACTGAAATATTTTGAATACCTTGCTTAAAACAGAAATTTCTTTTTCTTCTGCCAGAAAGTTGGCTAGAAAAGCAGATCTGTGAAAATTCTGTTGAATTTTACTAAATCCATAAAGGTTGAGCTGTCAAATTAAGATTTTCATACTGTCAGTTTGAAATATTCTGTAAGGAGCCTTTATTTCCAAATTTTCTTTCTTGAAGAGTTCTTCATTAGTCACTATGCAAGTTTCATTCTTATCCTATGAATTAGACTTGAATTGGTCACTTTCAGCTATTTTCCAAAGTTTACTGGGAAAGGTCAGAGAAGGAAAATCATTATCTTTATCTGGCTCAGAGACATAAAGTATAATGTGGCCTTTTTATCAAGGATCCTTGTGGCAAAACCTGAAAATCATTGATTCAGTCATTGACCTTAAGTCTGAATCCCCAGGGATTATGTGTTCACACAATGGAGACCCAGAGGAGGCTTTTGAACCAGTTGATTCATCTTTAGGAGAAACATCTTGAGTTTCTGCAGAAACATGTGCCATCTCAAATAAGTAATTCTTTAGCGACTTTTCCAGCCTGCATGTGTTTCAAGACTGCAGCTTCAAATGCTGCTTCAGTAGTCTACTCAGGTAAAGTAATTGAGATCACCACAGTGGTTTCCAACCTGAGTAGCAATGGCATCACAAGAGGACTTTGGTCACCTAGCAACAAACATAAAAATTTGGCCAAGACTGTTTACTTTCCAGTCTCAGAAATGTATCTGGTAAAAATAAAATATAGAATGATTACTTACACAGTTTATTCTGCAAAAGTTTCATGCCTGCAGAATCTTTTAAATTAATAAGGAGGGCCAGGCATGGTGGCTCATGCCTGCAATCCCAGCGCTTTGGGAGGCCGGGACAGGCGGATCATGAGGTCATGAGTTCGAGACCAGCCTGACCACCATGGTGACACCCTGTCTCTACTAAAAATACAAAAATTAGCCAGGTGTGGTCCATGTGCCTGTAGTCCCAGGTCTCGGGAGGCTGAGGCAGAAGAATCGTTTGAACCCAGGAGGCGGAAGCTGCAGTGAGCTGAGATTGTGCCACTGCACTCCAGCCTGGGCAACAGAGCAAGACTCTGTCTTAAGAAAATAATAAATAAATAAATAAATAAATAAATAAATAAATTAATTAATATCCTCAATCCCTGAAATAAACATAATTTTCTCCTTGACACACACAGTCTTACTAGATTGGTGCGAGGAGCATAGGGCCTGGTAATTGGACGGTGCAAAAAAATAAAAATAAATATTTTAAAAACTCTCTCAGCTTGGCATGTTGGATTGAAAACTGATGCAGTGTAAAACATATATGGTAAAAAGACATGGCCATATAGACAAAAGGTAGGTTAATGGTTGTCAGGGGCTGGGGAATAGAAAGAACTGTTAAGTAGATAATGGGGTTTCCTGTTTGATGATAGAAATGTTTTAATAATATAATTTTGAATAATGTAATTTTGTATTATGTGAAACATACCTTAAAAAATTAAAATAAAATCAAATATGAATAAAACTGATTAGATTTCAGAATAAAAAGTTATTCATGTATGTATCTATTCAAAACATTTTTTATTCATATCATAGAATAAATAATACTTTCATTTGGTATGTCTGTAAATATCTGACATGTTAATTATGTAAGATTTTAAAAGCAAGTGACCTACTTATAAGGAGATCCCAAAGAGTGGGAGATTTAAAAATGTAATAATAACAAGAAAGTGTTTTAAGTAAAGTAAATTTGTATGTATGTCTAAGCAGAAAATTTTATTATTTGGTTCCAAGAGCCAAATATCTATTTAAAAAATATTTCTTAAGGAATAATCTCTGTGTCCTGCAACGTAAAGTTATCATTATAAAACAGGAGTCAAATTTGTGAATTAATCTTAGAATTGAATAAAATATTTCTTCTCTTTGAAAAATAATCATGCCCCATTTACAGTAAGAATTTTTATATGTTCATGCTTGAGAGGTGGTATATTAAAATTCTAATGCCTTGGCTTTAAGTGTTGAATATGTGTGGAATAAAAAAATAATGATTTTGATATTTCTTATACTGTAGGAGGCAGTTCTCTCATACTGGAAAGAGGTGTCATTGTTAGAAGCTTGTCTTGGTTTAACATAGTTTAAGTTTTGGGGGTGTATTTTGTTTAGTTCAAAATTTTCCATATTAGCAGTAAGTAACAAAAATGTCCAGATCAGAAAACTCTTTGTGAAAATAAAACAGGTGCTCCTACCAGATGTGGTTCATCAATTTTGACAGAATTTTCATTTAAAAAAGGCAAAATTAAAATTTGTTTAATTGTTTGCTTTCTGGGGAATTTTCTTGTTGCTCTGTCTGAAGGAAGTACAGACTTCTTTTGTGATGGGAGGGGATGAATGGCTACTAGACAGCAGCAAAAGATGGGCCATGGGTGCGAAGAGAAGAGGGAGTTAATGGGAGAATCAGAAAAATATCACCTTAAATGTAGGACAATCGAAGTCAAATTGTGGCTGAGCGTTTTGGGGAACTAAGATGTGTGACTCTGTAGGGAGGAAGAATGCCTTGGTGTTTTCAAGGGAAGATGACTCAGCTAGTGCAGTCACCTGACTCCAAACTGCAAGCCTACTTTAGTCATAAAAAGGCAAGAAAATAAGCAATTTTACCTGCAAAGCAAAGGACGTAGTGTTGAAAACGAGACCAGAAATGGTGCTGTTAAAGAGGTGAACAAAAGCATTTACTTTTTGAACGAGTTTCAAAACTGTGAGGGTGGCAAATAGGCAAGGTAAGTAGGAGCAGCCCTCGACCATCTCAGATCAGCTTCTTCAGCCTACCTTGACCTCTGCCTGTCTCAGCTGGGGATCTTAACATAAATCTCTGGATATCAGGGGTGGCTTTTCCCGAGTCTTGAGCCTAGAAACTCCCTCTCTTGATTCTGATTTTCAGAGAAGAGAAGCAGCTGCTTAGCATTTGGGTGGGACAGTGGTTGTTACTAATATATTACAAATTTCAGCATGTTTTTAAACATCAGAAGGAGAAAGTGCTTCGTATTTAAGTGAAATCTCAAAGGGGCAGAAATCTACCATATTTTTTGTTATTCAGATGCAGTGATGCACTGGCTATGTGAGTACAAGAAACAAGTTCACTTAATCACAAACACATGCCTAAATTCCATTGTTCAGTGACTTCACTTTCACTTTCTACCTTGAATTTTAGACTCTGGAAGACCCATTTCTAAACTCTGTGGCCCTTTTCATATGTGCATATTTTCATAAGTGTTTTCCAGAAATAAATTATAGAGGTCCTTCTGTGAGTCCAAAGGAGAAGGAAGTGGTTGGGGCAGCCAGAAAGGTGCAATCTGCATTAATATCATATTCGATGTATGGATTGCTGGGGAGAGAGTGGGATATATTTCTTATAATGTTGGATGTATTTTTCCCCTATCCTGAGGCCCAGAAACTCTGATGTCTCTGCAGTTGTCTTTCCATGCTTTCCTTTATACCCCTCGCCTACTTCTGTAATTTCTCTCTCTACTCTCCCTCCTCCTTCCCACCCTTTTTCTTTCCATTTGTGCTCTCTCCCTCCATTCCTTCTTTTTCCCTTTTCTTTCTTTTTGTGGGTATCTGGTAGCTGCAACTTATTTTCTTTCTGCTTTTCTTACTCACTTACTCTATTTACTAGGTATTTAACAATTGTCTTTAAAAGTAACATCCTTTCTTTCTTAAAATTTTATCCCTAATGGACATTATTTGGGGAAAAACATTTTTATGGTGCCTCTAGATAAGTAATTATATCATCTGCACATGATTCCCGTATTTTCTTACATGCCCGTTCCTCGTAGGTGGAAATGGGTACTTCATTGTACTCTTCTCTCTTTATTTACAAGAGTGTTTTTTCTGTCTCATCCCTTTAAATAACACATTGTCTCTCTTTTTGTGACATTGAATTAATTAGGTCAGATGCGATTTTTCTCATCTATTCATTTGAAGACTGTTTCATATTGCTTCTAGGGCCTATTTGCAAGCAACAAATTATTTTGTTGTTGTTGTTGTTTTGTTTTGTTTTTTAATTTTTGGACCATTTGTCTCATCACTCCAACAAGCAAGAATTAGTTCTCATCATTAAGATCCCTTCAAGATTTCATTCACTTGTTTCAGCAGCCTTGAATTATCATCACCTGGACCTGTTGTTACATCAAGAATCTCTCATTTCTAATGTTCTACTTTGGACACTGTTACCTGTGAGTTTGTTTACATTAAAAAAAAAAAACCTTTTAGTACTTGAGTACCCTAAAGTTTCATATTTTGAATTGGTGTCAGATTTATTATTATTGATCTCTCCATTGCTGGAGAAAACTAAGCAATAGGTAAACTCTATTCTTTTGGTAATTTGTATTTTCTGAATGTTTCACAGTAAATGTTTACTAGTCTTGTGATGCTGCAAATTGGCAATCAGATATATTTTAAAGTGACAAGGTTGCCCTGTTCATCACCAGTTCTGTACATCACGCAGATCAAAAGTAAGGTGTTTAAGTTTATTTTAAATGTTTTTCCCAAAAATTCTGCTTCCACCACTTTTCCAAGCTCTACCAGATGGATACTCAAGAATTGACCAAGGCAATCTCTTCTCTCATATTTCACTGTCAAATACTCTTAATCAGTGAGTCCTGTCAATTCTGTGTTTCTAAGAAATGATGATGGTGGTCATGATTATAATGATGTCAATAGGAACACCTTTCCAAACTTCACTGTGTACCACGAACTCTTCTTCCTGCTGCCGATGTATTATTTTCTCTACACTGCTATCTCCCCAGGAAGATTCTAATGATGTTATCATTGTACAGATGTGGAAACTGTAGCTTATGAGGTTTTAATTTTGCAATTCAAGGAAATGACAGGATTCTGGCAGTGTGGTAGCTCATGCTTGTAATCCCAACACTGGAAGGCTGAGGCAGGTGGATCACTTTAGCTCATGAGTTTGAGACCAGGAAGATGGTCAAACCCCATCTCCTCAAAAAACACAAAAATTAGTGTACATGGTGGCATGCACCTGTGGTCCCAGCTACTTGGGAGGCTAAGGCAGGAGGATCATTTGAGTCCTGGAGGTTGAGGCTTCAGTGAGTCTAGGTCACGCCACTGCACTCCAACCTGGGTGACAAGGGCAGATCATGTCTTAAAAAATAAACAAATAAATACCCACCACAACCAAAAGCAAAGGAAGCAAGCATAATAAGCTAGTTAATATGCTTGTTAGCAATGTGGACATTTATTTTATAGTTAAAAGAAAAAAATAGAAGTGACAGTATTGTAACTCAGAAAGTCTGGTTCCAGAGTTTGTACTGCTAACCAGAACAACTTGAGCATCAGTTGATATTTTCCATTTTTTTTGCTCTACTTTGTCTGATATTAATATAGCCATTCCAGCAGTCTTATCACTAGGGTTAGTAGTGCACAGCTTTATTCCATCTCTTCCGTAGTAATTGTGTCTTTATGTCAAGTATGGGTTTCCAGGAGACAACATATAACTGGATTTTACTATTTTTATTTCTCTTATAGGCTTTACCTTTTAGTTGTGGTATATAAGCCATTTACAGTTAATGTGCTGATTGATGTAGCTTTCTGTTTTCTCCATGTGTTACTTGTTCCATTTTCTCTTATCTGTCTTCTTTTCTATTATTTATTTATTTTTTTAATTTCCTATTATGGCCTTTGTTGGTTTCTTAGCTGTTACTGTTACTTTAGTTCTTGCTTTGAGGTTTGTAGTGTACATCTCAAATTTACCACAACCTACCTTGAAGAGGTATTACACTTCTCTATGGACAATGTTAAAACACTAAAATAACATGTACCATTATCCCCTCTCAGCCTCTGTGCTACATGCATTTTTAAAATTATATAACCACAATATTTTATTATTTCAACAGTCAATTGCATTTTTCAAAGATTTGATTAAAGAAAAAAGTCTAAAATTAACATACAAAATTGCCATTTTCAGTTTTTGTCATTTTATAAGATCTATTATATCTTTGTGGCACCTATCACAGCCATTTGATAAATTAATTTGTAGATACAGTAAGAATGTCATGTATTTATTAAAGTTTTTAATAGTGATTTTAAAATTTCTTATTAGGTGGCAAAAAATAATAAAAATAAATGCCCAGAACGAGTATGTTATAAAACTAAACTGTAACTCCATGTAACAGCTATAGCATAGTTTGTTTGAACTGAAATTCACATAAAATAATCATATTGAAGTCCAAAAAATTTAAAGATGTAGTGTAAATTCAATTTATATGAAATTGAAGCACGAGGTTTCCTAGATACCTGCTGCCTACAGAGTTAGAATCTAATTCTTCTGATTATTCTTGTAACAAAATCTTTTGAAATTCTAAATTCTGATGCAGAACGTATCAGTGAAACTCCCTCCCACTGTCTCTTGTATTAGCATCAAGGAAGCGAGAAAAAATAAGGTAAAAAAAAATTCTGCTGTGTTTATTTTTTTACCTTCGAAATCTTGCTGAGTATTACTGTTCAACAAATGAAAAAAAAAATTCTCATCAGTTGTACCTGTTTATTGCCAATATACCTGGAAAGCAAATTCACTTTGTGTACAAAGTTGCAGCTGTTTCCAGGTACTTGAAACACAGTAACCAATAAAAATACTCCTTATAATTAGGCTCCTGATTTTTGAGATGCTTTGTTTATCTTCTATAGTACTCTTAAGATAATCTGTTAGAATTATTTTAAGTATTCTTTCTATTGATATTTTTCTTAAGTTTGGCTGTACTGTCATAATAGAGCTTTCTAGAAGGAAAGCAAGTAAAGTTGCTTAACAGCTTTGATATATACATTTTTTCAGTTAAGGTCAATGCTATCATAGAAAATTACATTTTATTTTTAAATTGTGGGTTGAAAGTCTGATTTGTGACTCTTAAACATGAAGATATTGCTTAATATTATTAGTCTTAAATTTGAGCATCAGATAACATCAGAGTTGAAGACTTAACTCTAACATCTTTGTATAATATTTCCATTTACTTGAAATCTATGTCAGTCATATATCTTGTTTGTCTTAGTCATAATTGTTTTATGGATGATAATAGTTTGTGTTTTAGTTTTCAAATGGGAAAAAGGGTATTCTATCACAAAAGAGGGGTATTCATGAAGGAGTTATAACTTACAAGAGATCGTGAAACAGTCATCCTATTTCTAGCATCTGTTAGGTTTGCTTTCTCATCTATAACTGTGCATGACATTTCAGGGGTAACATCAAATCTTTTTTAAAAAATGAATATATTATTTACCTGTCATCACAATTATTTCCTGATTACTCTGTCATTTCTTAGATATTATGCAACTGTTTTTTTGTTAAGTAAGCATAGTAAGTGATTGAATGAAAGAATGGTCTCTGTATTGTGTACTGGAGATGGAGACTATGTATGTCAACAAGATGGCGTACTAGGAAGTGTCAGGCCTTCATGCCTTCACAGAGTCAGTGAATTAATAACAATATTTGGACCACAATACCTTTGTGAGAGCTCCAGAGACCAGTTGAGAAGCTGCAGCACCCAGGTCCATGTTAAATATGAAGGAATCCAGCAAAAGGAGTATGAACATTCATGTCATTTTACTTGTCAGTAGATCTGTTTCCATCTCCCTGTGTTGCATAGTGTGGCAGAAACAGGAGGAACACTTCCCTGCCAAGACTCCTCACTCAGTTTAACTCCCTGGGATTCTTCCAATTATACCTGCTAATAGTCTATTTCATTTTTATTGCTGAGTAGCAACCCATGGTATAAATGTACCACAGCTTGTTTGAACATTCACAATTGAAGAACACAAGGGATGTTCTTAGTTGAGTTGCCTTATACCTTCATGTACAGTTTTTTTGCGTAAGTTTTATTTTCTGTAGGATAACTGCACTGAGTTGCAAGGTTGTCTGACAGCTGCATGGCAAACAGTTTTGGACTGACCCTACCATTTTACATGCCACCAAACAACGCATGAGTGGCTTGTTATTTCTACATCTTCACCAGCATTTGGTGTTGTCATTACTTGTTAAAATTGTAGGTGTTTTAATAGATGCAGTGATGTAGCTAGTAATGTTCAGTGACTTTTTGTGCATTTATTTCCCATGCTTATATCCTTCTTAATGAAATGTCTTTGTACCCTTTGTTCATTAGCTAATTAATTTTTACCTAGGTATAGTAATTGGGTACACATTTCATATATGCTTTCTTCCATCTGCACATTGGCTTTCTAGTCTCTTCATAAGTTATTTCACAGAGCAGAAGTTTTAAGTTTTGATTTGATCTAATTTATCAGATTTTTTTCATGGCTTGTATTTTTGGTATCAAATCCAATAACTCTTTGCCACGCCTAAGAGGGTTGAATTTTCTTTATTATTTTTTAAAGTTTCCTAAAAAGTGTTAGAATTTCAGATTGCATTGAAGTTCATGAACCATTTTGCATTAATTTCTGTAGGGTGAGTTTTATGTTAAGGCTATTTTTCCTTAACCTATGGATGTCCACTTGCCCTAGCACAATTTGTTAAAAGGTTATTTTTCCTCCACTGATTTGTGTTTGCCAGCTTTGTGAGATATTGCATCATATTCAAATCAGTGTGACTCTATTTCTGGGCTTCCTTTTCTACATTTTTTATGAATCTATCCCTAGGCAAATACCACACTGTCATGATTACTTTGGCTGTGTAATAAGTCTTTAAAACATTGTTGACAGATTCCTCCCATTATATACTTCTTTTTCAAAATTGTCTTAGCTATCCAAGGATGTAAGTTTGCTTTATCTCAAAAAATCCTTTTTGAGATTTTGATAGGAATTGCATCAAATATATAGATCAAGCTGGGGAAGATTAACACAACATATTGAGTCTTCCAATACATTAACACAATGTATCCTTCTTTATTACTACTTTGATTTCTTTCACCAGTGTTTTATATGTTTCAGCATACAGAGCCAGCCCATACCTGTTTTTTTTTAATGTATATCAGAGCATATCACATTTTTTGGAGCAGTTGTGGATGATTCTGTTGCAAATTTGGGGTCCTCCTGACCTGTAGCATAGGGAAATAGCAGATTGCTGACTAGTTTAGATTCATTTCAACTGTTCAGAGGATAGGGGGTTGGGTGGTGGTAGATGCTTAACTCCCCAGTGGAGCCCACTGACAGAATAGGGTAGGGTAGTGGAAAGAGCAGTCAAGAAGCACAGTGCAATCATCTCTACTTAGATCTGGCTCTTTAACCACTATTGTTGTTGGGTGGACCTGGGTGCTCAGCTTGCTATTGGACTCTGCTGACACTGGTTAGGGAATTGGAATTGGAATGCTGTCCTCTGTTTTAGCTGGTTGGGAAATAGAAGATTAGCTGCCTCCTCTGACTTTAGAGGGAATCAGAGCATCACTGACCTGGGAGAAGCTTGTCTCTGTACATGGCTGCAGAGAAACTGAAGTAGTAGTTTTTTTTCTGTGGTGTTCGTCTGGAGTAGTTTGGTTATTCTCCATAGAACGGTTTTGTGTAGTTGTTTGTAGTTAGGTTATCCTCTCCTGGTCCTTGGGCTGCGAGAGAACAGGATTTTCTTGAAGCTCTTTTTGTCTGTGCCTATTGGAGATTCAGAATTGGAAACTTCTATAGTCCATTATGTGGGATACATGGAAGGCAATAAGAAAACCCAGTATCTTTACCATAGTATCACTCTTCAAGTCCTGAAATCCCTAGACAAGACCTTTCAGAGTCTGTCTTTGTTTCTTGTCATTATGTCCGTGGTGTTTTAGTTGTTCAGAGGAAACACTGGGGTGTTGCATTGTACCTGGAAGTCCTAGGAAGTCAAAGTTTGAGGAAGGCTTTAAAGTACAAAGCAAACCAAATCTCATAAAGCAAAACATGGGGAGGTATGATTGCAGAGAATGAAATGATATGATTTACCTATAATAAAGTGATTTTATAGAATAAACTTTTCACCAAAATTAATCTCGAAGAAGTTTTATAATATATGTGAAAAAGCCAATGATTTATAGCATATAAATAATATAGGTCAATGAAGAACAGATGAAATACCTGCCATACACTTTGGAAAAAAAATAAAGTTGGCAGTGCTTCCAGAAAATATTATCAAAAATATGTTCTTTTTCAACTGCAGAAGGGATATAGTAATAATGGCTTTTCATAGGTTTTATTTGTTAAGTAACAAATAATTCAATTGAAATCAAGCACTTGTTTCTAGTTCTCTGGGGCAATGTGAGCAGTTGCAAAACCAAATATTATGAAAACCAAAGATTAAAAGTGTAATATAATATTCTTTTTAAAAAAATAAAAATGGCTGTCAAGAAAGAAAACATCTGTGAGATTTGAACTCCAATATCACTAATTTGGGATAAACTGGATAGTTCATTGAAATAGTCAACTGAGGAGTAAATGTGGATATATTCCCAGGGAAGAGACCATTTCTGAGTCCAGTGGGGTTTGGCTTCCTGCCTAAATAATTTGTTAAAGAAAGTGTTGTTTAGACATTTAGCTGGAATATTTGAGCCAATATAGAAAGCCATTGACCACAGATACTAGGATCTAACACAGAATGAGGTTTTTATTCAAAGCCATGAGGGGAAAGTTCATATCTCAACCTCCATCCTATGTGATATTCAAGACTGAGGTCAGATTTTTTATATTACGTACAAGATATAACTACCTCAAAAGCAGAAACTGATTGGTGGACGTTCGATGCCCTAAGAAACAGCCAAAAAAGACACACTAAGGGGAACACTCAAGGATAAAAAGTTGAATTTAAAGATTCTTCATAATAAGTAGGTTTTGGTGTTCTCTGAGATGAATAAATGGAATCTAAAGGCAAAACAGGTGAGTAGGAGGACAAAAATAAATTTTTTAAATAGAGAATTATATCTCATTGAAAAATGAACCATATAGTAAAAAGTCAAACAAATTTTTGTTTCTTTGTTTCTTGTATAGTAGATTCAGCACAAATATAGTAAGAATAAGTAATTTTCTAAGTGGATCTGAAAGTAAGTTTGCCAGTTGTGGGGGAAAATACATAAATGTAAATGTCACATTTCATTTTGAAATTTGATAGTTTGCTGACAAACAACATATAATTTATTTTTGGTATGAGTCTCTTCCTTGCAATATTGAGAATATAATTATACTAAAATGCTATTTATTGTTTATTTAAAATGAAAATGCAACTGGGAATTCCATGTTATATCTGATGACCATACATGAAAGATAAGTTAATAAAAATTGAGCTCAGAGTAGACAACTTTCATATTAAATTACAAGATACACCAGAAGGAAAACATGTATAGAAGGGCCAAAAGGCAGAATATGAAAATAAATTCTACACTGGATATTATTCCACATAAGTTGTCATTTAATAAAAATACATTTTTCAACTCACAAAGATTAAGCAAATATTAAAGACTTAGTGAAAGCCAAAGGAAAAGAAGTATAAAACCTATTATTTTTATTTTTTAGCAGGGACAAAAACAAATATCAAAATTAAAATGGTACGTAGGAATTTGTGTGGGTTTTTTTTTGTGGGGGCTAGAAATACATTTTACATTTTTAGGAAAAAAATATCAACTAACTGGGCCCTTTTGATTAGCTACAGAAAGTGTAGAAATATGGTAGTTAATGTCAAAACCAGGAAAAATGAATATTTTTTCAAAAAAATGAATAACTACAGAAAGTGTAAAAATATGGTAATTAATGTCAAAAGCAGGAAAAAATAAATTTCTGCAAGAAAAATAATACAATTAGAAAAAAAGGTTCAGGGTAGGGAGAGGGATTGAACAACAGGCTGAAAGAGAGGCGGCAAAGGCAGAGACAGAAAATCTTGGGTAAATAAAAAGATATCTAATCAGATATTATGTAGATAAGAGAGTAATCATATTAGATGTAAATGCTTCCAAATTATGTGTTAAAATATTAAATACTCTAACACTGGATTGAGAAAATATGCTTTTACTTGGGAATAATCACACTGAAATATTAAAACAAAGGTGTAGAGAAAATTAACAAATATTTATTTAAAAAGATAGGCCACTACAATTGTATAAGACAGAAGAGAATTTTAGAAAAAATGCAAGCAATAAGGAGGGACAATAATAGATAACAGAAGAGGTGACAGGCAAAATATGAAATATCAAAATGTGAAAAAATTTTAAAGATATATAACAGTCACAAATTTAAATGCCTCAGTAGCATTGTCACAATATACGCCAGAATTAAATTTGATGGATATTTATTTATATTGACAAATCACAATTGTAGTGAGAGGTGATTAATATATCAATCATCTAGACTGATGAGTATACAGACATTTAGTTGTTAATAGGAATACTTTGCAATTAACAATTAACAATCCTTTTATATGTATATAAATGTTGCTACCTTCACTCTTAAAAAGTAAATATGTGTCTTAACCACTATATACCTTCTACTTACCAAGAAAACATTCTTTTTTAATGATGATTTACTTGGTTCAAAAATGTGATCTCAACAAGTTTTAGATAGATAATTTCATATAGATCTGATTTTATGGTTAAAGGTAACCAATATAAAATTAACAGACTTTCCAGCTCATTCTATGAGGCAAGTAGTACTCTGATAACAAAACTAGAGAAAGATTGTAGAAGAAAAGAATGTTACAGACAAATATATTTCATGAATACAGACAAAAATTCCCAAGGAAATACTAGCAATTCAAATCCAGCAATATATGAGAAGAGGTGCATTTCATAACCAAGTAGGATTTATCTCAGGAATGCAAGGTTAGCTTAATATTCAAGAATCAGCTATGCAATGCTGATACAATTAAGGAACCCAAACCATATGACAATCTCAACAGATGTGGTAAAATATTTTATAAAATCCAACACCTTTCTACGATAAAAGCACTCAACTAGGTGGGAATAGAAAGAAAATACCTCAGCCTGAAAAAAGGCATCTACACAAACCCCAAATCTAACATGAAACTTAATGCAAAAACCTGAATGCATTTTCCTCATGATCCAGAATAAGGCTAGGATGTCCACTGCTGCCACTTCTCTTTGACATTTTACTGGGAGTTTGATTTTGATGAGGGGCAATTGGGCAAGAAAATTAAAAAAAAAAAGCCATCTAAATTGGAAAGGAAAAAAGTGAATCTACCTCTGTTTGCAGATGACATGATCTTGTATACAAAAAATTCTGATAAATCAGAACTAATAATTAAGTCCAGCAGAATTGCAGATAACAAGATCAGTATACAAAAGTCAATTATATACCTACACAGTAACAAAGAGCAATCCAAAAATAAAATGAGATTAAGAAAAACATTTCACAAAGATAAGAGAATAAAATACTTAGGAATGAATTTAACAAATGTGCAAACATTATAATCTAATAACTCTAAAATATTGTTGAAAGACATTAAAGAAAATTGAAATAAATGGAAAGATATCCAATATTCATGGATTGGAAGATAACATTAAGTGACAACACCGCAAAATTGACCTACAGTTTCAATTAAGTCTCTACCAAATCCCAGGTGGCTTCTTTATAAAAATAGCTATGGCAATTCTACTATTCTTATGGACTTTCATAGGATGCAGAATAGCCAAAACAATACACTTTCCATTCAAAATTTACCACAAAGCTGCAGTAAAGATAGTGTGGTACTGACACAATACACCAATGAAATAGAATTGAGAGTTCAGAAAGAAGCCTTCCCACCTGTGTGCAATTGATTTCCAACAAAGGTACCAAGATAAGTAAATGAGGAAACATAGTCAAAATCTCAAGAAATGGAGCTGAGACAACTAGATATTCATGTGAAGTTGGAACCCTGTCTTTTACCACAGTTATCTCAAAATGTATCAAAAACCTAAATTCAGGAGCTGAACACAATAAAATAAAACTCTAGAAAAAGGTAGACGTTAATCTTTGTGACCTTAGATTACGCAAACGTTTCTTCAATATGTAACCAAAAACACAAATAATAAACATCAACTAAATTGAACTTCATTGAAATTAAACTTCTGTGCTTCAAAGAGATTATGAAGTAAAATGACACTATGGGAGAAAAATATTGTCACATCATATCTAGAGCTAAGCATAGGAAATGATAATTAGCTATCAGAAAAATGAAAATCAAACCACAATGAGATACAATGAATCTCAAACCACAGTGAGATATATTGAATAGAATGGAGTGTAATCAGAAAGAAATAACAGATGTTGGTGAATATATGGAAAAATTGGGAACCTCATCCAATTGCTAGTGGGAACATAAAGTGAGGTTGCTTCTTTAGAAAACAGTCTGGTAGTTTCTCAAAAGATTGGACATACATTCACCATATGTTCCTAAAATTAAGATATAATTGTGAACATTTGTATATGAATGTTACTAGTAGCATTATTCACAATATAAATGTTTCCAGATGTGGAGGTGGGCCTAGGTTGATGTTACCCTTGCAGTGGGTTTGCATCATACATTCACTCACCATATATCTGATATAATTGGTGCAAATCCACATATTCTATAATAAAACCACCAAGATAAAGAATTTGGACAAATTACTTAAACTTTCTTGCCTCAGTATGCTCGGCTTAAAAATCGGACAGAATGGCAAGCCAGTTATAGAAATCTCGAGTTTAGGAACCCCCAGCCTTTTAAAGGGAGGTAACAGCAAACCTGCTTAACTTATGCCTTAGAAAGAGGCATTATCTTTATCTTCTTCTTGTTTTTTTTTGTTTGTTTGTTTTTTGTTTTTTGTTTTTTTTGAGCCAGAGTCTTCCTCTGCCGCCCAGGCTGGAGTGCAGTGGTGCAATCTTGGCTCACTGCAAGCTCCGTCTCCCAGGTTCACGCCATACTCCTGCCTCAGCCTCCCGAGTAGCTGGGACTACAGGCACCTGCCACCACGCCAGGCTAATTTTTTGTATTTTTAGTAGAGACGGGGTTTCACCGTGTTAACCAGGATGATCTCTATCTCCTGACCTCGTGATCCACCCGCCTCGGCCTCCCAAAGTGCTGGGATTACAGGCGTGAGCCACCGCGCCCGGCCCATTATCTTTATCTTCTACAGTGATTGTTATACACAGCTCCATGAAGATAATCTACAACAAAAGGCTGTAAGTCACGAACAGCCTCATATTGTATGAGTCTGTTTATATTAAGTGTCTGTAATAGGCAAATCCACAGAGACAGAAAATGGCTTATTGGATACCAAGGGCTCTAGGAAAGGGGGAAGCTGGTATAGAATGCTAATGGTACAGAGTTTCTCATTAAGGTGATGAAAATCTTCTGTATGTAAGTAGTGGTGATGTTTGTACAACTTTGTGAATACCTTGAAAATCACCGAGTGTGTACTTTATTTTATTATTATTATTTTTTAGACGGATTCACACTCTGTCTCCCTGCCTGGAGTGCAGTGGTGCAATCTCAGCTCACTGCAACCTCTGCCTTTAGGGTTCAAGTGATTCTCCTATCTCAGCCTCCTGAGTAGCTGGGATTACAGGTGCACATTACCATGCCCAGCTAATTTTTTTATTTTTAGTACAGACGGGGTTTCACCATGTTGGTCAGGCTGGTCTCAAACTGCAGACCTCGTGATCTGCCTGCCTCAGCCTCCCAAAGTGCTGGGACTACAGACGTGAGCCACCGCGCCCAGCAAGTGTGTACTTTAAAATGGCTAATGTTATACTATGTGAGTTATCTCTCAATCCAAAAAGTGTTTAAATCTTGGTTAAAGTTGTGTGCACTACCAGCCTTAACAGGAATGTATATGCGGGTTAAACACACAAACAAAAGTACTGAATGTGCCCCAGTGACATAAAGGGGCAGGGAAGTGAACAACTGGAAAACAGTGAGAGCTAAACTCAAATTTGGCATTGAGTATGAAAGCATGCTTTCTCCAGTCTATGTAGGAAAAACTGGAGGAAGTGGCCATGTAGTTGGATAATTTTTCACTTATAACAAGTGCCTGTAAATATGCCCCTAAATATTAAACCTTTTTTTGTTTTGTCTTTGTTTGTTGTTTTTTGTTTGTTTTGTTTTTTGAGACAGAGTCTTGCTCTGTCGCCCAGGCTGGAGTGCAGTGGTGTGATCTCAGCTCACTGCCAGCTCTGCCTCCCGGGTTCACACCATTCTCCTGCCTCAGCCTCCTGAGTAGTTGGAACTACAGGTGCCCGCCACCATGCTGGGATAATTTTTTTGTATTTTTAGTAGAAACAGGGTTTCACCATGTTAGCCAGGATGGTCTCCATCTCCTGACCTCGTGATCCTGCTGCCTCAGCCTCCTAAAGTGTTGGGATTTCAGGCGTGAGCCACCGTGCCCGGCCATATTAAATCATTTTTTTAATAAGAAAGTGAAGTTCAGAATCTAGAAAGGAGTTGGCAGTACCAACATTAAATTATAAATTGTTCAGCGTACACGTGAAGAATATAACTTACATTTTAGTTCATGTTATACATACATATAAGCAAACAGAGTTTTCTATTTTGATAACAAAACCACCAGGATAAAGAATCAAGTCAAATTACTTAATCTTTTCTTGCTTTAGTCTCCTTAGTTTAATAAGAAGACCGAATAGTAAGCCTGTTACAGAAATTAAGTCTGTGAACCTTTTAGAATAAAGATCAGGCCAGCCACGGTGGACTCAGGGTGAATCCAAACACTTTGGTGGGGCCAAGGTGGGTGGACCACCTGAGCTCAGGAGTTCGAGACCAGCCTGGCCAACATGGCAAAACCCCATCTCTACTAAAATTACCAAAAAAAAGTAGTCAGGTCGGGTGGTGGGCACCTGTGGTCCCAGCTACTGAGAGGCTGAGGCAGGAAATCGCCTGAACCCAAGAGGCAGAGGTTGTGTGGTGAGCCGAGATCCTGCCACTTCTGCCTGAGCAACAGAGCAAGACTTTGTTACTTCCTATTAAAAAAAAAAAAAAAAAGAAGAAAGTGAAAAAGAAAAAAAAGATCAAAGTGAACTGAAAATATATCACGTATTGTTTTCCACAGTTCACCTGAGAAAAGACAAATATCCATGTACTGATAGAACTTACATTTTGGCTTTAGTAGGAAGCAGTGACAACAACTAGTGACTTTTAAGTAAGAAGCATAAGGCTCGTGGGTTCATGTATATGCAGGTGCATAATATAAACTCAAAGGAGATTTGAGCAAATTTTTTGAAATGGCAAGGAGAGCAGAACCTCTGAGGTTGTAGTATGTATTGGGGCCCTGACCAAGAAAAAGAATGGTAGAAGATATGTAAAAGTGAATAAGAATAAAATTACTTATGTGTTTTTGTTACATTATAAGGACCATGGTTTTAGCTTAGGAAAGGGGGAGGCTGGGATTGAATGCTAATGGGTAGTTTCTTTTTAAGGTAATGGCAACATTCTATATATAAATAGTGTTGATCTTTCCTGTAACTTTGGGAATACCCTAAAAATCACTAAATGTGTACTTTAAAATGGTTACTTTTACAGTATCTGAGATATAACTCACATAATATAAGAGGTAATCGAGGAAGGTAGGGGATCACTAAAGAGGCTGAGTTAATCGCCTGAGAAATGTGGATGGCCTGCATCTGGGTGATAGCAGGAGGAATAGGGAAAAGTGGCTAGATTCTGCATGTGTCTTAAAAGTAAAACATGCAGAATTTGATGATTAATAGAAATGATGCAATGAAAAGAAAAGCATTAAGGATGACCTTATGTGCCTTAGCAGCAGGACGTAATTATTATCAGGTGAAATGGGAAACATATGGGGAAAGTTGTTTGGAAAGTGGATCAGAATTCAGTCTGTAGCCTTGAGTTCAAATTGCCTATTAAACTCGAATATGTACAACAGACTCCTATAAGTTTGGGGCATTGGTAAGAGACTGGCTGGAGATATAAATATGGGACTCAGTACCATTCAGAAATCCATTGTACAGGAAAAGATAACCAGGAGATTGAGAGTAAATGCATCAGGAATAATTCAAGTAAGAGGGAGACTAAAAAATAACTTTTATAATTGGCCAGGTGTGGTGGCTTGCACCTCCAATGCCAGCAGTTTGGGAGCCTGAGGCGGGCAGAAGGCTTGAGCCCAGGAGCTCGAGACCAGCCTGGGCAATATGAAGAGACCCTGTCTCTACAAAAATACCAAAGTTAGCTAGGCCTGGTGGCCTGCAGTCACAATCACCCGGAAGGTGGAAGTGGAAAGATCGCTTGAGCTTGGGAGGTTGAGGCTGCAGTGAGTCCTTGATCGCACCACTACACTCCAGCCTGGACAACAGAACCAGACCGTGTCTCAATAAACAATGATAGGAATTTAAAAAAAAACTATTATATTTGGCAAAAAGAAAGTTAAATATAGTACTTTTGGTGGACCGTTGGGGATGAAAGCCTGACTGGTTAAGGTAAGTGGAATGTTCAAATGAGAGCATATTATCAATGGCAAAAATATTCAACTGAAGTTTAAGGTAACATATTACATTTAGCAATTAGGGTGTCACTGATGACTTTTGAGAAACCACTGTGACTTCACTGTTGTGGGATAAAACCTGAGAAATAATAAGAAGTGATGGAAAGGAAATAACTAATAGAAATTCTCTGTGGCAATTAAAAGCAGAGAAAAAGTTCAGCACCATGAGAGACAGTTTTTGTTTTGAATTGTAAAATATGGTTTTTTTAATACACGTGTGATAAGGAAATCAGAGCACCGAAGAGGAGAATAAAATAAATTACACAAAAGAGAAAAAGATCAATCATATTGATGGATTGGGTCCAGGAGGACATATTTTAAAATGGGATGAAGGTTTTGTCTTTGAATAAATAAGTGCATATAGATAAAGGTGTGATTTAGATCAGAAAAACAAAAGAAGTTGAGGAATTTAATATTCTGCAGCATAAAATTTAAAGAATTTGAGGAATATTTATGATAAATTATGACAAAGCAATGCAAAGACAGTTCAAGAAATGAACAACTTGTCAAATAAAATAGATAACTTCCTGCTTCTTCCCTCCCACTTTTTTTAACTACTACTTTTACTTTTCCCATTAATATGTTTTTAAAAACCACCAACGTCTTCTGGGGAAATATTATCTTTCTTTCTGGAAATTTGCATTAGATGCTTACTCATTTTTTGTGCTTTCAATATATTAACAGCATTTTTAGTCAGAAAAATATTTCTCTAAAACAATTTCATTTTAATATTTACTTGATTTAAAAGTACTGTTGCCTTTTATTTTCCTTCTTATTCATTTTGTTTTATATTGCTTCCCACACATAGTGACTAATTGATGTTCACAGTATGTCAGTAATTTTTCTGGCGGTTTGTCTACAGAGAACCTAAAATGAGCTGTTTTTCCCCCCAACAAAAGAGAGTTTAAACCTACTATTGCCATGCAGTCTGGATTTTACATCTATTTAAATTGAAACTTTACTAGATTAATAACTTCATAGAGTTAAGTTCAGTCAAGAAACAGTATTTTAAATGCAAATAACCAACATCTAGCAATAAGTGGAACTTAAAGGCCTCACTATTCTGTATTCCTTTACTAATCAGGAATATCTGGGGATAGTTTTCTTAGTGTCATCATGGTTAGACTTGGCTTAGATTGTGCCGTTTTATTTTAGTGGATGTCAGCTGCAGACATTGGCTGAAAAGCACAAAAAGAAAACTTATGAGTAATGAACATTTCTTTCATACTACTTGGAGATAGGACTATCATCTCAGTGCTAAGAGGTAGTTGATGCCTTATAGAAGTTTGATCGTCTACTTCTTTAAAACAATGTTTTCTGAAGAAATAGTATGTCAAATTAGACATCATAGTTCAATATTCCCTAAACCAGACATGGATTTTTCTATTCTGATTAGTGATCCATATCTACCTGTTAACATTTTCTATGAATAGTGAATTATAGAGAATCTTGTTTACTTCTGTTTAAATTTAATACTGAACTCTACTGGATTCACTGACAAGACGACTTTGAATTAGCAGCACCCTGAGAATGGAGACAGTGTTTGAAGAGATGGATGAAGAAAGCACAGGAGGAGTTTCATCTTCGAAAGAAGAAATAGTCCTTGGCCAGAGACTCCATCTAAGCTTTCCTTTTAGCATTATCTTCTCAACTGTTCTCTACTGTGGTGAGGTTGCCTTTGGTTTATACATGTTTGAAATTTATCGAAAAGCTAATGACACATTCTGGATGTCATTTACCATCAGCTTTATTATTGTGGGGGCAATTTTGGATCAAATTATCCTGATGTTTTTCAACAAAGACTTGAGGAGAAATAAGGCTGCATTACTTTTTTGGCACATTCTTCTTTTAGGACCTATTGTGAGGTAAGTGACACAAATATTTCTCATTCACTGCCTCCAACAAGTAAATTGAATATAAATAGATGGCTAAAAAGATTAAGGATGCCATAATTATCGTTTACGGAATTGAAATATTTCCCTCTTTAGATTTATTTAGTTTTCACACTTTCGTAACTGTTCCTATTTAATTGTCATCAGTTATAAGGTAATGATAGTTTTTTAAAAATGCAAATGGGAATGAGTCAGTCATTTCTTCTTTCTATGTATGTGTTGTATTCCAGTCTTTACTATTTTTCTCATTCGGCCTAATGGGCATTTTAAATAGTTATGAGGCCTAGAACTATAACCTTAAATTAAGGAATGAGAGTAGAGTGAGTGAGAAGAGAGAAAGACTTGAAAATAATCTCATAAATTTTATTTGTCAACTGAAGCGAATTTAACTTTTTAGTGGTAATTTTCCAGACATCCTGGAATTTGTAGCTGTGACTTGGAATATCAAAACATAGCTTAGCAATTCATTTCCATATCACTTCTGTCTGTTACTACACTGATTTGCATGAGTACTGTAAATTTTGTTATGTTAATCTGTCTTACTCATAGTTCTAAATTCTTAGTTACTATATATGTGAATAAACATAAAATTTGGCAGGTAAATTCTTTTATAACTTTCTTTTCACTGAATGTTTTAGGTAAACTCAAGTTTATTTTTCTGTGTGAATTTCAGAGCTAGATGTTGATAAATTTTATTTTATCCAATTAAACTTATAGATTAACTTTGGGAAAGACTAACGTGCTTTGAAAGAACAATTCTTCATATTTATGGACCACATAGGAATTAATATTTATTTAAGATTGATGTATCTTAAGTGGTTTTTTTTGGTGTGTTTTCTTTATTGAAGTTTTTATATTTTTTAGGATTCTTGCATCATGGATTTACATTTTAGGTTAATACAATGCAAAGTATATTTTCATTTTACTTTTTATTATTGTTAACTGTTTTGTTATTGATTTAAAACTTAACTGTAGGTTGGGTGTGGTGGCTCATCCCTGTAATTCCAGCTCTTTGGGAGGCCAATGCAGGCGGATCATTTGAGGTCAGGAGTAGAGTCCAGCCTGATCAACATGGTGAAAAACCGTCTCTGCTAAATACCAAAAAAAATAGCCGGGCGTGTTGGTGCATGCCTGTAATCCCAGCTATTTGGGAGGCTGAAGCCAGAGAATCTTTTGAAACTGGGAGGCAGAAGTTGCGCCTAGGCAACAGAGCAAAACTCTGTCAAAAAAAAAAAAAAAAAACCTTAACTATATTCCATCACAAAATGTGATCTGCATTATAAAATGGAAATACATGTTTATATATGAATTATATAAACATGTAAATTTAAAAATATAAATATATAAAGGGAGTCTTGAATTATTACCAGATGTGATGTCAAATGTTACAAAGGTTTTTCACGAGCTAAATAAGAAAGTATTGATTAATTGACTTTTTTCTTTTTTTTTTTGAGATGAACTATCATTCTTTTTCACCGAGGCTGGAGTGCATTGACACAATCTTGGCTCACTGCAACCTCTGCCTACAAAGCTCAAGAGATTCTCCTGTCTCAGCCTTCCAAGTAGCTGGAATTATAGGTGCCCACAACCATGCTCAACTGACTTTTATACTTTTATTAGAGGTAGTGTTTCACCAGGTTGGCCAAGCTGGTCTCCAACTCCTGACCTCTAGTGAGGAATTGCCAGACTGTCAGACTGACATTTGAGAAACTCTCAGGCTGTTTACCAAAGTAACTGTACTTCCTCACCCTTAGCTCCCTCTAGCAATAATTAGGGGTTCTTATTTCTGCACATCCTTCTCCACTCCTACTGTCTCTTTAAATCATAGCTCCTAATGCGAATGAATAAAATTTCATTGTGATTTTGGTTTCTATTTGATTTTTGAATGGACCTGGCAGCCTTGTTGAAAATCAGCTGACGGTAAATATGAGTGTATATTTTGGAGTGTCTTATCTATCCCATTGATCTATGTATTAATTCTTATTACCAGTTTGATGAATAATGTTTTGTAATAAGTTTTTAAGTAGAACGTATTAATTAACAAATTAATTAAGTTGATAATATTATTTTTGCAAAATTGTTTGGCTGTGTGGAGTCCTTTGCATTTCCCAACTGATCAGTTGATTGTTTCTGCCAAATATTGTGAATAATAATAACAACAATAAAGGCAATGAATTTTGATATGGAATGAATTGAATCTGTAGATAAGTTTGGGGAGTATTGTCATCTTAATAATATGAAGTCTTTCAACTCACGGTCCTGTGATGTATTTACATTTACTTAGGTCTTTAACTTCTTTTGTTGATGTTTGGTAGTTTTAAATGTACAGGTCTTACACTTACTTGTCAAAGTTATTTCTGAATATTTTCTTTTTTAGGTTATTATAAATAAGGTTTTTAAAGCATCATTCTCAATCGTTCATTGCTAGTATGTAGAAATACAAATCATTTTTGCATACAGATGTTGTGTACTGAAACTATGCTGAGACTATTTACTAGCTTTAATGTTTTTTTGTGTGGATTCCTCCAGATTTTCTGTATACAAATTATGTCATCTTGAATAGAGGTAGTTTCACATCTCCTTTTTTTAATCTGTTTGCCTTTCACATCTTACCTGGTAACCCAACAACTAATTATTTTGGTTAGAACCTCTAGTACTATATTGAAAATGAGTTTACATGTTTCACTTATTTTTGACATAAGGGAGAAAGTTTTCAGTCTTTGGTCGATGAAAAGAGTTAAACTCTGTAAAATATTTTGAAGGGATTTATTCTGAGCTAAATGTGAGTGACCGTGGGCTATGATACTGTTCCCAGGAAGTCCTGAGTACATGTGCCCAATGTGGTCAGGGTACAGCGTGGTTTTATACATTTTAGGGAGGCATGAGACATCAATCAAATAAACTAATAAATACATTGGTTTGTTCCAGAAAGGCTTGACAGCTCAAAACAGTGGGGTGGTTGGGTGGACTCCAGGCTATAGGTAAATTTAAACATTTTCTGGTTGACAACTGGGTGAGTTTATCTAAACAGCTGGGATGATAGAAAGGAAACAGGTTAAGATAAAATATTGTGGAGACCAAGGTTCTTTTGAAGTCTTATAATGTCTGCCCTTAGAGAATACATGACAAATGTGTTCTATTCACACCTTTTAAAAGTGCTAGACTTTCAGTTAATCTCTTCAGATTTGGGAGGGCCTGGAAGTAAAAGATCTGGGGAAATTAATAGAGATTCCATGCAGATCCAAATTTTCCCCCACATAGGACAGCTTTGTAGGGCCATTTCAAAACATGAGGGGAAAAAAAACATGTTTTGGGGTAAAATATTTTTACTTTCTTCTTTATTTTGTTTTGTTATGCCAGAGTCAGACTGGAAAGTAAGTCACATTATATAGGGTTAATTAGAATCCATCTGATGAGAATTTATGGTTTGTAGGGCATTAGTACCCAGACCCCTTATATAGGGATTTGGGCAAGATTACAAAATGAGAGCTTAGTCCTCATTTTTGGCATGAAATATTGTACTAGCTTTTTTTTTCTTAATTGATGGCTTTTCCTAGTCTGAGAAAGTACTGTTTGTTGAGTGTTTTTATTTTGAGATGTGTTGGATTTTGCAAAATGATTTTTTCTGCCTGTTGAGATGATCCTGTGATTTTTGTTCATTATTCTGTTAACATGATGTATTTCACTGATTTTTATATGTTGAATCTGTTATGGGAAAGTGGTCCTGATCCAGACCCCAAGAGAGGGTTCTTGGATCTTGTGCAAGAAAAAATTCAGGGCAAGTCCACAATGTGAAGTGAAAGCAAGTTTATTAAGAATGTAAAGGAATAAAAGAATGGCTACTCCATAGAGAGAGCATGCCCAAAGGCTGCTGGTTGCCCATTTTTATGGTTCTTTCTTGATGGTATGCTAAACAAGGGGTGGATTATTCATGCCTCCCCTTTTTAGCCCTTATAGGGTAACTTCCTGATGTTGCCATGGCATTTGTAAACTGTCATGGCACTGGTGGGAGCGCAGCAGTGAGGACGACCAGAGGTCACTCTTGTGGCCATTTTGGTTTTCGTGCATTTTGACTGGCTCCTTTGCTGCAACCTGTTTTATTAGGAAGTTCATTATGACCTGTAGTTTTTATTACACACATTTTAGAACACATTTGCCATGTATTCTCTAAGGGCAGCCATTATAAAACCTCCTTTTTATCCTGTAACTTAGAATGCTTTAAATATCTGGGAATGCAGCCCAGTGTGTTTCACATTCATTTTTCCTAGCTCCTGTTTAAGATGGAGTTGCTCTAGTTCACATGCCTCTGACAAATCTCTTCTTGTTGTGGAAATAAATCCTATTTGGTTGTTGTGTATTATCATTTTTTATATGTCGCTGAGTGTGGCTTTCTAGTGTGGTGTTGAGGACTTTTTTGTCTGTGGTTCATAAAGGATATTGGTCTGCAGTTTCTTCTAGTTTTTTTCTCATTTTTGACAGGCTATAGCATTTTTAATAGATTTTATTATAGTTATGCCTTAAGACAACAAAACAAGTATATGCAAAAGTGGAAAGGTAATTTATGAAAACATAATGATTGTTAAATTCTGGTCTACTGTAACTAAGGAAAATTGTGTGTGTATATATATATATATGTCAATTGAGGACACTACCAACCTTAAGATGGATTGACATGGAAGTCCCTGATTAACATAACTTTACAGCTTAACATCCTCTCCACGATCTCCACAAGGTTTTAGAAAGTCTTACTTTCATGGCCAACTTTTTAACTTGTGTGACTATTTTATTTCTGCAAAGCTGTCTTAATGTCTTATTTTAATGTCAAAAAAATAAAAAGAAAAGGATGAAGGAAAAACCTTGTTTTGTTTTTCACAAGCATCACATTTGGTGTCAGTTAATGAGTTTGTAGGAAGACTGGGATGACTGCTGGGTGCAGTGGCTCATGACTGTAATCCCAGCACTTTGGGAGTCCCAGGCAGGCAGATCACAAGGTCAAGAGATCGAGACCATCCGGGCCAACATGGTGAAACCCTGTCTCTACTACAAACCCAAAAATTAGCTGGGTTTGGTGGCGCCCACCTGTAGTTCCAGATACTTGGGAGGCTGAGGCAGGAGAATCACATGAACCTGGGAAGGAGAGGTTGCAGTGAGCCAATATCACGCCACTGTACTCCAGCCTGGCAACAGAGCAAACTCTGTCTCAAAAAAAGAAAAAAAAAAGAAAGACTGGGATGGTTTACATGAATTATCTGTTAGGATTAAATATTAGACATTCTACCTCTAAATGTTCTCAGTTATCTTCTTTCTTTCCTTTACTCCTTACCTTCTTTCTTTTTCCTTTTTGAAGCTAAGACAATTCAATCAAGTATCTATAAATTTTTCCTTCCCCAAACCCTGATAAAATTCTTCATATAAGATAATGAAAGACAAGGGATGGGAGAAAAACTGTTTTCTATTTGGTCAGAAGATAGAGATAATAAATGATAGTGTGTACTTAAAGGTCAAAAGTATCTAAAGGGTATAGTGATATGATTTTCTATTTAATTTATCATACATTTCATAATTGCTAAAGAAGAGCTAGTTAATAGGGTCTAATGAAATGATATATTATGGCCATTGGATTATGTGGTGAGAGAGAGGTACAATAGTAGACAATGACAGAGGAGACTTTGGAGATATTGAAAATATTCTGTTTGTTTAAAGAATGGTGTTACTTACATTAATGATTTTTTATAAATTTTAACAATGTCTCCTTTTTGGAAAATTGCAGTTTGTATTAGAGAAAATGGGCTCCAGACCATTTAGTCACATACTTTTCTTTCAGATTTGTGCTGGATTTGTTCATTTTTGCAAGTTATTGGGTGTATAGAAGCTTAAAATTAATACAGTTTTCTGACAAAATAATATTTTGCACTGACCTTTATTATGCTGATGACACTTTTTTTGCATTGAAATGTTTCTTCTGATTTTATAAAAGCACAAACAGCCTTTTCTGCCTTTTCTGTTGTTTGCTTTTTTTTTTTTTGCTGATAGCTTTTATTTCTTGTTCTTATGCTTTAATTATAACTCTTTAACACCTGACAACTTGTAGTTCTGAACATGTACGTTTAGTCTATTTGCCCGCATTGCGTTATTTTAAAACTTACACTTACTTATATATTTATTTTTTTGAAATGGCATCTTGCCGTGTTGTGCAGGTTGGAGAGCAGTGGTGTAATCTCAGCTCACTGCAATTTCTGCCACCCAGGCTCAAGCGATACTCCTGCCTCAGCAATAACTGGGACTACCTACAGGCATGCACCACCACACCAGGCTAATTTTTGTATTTTTAGGTGAGATAGCGTTTCACCATGTAGCCCAGAATGGTCTCCAACTCCTGAGCTCAAGGGATCCGCCCCTTCTTGACCTCCCAAAGTGCTGGATTCCAGGCATGAGCCAGTGAACCTGGCCACACTTATTTAATTTTATTCTTTATAAATCTTTTCTGCCTAGGATATATAAGACTTCCTTAATCTGAGAATTCATGATTGTAACAATTTGAAACTCTTTTTCTAGTCATTATTTTAAAAATACTGCCACTTCCTGTATTCTTTTAAAATTCTGATCAGAAGTGTAGGCTTTGTCACTCTTTTCTTAAATGCCCTATAATCTCCATCATATATTAGATGCTCCTTTCTCTCTTTGCTACATTTTTTTGTAATTTTGTTAAAGTTATTTATTTTTCAATTATCGAATTAGCTTTCAACTATTTAATTTACCCAGTGTTTTTTATATTTTGTTTTCTAGAGATTCTGTTGGTTCTTTTTAATACTTGCTCATCATTGAGAAGCATTATTTTTTCATACTTCTGAAGTACTCCATTATTTCTTCAAAAAGTAAATATTTTTTGGTTTGGTAAATTTTACATAGGAAATACGTTGGGGTCATCTTGTGCTTCTTATTCATGGTATCTTGCTTTTATTCATGTTTTGTGATTTTTTATAAAGATCTGCTTATTTCCCATAGATTTTTATTTGTGAAAGTTCTTTGAGGACTACTTTGAAGTTAAACTCCACTATAGATCATATCTGTGTATGTTTTTATCACTTACCTGTGGCTGTTTTAAGCATTCATTGAGTTTTTTTAGACTGCTGTCTTAAAATAATGCTAAATGAGCTAAATTTCATCACTAGAGAAAAATCATAAGTCAAAATATGTTCCAATGAAAATCTGGGGTCCTTCCTTTGAGGCAGTTGACATTTGTATCATGGGAAGAACACCTAAAAACATTGATGTCTTTAAAAAGTTGTCAGAATAGTATGTTTCTGGAGAAATAGCTTTTGTATGTGTCAGAATATTAACGCATTAGAAAAACATTGTGATATTATTTAATCAAACTGACCTTGAGAAAGTGAATTGAATTGTGTATGAATGAGGAAATTTTTACTTTTCATCTGCTGTTTGAATTTTTGTTTATCAGACTGCAGTTATGTATTATTTGAAGTTGAAAATGAGGGGAAGAACTACCATAAATAATAATATTAGAAACTGTTAGAAACTTATTTTTTATCCAGTGTGATTAAGTTAATATTTGCCATTTGATAGTATAATTTCAAAATTAAGAGTTCCTCTCCTGATAAACTTTCAAATATTTCTAGATGTCTGTCACCAATAAATGTTAATCTTGGATGTTACTTCATGTTAACAGGTGTTTGCACACCATTAGAAATTACCACAAATGGTTGAAAAATCTTAAACAGGAGAAGGAAGAGACTCAAGTTAGCATCACAAAGAGAAACACGATGCTGGAAAGGGAGATTGCATTCTCAATCCGGGATAATTTCATGCAGCAGAAGGCTTTCAAGTACATGTCAGTGATTCAGGCTTTTCTCGGTTCTGTTCCACAATTAATTTTGCAGATGTATATCAGTCTCACTATACGAGAATGGCCTTTGAATAGAGGTAAGTTGAGTTACTTGATGCTGAAAGACACACAAAGGTCAATAAAGTGTACTAATATAATAGAAATTGAGAAGTTGAAATATGTAATCCCAAATTACAGTTGCACTAAATTTTTTATAAGATTGAGTTTCTATGAATTTATTTGATTAGCAGATTATAAAAAGATGCTGCTGGAATCCATAGAAATTTAATATAATTAAAAGTTAGCAGCAATTTATTTTATTGACCCTGAAGAGTTAAATTAAGCTTGATATAATATTTAGAGATGAAGCAGAGGAATAAGTTTTTATCTAAAACATATTTTTGTTATAATCTACCTTGTATAAACAGCATTGCTTTTTTTTTTTTTTTTTTTTTGAGACATAGTCTCACTTTGTCGCCCAGGCTGGAGTTCAGTGGCCCGATCTCGGCCCACTGCAAGCTCCGCCTCCCAGGTTCACGCCATTCTTCTGACTCAGCCTCCTGAGTAGCTGGGACTACAGGTGCCCGCCACCATGCCCGACTAATTTTTTCATATTTTTAGTAGAGATCGGGTTTCACTGTGTTAGCCAGGATGGTCTCGATCTCCTGACCTCGTGATCCACCTGCCTTGGCCTCCCAAAGTACTGGGATTACTGGCATGAGCCACCGCGCCCAGCCAAACAGCATTGCTTTTAATAGAAGTCGAAACTGCATGAAAGTGAGAATGTGCCTAAGACTATAAAATTGTATAAAAGTCACCAGGCAAATAGTTCTGTATATTTTATTTTAAATTTTTACCTTAGATACAGGGAGTATATGTACAGTATACGTACAGGCTTGTTACATGGGAATATTGTGAGATACTGAGGTTTGGAGTATGGATCCCATCACCCAGGTAGTAAGCATAGTACACAGTAGGGAGTTTTTCTTAGGCCACGCTGTTCTTCCCTCCACCCAATAGTGGTTGACAATGTTTGTTATTTCCATATTTAAGTTCAGGTGTGCTGAATGTTCAGCTTCTGCTTATGAGTAATAAATCTATTTGGTTTTCTATTCCTGCATTGATTTGCTTAGGATAATGGCCTCCACCTGCATTTATGTTGATGCAAACGACATGATTTATTTATTTTATATGACAGCACAGTATTCCACATACACATACATGGAATACTATGCAACCATACGAAAGAAATTAATCAGTTATTTTCCTTATCCAGTGTACCATTGATGGGCACCTGAGTTGATCCCATGTCTTTGCTATGGTGAATAGTGCAGCAATGAACATATGACTGTATGTGTCTTGGACCTAGAATGATTTATATTCCTTTGGGTACATACCCACTAATGGGATTGCTGGGTTGAAATGGTAGCTCTGTATTAAATTCTTTGAGAAACTTCCAGAGTGCTTTCCACAATGGCTGATCTAACTTATACTTCTATCAGCAGTGTGTAAGCATTCCCCTTTCTCAAAAGCATCCTCACCCAACATGTGTTGGTTTCTGACATTTTAATAGTAGCCATTTTTGCTGGTGTGAGATACTATCTCATTGTGGTTTCGATTTGCATTTCTCTGATGATTACTGATGCTGAAATTGTGGGGGTTTTTGTTGTTGTTGTTTTTTTTTTTTTGAGATGGAGTTTCACTCTTGTTGCCAAGGCTGGAGTGCCCTGGCATGATTTTGACCCACTGCAACCTCCACCTCCCAGATTCAAGTGATTCTCCTGCCTCAGCCTCCCAGGTACCTGTGATTACAGGCATGTGCCAACATGCCCAGCTAATTTTGACATTGTAAAACCTTGTAGAGACAAGGTTTTGCTATATTGGCCAGGCTGGTCTTGAACTCCTGACCTCAGGTTATCCACCCACCTCAGCCTCCCAAAGTGCTGGGATTATAGGGGTGAGCCACTGCACATGGACTTATGCTGAGCAGTTTTTCATATGCTTGTTGGACACTTGTATGTCTTCTTTTGAGAAGTATCTGTTCATTTTCTTTTACCTATTTTTTTTTTTTTTTTTGAGACAGAGTCTCACTCTGTCGCCCAGGCTGGAGTGCAGTGGTGCAATCTCGGCTCACTGCAAGTTCCGCCTCCTGGGTTGACACCATTCTTCTGCCTCACCCTCCCAAGCAGCTGGGACCACAGGTGCCCACCACCATGCCCAGCTAATTTTTTTGTATTTTTAGTAGAGACGGGGTTTCACCATGTTAGCCAGGATGGTCTTGATCTCCTGACCTCGTGATCTGCCCGCCTCAGCCTCCCAAAGTGCTGGGATTACAGGCGCGAGCCACTGCGCCTGGCCACTTTTACCTATTTTTTAACAGAGTTATTTGTTTTGTGCTTGTTGATTTAAGTTCCCTATAGATTCTGGATCTTAAGCCTTTGCTGGATGCATCGTTTGCAAATATCTTCTCCCATTGTGTAGGTTGTCTGTTTGCTCTGTTTACAGTTTCTTTTGCTGTGCGGAAAACCTTTAGTTTAATTAGGTCCCAATTTTCTATTTTTGTGTTTTATGCAAAATTGCATTTGGGGACTTAGCTAAAAATTTTTTGCCACTATCAGTGTTTAAAATAATGCTTCCTAGGTTATTTTCCACAATTTTTATAGTTTGAGGTCTTACATTTAAACATTTCATCCATTTTGAGTTAATTTTTGTATATGGTGAAAGGTAGGAGTTCAGTTTAATTCTTCTACATATGGCTAGCCAGTTATCCTAGATTCATTTATTTAAAAGGGAATCCTTTTCCCATTGCCTGTTTCATTGGCCTTGTCAAAGATCAGATGGTTGTAGGTGTGTGGCTTTATACCTGGGTTCCCTGACCTGTTTTCTTGGTCTCTGTGTCTATTTTTGCCCCAGTGCTAAGCTGTTTTTGCTACTGCAGCTTTTAAGTGTAGTTTGAAGTCAGGTAGTGTAACATCACTGGGTTTGTTATTTTTGCTTATGATTGCTTTGACTAATTGGGCTTCTTGTTGTTGCTGTTCCACATGAAATTTAGAATAGAATTTTTTCTAATTTTGTGAAGAATGACGTTGGCAGTTTGACAGGGATAGCATTAAATAATTTGCGCTTCTGCCCATTCAGTATGATGTTGGCTATGGGTTCATTATAGAAGACTCTTATTATTTCAAGTACATTCTTTTGATGCTTAATGTGTTGAGTTTATCATGAAGAGATGTTTGATTTTATCAATCCCTTTTTCTGTTTTGGTTTTTACTTTTGATTCTGTTTATGTGGTGATCACATTTATTGATTTGGACATGTTGAGCCAGCTTTGCATTCCAGGAAGAAAGCCTACTGTGATTGTGGTGTACTAGCTTTTTGATGCACTGTGAGATCCAGTTTGCTGAGATTTTGTTAAGGATTTTTGCATCTGTGTTCATGAGGGATATTGGCCAGAAGTTTTCTTGTGTCTCTGCCAGGTTTTGGTATCAGGCTGATGCTGGGCTCATAGAATCTGGGCTCATTGAATGAGATGGGAAAAAGGCCCCTCCACCATTTGTTTGAATTATAATAGCGTTGTTATGAATTCTTTGTACATCAGGAAAAATTTGGCTATGAATTCATCTGCTCCAGGGATTTTTTTTTAAAATATTGGTAGGTTCTTTATTACCTAAACAATTTAAGGCATAGATATTGGCCTATTCAGTTTCAATCTCTTCTTGATTTAGTCTTGGGAGATTGTGTGCTTCCAAGAATTTATCTGTTGCCTCTGGATTTTCTAATTTGTGTTCATAGAGTTGTTCATAGTTGTCTCTGAGGATCTTTTGTATTTCTGTGGGATCAGTCATATATAGCCTATATTGTTTTGATTGTGCTTCTTTGGATTTTCTGGTCCCTTTTTTTTTGAGACTGAGTTTTTTTCTGTCACCAAGGCTGCAGTTCAGTGACATGATCTTGCATCACTGACACTTCCACCTCCCAGGTTCAAGCAATTCTCATGCCTCAGCCCCCTGAGTAGCTGGGATTACAGGCATGTACCACCATGCCTGGTTAATTTTTCTATTTTTAGTAGAGACAGGGTTTTACCATGTTGGCCAAGCTGGTCTCAAACTCTTGACCTCAAGTAATCCTCCCATGTCAACCTCTGAAAGTACTGGGATTACAGAGGTGAGTCATCATACGCAGCCTTTTTTTTTTGTCTTTGTTAATTTAGGTAGCACACTATCCATTTATTTATTTATTTTATTTTCAAAGGCCAACTCTTGGTTTGGTTTAAGTGATCTTTTATATTTATTTTGCATCTCAGTTTCATTAACTTCTCTAGCTTTAGTTATTTTCTTCTGCTAGATTTGGTGTTGGTTCCCCCTCCCTCCCAGTTCTTTTAGGTGCAAAGTTAAATTGTTAATTTGAGATTTTTCTAACTTCTTGATGAAGGCATTTTAGGGCTATAAACTTTCCAATTAACTCTGCTTTGACTGCATCCCAAAGATTTGGGAAAGTTTTTCCTATTTTCATTTATTTCAAATAATTATTTTAATTTCTGCCTTAATTTTTATATTCACCTGGGAGTTATTCTGTTGTAAGTTGTTTGATTTCCCTGTATTTTTGTATTTTGAGAGATCTTCTTGGTATTGATTTCTATTTTTATTGCACCGTGGACCAAGAGTGTGTGCTTTGTGTGATTTGTTTCTTTTGAATTTAATGAGGCTTGCCTTAGTAAATTGCTCAGAGTCCATCTTAGGCTATATTCTGTGCAGATGAGAAGAATGACAATTCTTCATTTGTTGGGTGGCATGTTCATTCTGTAGATGTGTGTTAGTTCCATTTGGTCAAGTGTTGAGTTTAAGTCCAGAGTTTCTTTTTTAGTCAAGAACTTGTTCTACAAATCGGTGCTCCATTTTTGTATGTATGTGTATTTAGGACAGTGTTTGATTGTACCCATTATTATTATGTAATGACCTTCATTGTCCTTCTCAATTTTCACTGGTTTCACATCTGTTTTCCTGCTCTCTTTGTTTTCCATTAGCATGATGGATCTTACCCGCTCCTTTACTTTGAGGGTACAGGTGTCATTGGATGTGAGATGAGTGCCTTGAAGACCACAGATGGTTGGGTTTGTCTTTTTATTCAGCCTACCACTGTGTGTCATTCAAGGTTAGTATTGATATGTGATTGTGATCCTGTTATGTTGTTAGCTGGTTGTTAGGTAGACTTCGTTGTGTAGCTGCTTTAAAGTGCATGTGGGCTTGCGCTTAAGTGTGCTTTTGTGAGAGCAGATACCATTCTTTCAAATGCACGTTTGGCATTCCCTTGAGGATGTCTTGAAAGCCTAATCTATTTAAAGTGTATGCCCTTAGCATTTGTTTGTCTGAGAATAATTGTATTTCTTTTTTCCTTATGAATCTTAGTTTGGTGGGATATAAAATTCTTGGATTTTTTTTTTTAATGTTGAAAATAGGCCACCAGTCTCTGGTTTCTGCTAAGAGGTCTGCTGCCATCCTGATGGTGTTCTCTCTATAAGTGACCTGCCACTTCTCTCTAGCTGCATTTATATTTTCGTGTTTGTTTCCTTTCTTTTGTTTGTTTGTTTGTTTCTTTTTGCAGTGACCTTGGTGAATCTGATGACTATGTGCCTTGGGAATGGTCATCTTACATAGCATCTGGCTGGGGTTCTCTATTTTATTTGGATTTGGATGTTGACCTCTCTAGTGTGATGAGGAAGACTTTCATGACTGTCTCCTCAAATTTATTTTTCAAGTTGCTTATTCTTCCTCCTTTTCTCTCTGGAATGCTGGTGAGTCAAGTCACAGATTTGGTTGCTTTACGTAACCCCATATTTCTTGGATGTTTTATTCATTTTGAATTATTTTTGCTTCATTATTGTTTGACCAAGTTGATTTGAAGAACCAGTCTTGGAGCTCTGAAATTCTTTCCTCAGCTTGGTCTATTCCCCTCTTAACACTTCCATTTGTATTATAATGTTCTTATTGTGAAGTTTTCAGCTGAAGAAGTCAAGTTTTGGTCTTTCTTTAAGTGGCTATTTCATCTTTCAGCTCTTGAATTTCTTTGTTGCATTGCTTGGCTTCCTTGGGTTGATTTGAAATTTTAGTAACTTGCAGTAAATGTTGAAAGAGACCCAAAACGACATGCTGACTTTAGATATTCAGAAAATTTGATTCTAAATTCCCAGGCAAGGAGTTTTGCCTCTTTGACAGCCTATTTGATGGTCACCAGGTGGTCTTTGCTCCCATTTAAATTCCTCAGATAAGAAGTTTTGTCTCTGGGTGGTCTGTTTTATGGTCACCAGGTGATTTCTGCTCTCTTCAGTAACATGATTGTAGTGGCAGTTACCTGCATCTACACCTAAATAACATGAAGTAGAACCCCCAACACACACACTGAACCAATGTCAGTTTTCTCTTAACCCGTGTACTGGAATTACGCAAAATTATTTAAAATGCAGCCTTTGGGGGAATATGTAAGTGTACATTGAACATGTCTGCACTGTCTTTGCACCTTTTCATTACCCTATCATGTCAAATTCAAAAAATAGTCACGAGGGCCAGGGGCAGTGGCTCACGCCTGTAATCCCAGCCCTTTGGGAGGCCGAGGCGGACAGATCACCTGAGGTCAGGAGTTAGAGACCAGCCTGGCCAACATGGAGAAACCTTGCCTCTACTAAAAATACAGAATTAACCGGGCGTGGTGGAGCATGCCTGTAATCCCAGCTACTGGGGAGGCTGAGGCAGGAGAATCGCTTGAAACCGGGAGGCAGAGGTTGCGGTGAGCCAAGATGGCCCCATTGCACTCCAGCCTGGGAAACAAGAGCAAAACTCTGCCTCAAAAAATAAATAAAATAAAATAAAAAATAAAAAATAGTCAGCAGGAATGTAGACATTTAGATATATGCCATTCAAGTATACGTGAATAGGAAGATAACTAGTTGAACCAGACGCATGTTGATTATCTGCAAAGGTAAAATAAAATCAAAACATTTTTATTTGGCGTTTAAGAGGGAAGTGCTGGTTGCAACATGTAAAAGGAAGGTAATCATTTTTTATTTTCGGAGTTGATAAATATAGACTTGAACAAAACATCACTAAAAGACATGAAATATACAGTATTTTATTACAAAGATGTCATTTGACATCAGATGTCATTTGAAATTCTTTCGTAACAAGGGAAGTTTTTAGCATATATGTGAACAACAAACTAAGACTAAGAAGTTGTTTGCCAAATCAATAGATATTTGACAAGTGGGCATTCAAACCAAATGAGAAGCAGTTAGGTACACGTTTACATGTGTCCAAAATTATTGAATTATATGAGACCTTCAGCAGTAAAACAAATGATGGCTGAATAAACCTATAACTATACAACCACAACCATATCCCATGGGATAGGATCTATAGTTGGAAATTTTTTTACAAATAAGTTCTACTAGCTTCATGGCATTAGATGCAGTTTTCATTGTACGCACAGATCTGTAGACTGCGTGTATTTGTGTGTTCACTTTTCCTATTACCACTAATTTTTTTAACAAGGTTCATAATTATTTGCTTTCTATTAACTGACAAAATGTAGACGGACACCTATTTATAAACATATGAAAATTGTGTCAGTGTAGGCCGGGCATGGTGGCTCACACCTGTAATCCTAGCATTTTAGGAGGCCAAGGTGGGTGGATCACATGAGGTTAGGGTTTCAAGACTAGCTTGGCCAACATGGTGAAGTCCTGTCTGTCTCTACTAAAAATACAATAATTAGCTGGACATGGTAGCGGGTACCTGTAATCTCAACTATTCGGTAGGCTGAGGCAAGAGAATGGCTTGAACCCAGCAGACGGAGGATGCAATGAGCCGAGATAGTGCCATTGCACTCCAGCCTGGGGAACAAGAGCAAACCTCCATCCCCTCCAACAACAACAACAAAAGCAAAAAACAAACAAAAAAAAAAAACAAAAAGAAAATGGTACCAGTGGTCAGTGTAATACAATTTTATGGTGTGGCTGTTTTTCCCCTTTAGTCTCAGAGTCAGTCTCTCTCTCTCTCTCTCTCTTTCTCTCTCTCTCTCTCTCTCTCTCTCTCTCTCTCCCTCTCTCTCCCTCTCTCCCTCTCTCTCCCTCTCTCTCCCTCTTTCTCCCTCTCTCCCTCTCTCTCTCCCCCCTGCCTCCTTTCTTTCTCTATTTTTTTTTTACATCGACAGGTTACATTGTATGTTTTTATTGTGTACAAGATGATGTTTGAAGTATATATATAACATGGAATAGTTAAATCCAGAGAATTAACAAATGCATTTTCTCACGTAGTTATCTGTTTTTTTTTTTATTTTGGTAAGAGCAATTAATATCCATTCTGTGTACATATTTCAACAATATACCTTCACTAACTGTAGTGACCCTGCTATACAATAGATCTCTTTAAATTTATTACTCCTATCTGACTGTAATTATAAATCTTTTGATAAAATTCTCCTCATTCTTTCTTTTCCTATAACCACTCTAGTCTCTGGTAACCATTGTTTCACTCTCTATATCCACAGAGTCTTTTTTTTTTTAAGTTTTCTCATAAAAGTGAGACCATTTTTTTTCACTCAACGTAATGTCTTCCAGGTTCATCCCTGTTGCTGCAGATGAGAATTTCATTCTTTTTTATAGCTGAATACTCTTCCATTGTGTATATGTACCACATTTTCTTTATGTATTCATTCACTGATGGACACTTGAGGTGATTCTATATCTTGGCTACTGTGAATAATGCTGAAATAAACATGAGAGTGTATATATCTCTTCAACATACTGGATTCAATTCCTTTTGATACATTCTCAAAAGTGGAATTTCTGGATAATGCATTAGTACTAATTTCTAATTTTTGAGGAAGCTCCAAACTGTTCATGGAGTAAAATGGGTTTAGTGATTTGCATTATCACCCATAATGTGCAAGAGTTTTCGTTCCTCCATATTCTTTTTTTTTTTTCAACGTTTCTTTTTTCTTTTTATTCTTTAAATAATGGCTGTTCCAACCAGGATGAGGTGAAGTCTCATACAGGTTTTGATTTACATGTCTTCTTTTGAAAAATGCCTTTTGAGAAAGGCCTATTAAGAGACCTATTTTCTTTACGGAGAATTGTTTATTTTTTTCTTTCTAATTTTTAAAATTTAACTTCTATTTTAGTTTTAGGGCTACATATGCAGGTTTGTTATATAAGTAAACTTGTATGATAGGGGTTTGTTGTACAAATTATTTCATCACCCAGGTATTAAGCCTAGTGTCCATTAGTTGTTTTCACTGATGTTCTCCTTCCTCCCACTCTGTAGCCTCTAATGGGCCACAGTGCGTGTTGTTTCCCTCTATTTGTCCATGTGTAATCATAATTTAGTTCCCAGTTATAAGTGAGAACACGTGGTATTTGTTTGTTTTGCTTTTGAATATTTTTAAGTTCCTTGTATATTTTAATTAACCCCTTGTCTGATGTATAATTTGCAAATATTTGCTCTCATTCTATCACTCTGATTTTTTTTTTTTTTTTCTGCGTGGAAGCTTTCTAGTAGGATGAAACCTCATTTGTCTGTTGGTGGTTTTGTTGCTTGTGGTTTTGAGGTCTTATCCAAAAAAAAAAAAAAAATCCTTGCCCAGACCAAGGTCATTAAGTTTGCCCTGTGTTTTATTAGGTTTGACAGTTTAGGGTTTTCATTACATATTTATTTTTAAACGTTTTTAAAAATGTATTTTTACAGATGAGGTCTCACTGTATTGCCTAGGGTTAGTGCAGTGGCATGAGTGTGGCATGCTACAGCCTTGCACTCCTAGGTTCAGGTGATCCTCCTGACTCAGACCCCAGAGTAGCTGGAACTATAGGTACACGCCACTGCACTATAGGCTTTTTAGTGTATTTGAGTTATTTTTTGTATGTAGTAAGAGATAGGGTTCTGATTTTGTTTTTCTGCATGTAGCTCTCTTGTTTTCCCAGCACCACTTATTGAAGAGACTGACTTTCCTCATTTTGTGTTCTTGGCATCTCTGTAGAATATCAGTTGGCTATCCGTGTGTGGATTTATTTGTGCTCACTATACTCAGTTGCATTGGTTTATAGCATTGTGATGCCTCCAGCTTTATGGGTTCACTCCCCAAACCTATGGCCATCTTCAGGATTGCTTTGGCTATTCAGGTTTTTTTTCTGCGGTTTCATATTAATTTTGAATTTCTTTCTATTTCTGTGAAAAATGCCATTGGTGTTTTGATAGAGATTGCATTGAATCTGTGGACCTATTTGGGTCCTATAAACATTTTAACCACATTACTTTTTTCCAATCAATTAGCATAGATATCTTTCCATTGATTTATGTTATTTTAATTTTTTATTAATACTTCATAATTTTCAGAATGCAGATTATTTTCTACCTCCTTGGTAAAATTTACTCTAAAGGTTTTTTGTTCATTCATTTGTTTTCCCATAGCTATTGTAAATGGGATTATTTTCTTGAGGTTTTTTTTGTAGACATTTTCGTATTAGTATATGAAAATGCTACTTAATTTATATGTTGATTTTGTAAACTGAAACTTGACTGATTTTCTGAAATAGTTCTAACTGCTTTTTAGTGGTGTGTTTAGGGATTTCCATATAATATCATTAGGAAATATGGAAAATTTTACTTCTTTCTTTCCAATTTGGGTACCTTTTCTTTCTCTTGTCCAGTTGCTCTGGCTAAAGACTTTCAGGATTATGTTAATATAAGCAGTTAAAGTGAACTTCTTAGTCTCCTTTCAGATCTTCAGAGAGAAGCTTTCAACTTTGAACTCCCACTGAGTGTGATGTTAGCTATGGGTTTGTCATGTAGAGCATTATTTGGTTATTCTCGTTTATGTCATTTGTTGTGTTGAGTTACAATTGTTCTATGCATAATTTGTTGAGAGATTTTATTATAAAAAGATGTTGAATTTTGTCAAATGGCTTTTTTATTTATTGAAATGACCACCTAGATTTTGTTATTTATTTTGTTGATGTAATGTATGACACTTAATGATTCTTGTGTATTAAACCATTCCTGTATTCCTGTAATCTCACTTGATCATGGAAAATCATGAATGATTTTCTAAATGTGCATTATAACTCAGTTTCCCAGTATTCTGTTGAGGATTTTTACATTATGTTAATCAGGTATATTAGCCTGTAGTTTTCTCTTCTTTGTTGTATCCTTGTCTGGTTTTGTATTGAGCATATTGCTGGCCCCACAGAATGAACTGGAACAGTTCACATATCTTCTTTTTTTTATTTTTTTCCACTAGGTTAAAAAGAATTGATAGTAGTTATTTTTTAGTGGTAGGTAGAATGCAGCAGTTAATCTATCAGGTCCTGGGCTTTTCTTTAATGGGTAACTTTTTATTGCTGATTTGATTTCTTACCATTAATTTGTTTCTGGGTGTCAGTTATGACATCTCCTTTTTTGTCTCTGATTATATTTATTAGTGACTTTTTTTACTTTTGATTTTAGCTTTTTGTTTTTCTAATTCTTTGGTTTGGTGTATTTCGTATCTTCTTTTTGATGAAGACATTTATTGCCATAACTTTCCCTTTAAAACTGCTTTGGTCATATCCAGTAGGTTTTGATGTGTTCTGTTTCTATTTTTGTCTCAAGAAATATGGTATTTTCTGTGTAATGTCTTCATTGACTCACTGGTTGTTCAGGAGTATGTAATTTAATTTTCATGTACTTATGAATTAGTGATATTAGAAGAGATACCCTGTATGACTTTGATCTCTTCGAATTCATCAAGATGTGTTTTTTGGCCTAATGTATGATATATCCAGGAAAATGTTCCATGTATGCAGTAAAGAATGTGTATTCTATAACTCTTGGATGGATAGTTCTGTAACTGTTTTGTCCATTTGCCCTACAGTGCATTTTAATCTGATGTTTACTTACTGATTTTCTGTCTGCATGATCTATTCATTTCTGAAAGTAAGGTGCTGAAGTTTTCTATTAGTACCTTGTAGTTTTTTTCTCCCTTTGCATCTATTAATATTTACATTATATATATGCATATAAATATATATGTATATTCCTGATATGATATTTTCTTTTTTATCCTGCTTAATTCTGTATGCTGTCTTTGTCTTTGATATTTGTTGGTTTGATTATATTAAGCCATGGCGATATTATTTGGATTTAATCTTATTGGAAGACTTCAATATTCCTTTACCTGAATATTTATATTTTTATTTAGATTTGGAAAATTTTTTGTTGTTATTTCTCTAAATAGACTTTTTACTTTTTTTTCCTACAATACGCTTATTTTTTTTTTTTTTAATTTGAGACGGAGTTTTGCTCTTGTTGCCTAGGCTGGAGTGCAATGGCGTGATCTTGGCTCAATGCAACCTCCGTGTCCTGGGTTCCGTGATTATCCTGCCTCAGCCTCTTGAGTGGCTGGGATTACAGGCGTCCACCAACCACACCTGACTAATTTTTGTATTTTTAGTAGAGACACAGTTTCACCATGTTGGGCACTCTGCTCTGAAACTCCTGACCACATGTGATCCACCCGCCTCCGCCTCCCAAATAGCTGCGATTACAGGTGTGAGCCATTGCACCCAGCTTTTCCTTGAACACCAGTGACTAATACATTTGTTCTTTGGATGTTATCACATAAATCCTATGAACTTTCTAGATTTCTTTTTTTTTTCTTCTGACTGTATATTTTTAATTGATCTGTCCTTGAGTTTTTCTGCTTGGCCACTTCTGTCAATACTCTCAACTGTATTTTTTTTATTTTATTGTGTTTTTATCTTCAACTTTTTTATTAGTTTTTTCCTCCCATTATTTCAATCTCCTTGCTAAGGTTCTCTGATAAATTTCTGAATTGTTTGTGTTTTCCTTAAGTCCACTACATTGTCTTAAAATAAGTATTTGAATTTTTTGTCAGGCTATGTGTCCATGCCCATCTCTTTCGGGTCACTCACAACTGGCACCTTATTTTGTCCACTTGGTGCCATGATGTTCTCGTCATTGATCCTGATCTTTGTGACTATGCATTGTTATCTGCACAATGATATAGGTGCCTGATTCAGTGTTCATGTCTGGGCTCTGTTTGGAAGCTTCTTTCTACAGTAAGCCTGTCCAGAGATTCAGGGCAAGAAGAAGAAGGAAATTAAGGTCTTTAAGTCTATGATAGCTTCAGCCCTGGTAGAAGTAGGGGGAATCCTAATGCCTAGACTTTGATGGCTGAAGTAATTTGACCACCAAAGCTGACTCAGTGCCAGGTTGCACCTGTAGCCCACAGTAGAGCACTGGATGCACTCAAGGCATGCAGCTGCCATGGTCTTCCCTCTGAGGTTTATTCAGTCAACCAGTAGGAATGTTGACTGGAACTCGACTCCATCCTGCTGAGCCCACAGTTTCTCATCTGTTGTCGGGATGTGTCTAGAAGTTTGCCCCTTGATATCATCCTCCCAAAGTGCTGGGGTGAAGGCACAGAAAAATAAAGACCCAAGTGAAAGTCCTATGTTTTCTTCCTGGGCTCAAGCAATCCTCCCACTGCAGCCTCCTGAATAGCTGGGACTACAGGCATGTGCCACCATGCCTGGCTAAATTTGTGTATTTGTGTGTGTGTGTGTGTGCACGCGTTTTGTAGATACAGGTTTTCACCATGTTGCCCAGGTTGATCTTGAACTCCTGGGCTCTAGTGATCCATTCACCTCAGCCTCCTAAAGGTAGGATTACAGGTATGAGTCACCATACCTGGCCAAATTTTACTTTCGAACATTTAATTTTTAGGTCATTTATTATATTCAGTCTCATTTCTCATAAATGCAGTTACAATGCTAATGTTTTAGAGTTTCACTTTGAGTATTCCTTAAGGAATAAATGGAGTGTTAATATTCATTTTCTAAATGGTGTTAGAAAGTGAATAATAAATTTAGACGAGGAATGACTATTTTGCTATTTGGCCTTTTTTTGTTTTCTGGCTTAAGTTCATTGTGTATGAAGAGTGTTTTTTGTTAGTGTTTATTTGTTTGTTTGTTTTTTGAGATGGAGTCTCGCTCTGTCGCCCAGGCTGGAGTCCAGTGGCGCTATCCTGGTTCACTGCAACCTCTGCCTCCTGGGTTCAAGTAATTGCCCTGCCTCAGCCTCTCGAGTATCTGGGTCTATGCCCGGCTAATTTTTTGTATTTTCAGTAGAGATGGGGTTTCACTGTGTCACCCAGAATGGTCTTGATCTCCTGACCTCTTGATACACCCACCTCAGCATCCCAAAGTGCTGGGATTACAGGTGTGAGCCACTATGCCCAGCTGAAGAGTGTATTTTTTTTTAACCTGCATGTATATGTAAAATGAATTTTTTCTCTTTCAACTGAATGTAGTACAAAAGTGCTTAAACCAATTATTCAACTACTTCATAATTTTGGTTTTCTTCCATGTGCTTATTTGTCTAATTGTTGAGAGAACAATGTTGAAATTAAAATAATTTTGCTTATGAAAAAGTTTCTCATAAAGTTGCATGGATACATACAATCACACACATGCACACACACACTTCTTTTTTTTTGTTTGTTTTTTTGAGATGGAGTCTCGCTCTGTCGCCCAGGCTGGAGTGCAGTGGCACGATCTCAGCTCACTGCAAGCTCCGCCTCCCGGGTTCATGCCGTTCTCCTTCCTCAGCCTCCCGAGTAGCTGGGACTACAAGCTCCCACCACTACGCCCGGCTAATTTTTTGTATTTTTAGTAGAGACTGGGTTTCACCGTGTTAGCCAGGATGGTCTCAATCTCCTGACCTCGTGATCCGCCCGCCTCGGCCTCCTAAAGTGCTGGGATTACAGGCGTGAGCCACCGCGCCCGGCCACACATACTTCTTAATTTCTGTAGCTTTTTATTTTTTTCTGCTTCTCTAGTACCTTGTATTCCATCACTCAGCAGAATCTGTCAGCTCCACTTCCAGGATTTACTTTAACTCCACAGCTTATTTCTTCTTTTCTGTTACCACCATAGTCTAAAACACAGTCTATATTACATTAGTCTCCTATTTCACATGCTAACTTCCTAGTTAACACTCTTAACTTTCTATAAAGAATGGAACTGTCTTTTCAGTGTCTAATTCAGGTATTTTTTTTTAATTGAGACTGCTTTATATGTGCTGTCACACCTTATAGCATCAGATCTGAATGTGTCTCTTCCATTTTATCTGTGCCAGTCTTCTCTTTGAGGGAATGTGTATATACATGTATAAATGTAGATATGTATGTATTTGCTTATTATTTGTTTTTCCAAGGTGTAATATATGTTTTGCATGCCTATACTTACTGTATCCCTGAAAATGGAAGATTAACAAACCTTTCTTTTTATAAGTAAATGATTTTCTAAAGGAGGTGGGTGAGGAAGAATATATCTTAAAATGGCAAGTTTAAAAAAGAAAGTGGTCATTACTAATGAAAAATATTCTCTAACATTTTCATGTTTGTCTTTAATAGCATTGCTGATGACATTTTCCCTGTTATCAGTTACTTATGGGGCCATTCGCTGCAATATACTGGCCATCCAGATCAGCAATGATGATACTACCATTAAGCTACCGCCGATAGAATTCTTCTGTGTCGTGATGTGGCGTTTTTTGGAGGTTATCTCACGTGTAGTGACTCTGGCATTTTTCATTGCATCTCTGAAACTGAAGAGCCTACCCGTTTTGTTAATCATATATTTTGTATCATTGTTGGCACCGTGGCTGGAGTTTTGGAAAAGTGGAGCTCATCTTCCTGGCAACAAAGAAAATAATTCCAATATGGTGGGTACAGTACTGATGCTTTTCTTGATCACACTGCTATATGCTGCCATCAACTTCTCCTGCTGGTCAGCAGTGAAACTGCAGTTGTCAGATGACAAAATAATTGACGGGAGACAGAGGTGGGGCCATAGAATCCTACACTACAGCTTTCAGTTTTTAGAAAATGTGATAATGATATTGGTATTTAGGTTCTTTGGAGGGAAAACTTTGCTGAATTGTTGTGACTCATTAATTGCCGTGCAGCTCATCATAAGCTACCTATTGGCCACTGGCTTTATGCTCCTCTTCTATCAGTATTTGTACCCATGGCAGTCAGGCAAAGTGTTGCCAGGACGTACTGAAAATCAGCCAGAAGCACCGTACTATTATGTAAACATCGAGAAAACTGAAAAGAATAAAAATAAGCAGCTGAGGAATTACTGTCACTCCTGCAATAGGGTTGGATATTTTTCAATCAGAAAAAGTATGACATGTTCATAAAATATACATATATACTTTCACAGAACAATGAGTAAAGATGCTGAATGTGACTTGTTAAGAGGCTCTTAAATTTAAAAAATATACACAGCAAAATCTTGGAAGTGGTTTCTAATAAAATTCATTTATGTTCTCCTGTGAACGTGCCTTAGTAATTTTTGTTTTCTTAACTATAATTATACAATTCATTAAATAAAACAAAATAAAAAATCCATCTGGATCCAAAAACTGAGCAGGAAAAATAACCGTAATGCATTTTTCACCTAGTACGTTTTTGGAATGCCTTTAACAAGTTTTTGTAGCGTATACATTATCAGTGAACATGTTTTCTTCAGAAAGAGTATTTACCACAGGTTTTATTCTGTACTTAAGGAGAATCTGAAAGGCAAGTCTTATGAGACTGCTCCTATTTATCTTAATTTAGGGTAACTAAGGCATTTCTCATTGAACTTTGACTAACAGAAAGCAACTCATATTAATGCATCTCAAGGCACAAAAACTTTTCAATTAAAAATAAATAATCATGTTAATAATTTGAAATACGAATTTACATTCCTACCAACAGTGCACAAGGATTCTCTTTGCTCTACATTCTCAATAACACTTGTCATCTTTCATCTTCATGATAATAGCTGTTCTAACATTTTGAGAGAAGGTGCATTGTTGGTTTTAATTACCATTTCCCTGATGATTGGTGGTGAAGCATCATTAAATATACAGTTGTTCAAAAATTGGCCAGGCACAGTAGCACACACCTGTAATTCCAGCTACTAGGGAGGCTGAGGCAGGAGAATTGCTTGAACCTAGGTGATGGAGGTTTCAGTGAGCCAAGATCGCACCACTGCACTCCAGCCTGGGTGACAAAGTGAGACTCTGTCTCCAAAAAAATAAATAAATAAATAAATAAATAAATAAATAAATAAATAAATAAGGCCGGGCTTGATGGCTCACGCCTGTAATCCCAGCACTTTGGAAGGCCAAGATGGGCAGGTCATGAGGTCAGGAGATGGAGACCATCCTCACTAACATGAAGAAACCCCGTCTCTACTAAAAATACAATAAAAATTAGCTGGGCGTGTTGGCATGCATCTATAGTCCCAGCTACTCAGGAGGCTGAGGCAGGAGAATCGCTGGAACCTGGGAGGCACAGGTTGTGGGGAGGTGAGATCGCGCCACTGCACTCCAGCGTGGGTGACAGAGTGAGGCTCCATCTCAAAATAAATAAATAAAATAAATGAATAAATAAAATTAAACATAGTTAAACATAGACTTGACCATTTTTGTCTTTTTTTGAGAAATGTAAATTCAGGTCCTTTGCCCATTTTTAATAGGCTTACTTGATTTGTTGTTGTTAAGTGGTGTGAGTTTCTTGTATGTATTTATTATTCACCATTTATCATATATATGATTTGCAGACATTTTCTCCCAGTGTAGGGGTTGTCCCTTCACCCTCTCTGCTAATTGTTTCCTTTGCTGTGCAGAAACTTTCTAGTTTGATGTGATGCAATCCAATTGCTGTTTTTCTTGTGCTTTTGTAGCCTGTGCTTCTGGGGTGATAGAACTGAGGTTTCAAAAATTAAATTAAAAATAGAATTACAACATGGTCCAGCTACTCTACTTCTGAATATGTACTCAAATGATATAAATTCGTATTTCAGAGAGATATTTGCATACCTATATTCATGTCAGCATTATTCACAATAGCCAAGATAAGGAAACAACCCAAGTGCTCATCAACAGATCAGCAGATAAAGCGTGGCACATATACACAATGGAATATACTATACAGCCTTAAAAAAAGAGAAAGTGCTGTTATTTATTTATGATAAAATGAATGGAATTGGAAAACATGCTCAGTGAAATAAGACAGGCACAGAAAAACAAATATAGCATGGTCACAATTACATGTAAAATCTAAAAACGTTGAACTCATAAAAATAGTGAATATGCTAAGTGTGGTGACTCATGTCTGTTATCTCCAGCACTTTGGGAGGATGAGGCGGTTGGATCACTTGAGTTCAGGTGTTTGAGGCCACAGTGAGCCATAGTTGTGCCGCTTCACTCCAGCCTGGGCAACACAGCAAGATCGTGACTCTTTATACAAATACACAGAAAGTAGTCAGAGATTGGAGTGTGGGGTAGTGATAGGAATACATACGGAAGGGATGACATTTGTCAAAGGGTAAAAAATTTCTGTGAGGCCGGAAGTAGTTCTGGTGATCTGTTGCACAGAATGGTGATCACAGTTAAAAAATGTACACTTCAAAATTGCTGAAAAAGGCAGGCATGGTGCCTCATGCCTGTAATCCCAGGACTTTGGGCGGCCATGGCAGGCAGATCACTAGAGGTCAGGGGTTCAAGACCAGCCTGGCCAGCATGGTGAAACACCGTCTCTACGGAAAATACAAGAACTAGCCAGGTTTGGTGGCACACACCTATAGTCACAGCTACTCAGGAAGCTGAGGCAGAAGAATCACTTGAACCCGGACAGTGGAGGTTGCAGTGAGCCAAGCTTGTGCCACTGCACTCCAGCCTGGGCGACAAAAGCGAAACTCCATCTGAAAAAAAAAGTTGGAAAAGTAGAGTTTAAATATTCTCACCACAACGAAATGATAAGTGTGTGAGGTGATGTATATGTTAACTAGCCCAACTTATTTTGCATTGTATACATGTATTATAAAATCACTTTGTGTCCCATAAATCTTTACAATTGTTAATTTAAAATAAAATTTCTGAAAGAATGAATTAAAATTAAACTTGGCTTGATATACGTAGACAGTAATATATGCCTATGTGTCCTTCTATTTTGACTATTTTGCTTCTGTTATTTCTTGGGGAAACAATCACCATGATAAATGAAGAACACTAAAGCTTAATATTGTATAATTCTCATTATTTTGTTGTTTTTGTTTTTCCTCCTACTTTTTTCTACCAAAGCAATGTGGACAATTTTCTTATTCATACTTTCTTTTATGTTTTTTTTTCTGATGAGAAATCACCACCAAAAATTAAGCTCATGTGGATTTGTGTAATTTTTCCTGCTCCTATCTATGACCATCTTTACCTTTACTTTAGATTTTACAGCTTCGTAAAACACTTATTTACTTATTTATTATCTCCCTGTATCATTATTTTTTCTTTTCTTTTCTTTTCTTTTTTTTTTTTTTTGAGAAGGAGTTTCACTCTTGATGTCCAGGCTATAATGCAATGGTGTGATCTAGGCTCACCGCAACCTCTGCCTCCCAGCTTCCCCGGTTCAAGCCATTCTCCTGCCTCAGCCTCCTGAGTAGCTGGGATTGCAGGCATGCGCCACCACGCTCGGCTGATTTTTTGTATTTTTGGTAGAGACAAGGCTTCACTGTATTAGCAAGGATGGTCTTCATCCTTGTGATCCACCCGCCTCAGCCTCCCAAAGGGCTGGGATTACAAGCATGAGCCACTGTGACCAGCCAACTATTCGTTATTAAATGAAAGAGAGAATGGCTCTCATAATAATGATGGACGCAGCCTTGTATGAAATCTTACTAAACAGGCTGAACGCCGCCTAAACATTAAAAAGCAAGGTAAATTTAAGCAAGTTTATATTTTATGCTGTCATTACATTTAATTGGGTTAAAAGTTAAGGGGTATTAGGCAGAGAAAAAAACCTCAGACTTGACTCTTGGAGCTCTGGAGTCTAATAACATAACTCACGGGAGTGGTTAAAGAAGACCTTACCCCTGAGTTTAGGCAAGACAGTGTGTGTCTTTTTTTTTCTTCGTCGTCTTCTTTCTTTTTTTCTGAGACAGACTCTCCCTCTGTCACCCAGGCTGGAGTGTAGTGGTGCAATCTCGGCTTACTACAACCTCTGCCTCCTGGGTTCAAGCGATTCTCCTGCCTCAGCCTCCCGAATAGCTGGACTACAGGTGCGTGCCACAATGCCTGGCTAATTTTTTGTATTTTTAGTAGAGACAGGGTTTCACCGTGTTAGCCAGGATAGTCTCAGCCTCCTTACCTGGTGATACACCTGCCTCGGCCTCCCAAAGTGCTGGGATGACAGGCGTGAGCCATTATGCCCAGCCAGTATGTGGTATTTTAACTGTCCATTATCACCCACTCCATGACTTCATGGCAACAGTGAAGAAGACGAAGTTCTAGGTGCAGCTTTTGATGCATGTGGGAAAAATATGGAGCTTATCTCAAAGAATTGTGGTTGTCATGGCGAAACCCTGTCTCTACTAAAACTACAATAATTAGCTGGGCCTGGCAGCAGAAGCCTGTAGTCCCAGCTACTGGGGAGGCTGAGGCAGGAGAATCACTTGAACCCGGGAGGTGGAGTTTGCACTGAACCGAGATTCTGTCACTGCACTCCAGCCTGTGCAACAGATTGAGACTCTGTCTCAAATAATAATAATAATAGTAATAATAATAATGATTGTATGATTTGAACTCTCTGAAGTTATCTTGAAGATTATTAGCTCAGATTCTTTAGCCCACCTCATAGCTTTCTTGGGGTAAGAAGTCAACTCCCAGGAGGCCTTTGTGGAAGGGAAATATACTAGTGAGAGCCACCTGGCACTCAGGTCAAGAAGTACACAAAGAAAATGCCTGGAAGGAAGAGGTTGGGGAAGGAAATTGCTGTGGAAAATCAGCTTTGAAAAACTCTCACAGTTTGTTGTTGTTGTTTGCTTTGGTTTTGTTTTTAAATAGAGACAGAGCCTTGCCCTGTGGCCCAGGTTGGAGTCATGAGGCATGATCCTGGCTCACTACAGCCTCGACCTCCCTGGGCTCAAGTGATTTTCCCACCTCAGTTTCCTCAGCAGCTCAACCTTTCTGGATTCTGTGATCCTCCCACCTCAGCCTCCCACAGTGCAGGCATGGGTCACCACACACAGCTTATTTTCGTATGTTTTATAGAGATGAGATCTTGCCATGTTGTCAAAACTGGTCTCAAACTTCTGGGCTCAAGTGACTTGTTCACCTCAGCCTCCCAAAGTGCTGGCATTACAGGTATGAACCACCATGCCCAGCCTCCTACTGGTATATTTAGAAGGTTATAAATATTTCCAGTATTGGATGTATGCACAGAGAAGCTCCTGAAGCTTTCACTTTTCCCTGACTTTGGGCTAAACACTGGAGTTCCTCAAAGAGTCAATCTGCAAAGTCTGGGCAGTTTTTCTTTTCTTTCTTTTCTCCTTTTCCTTTTCTTTGCTTGGAGTGTTTTCTAAAAATTTGTCAAAAACTGTAGATGGCAAACAGAGTGACAGAACACAGGTTAAGTGTCCATACATGACAAAGAATACAGGATACAAAAATAGCTTTAGAGGGTTGCAAAACAAGTAAATGACCCCCAAAACTAAGCAATTGTGGAGGGCAGGAATATGTTTTCTGGATATGCTGAATGATTTCTAAAGTGTTCACTGTTCAACAATAAAATACAAGGCATTCAAAAGGACAAAAAAATGGCACCCTCAACGGGAAAATAATGAAAAGAAACTGTACTTCAGGAATCCCAGCCGTGGTATTTACTAGGCAAATATTTTAATTTACTTGACTTCAATGTTCTCAAATACCTAAGAGAAGCCAGGACAACAGTGTTTCAAAAATGGAAAATACCAATAAAGACCTACAAATTATTTTTAAAAATGAAATTCATACCCTGTAACTAGAAAGACTGAAGAGTATGCATGAGCATGCAGGAAGGATAATCAAGGAACTTGAAGACGGATTGTTTGCTATTCAGTCTAAGGAAGGTACAAGAAGAGAAAAACAAGAAAAATGAATAAAACTAAGGTAGCCATGGAACAACATCAAGTATATCAACATATTCATAATGGGAGCCCCACAGGAAAAGGAGACACAGAGATAAAAAAAATAATTTGAAGAAGCAATGGCTGAAACTTCCCAAATGTGCTGATAGATACAAATTTACTTATTCAAGAATCCCAGAAGAAAAAAAATACTCCTAGAAGAATAACCTCAAAGATATCTACACTGGAACACATACACTGAAATTGACAAAAGATAAATTAATAGAGAACTTTAAAAGAAGCAAGACAGAAGTAACTGATCACATGCAAGTTATCCTCAATGACATTAACAGCCAATTTCTCATTAAAATTTATGGAGGAAAGAAGTCACTGGGGTGACATATTTAGAGGGCTGAAAGAAAACATAAATCAGTCATAAACTCAATATCTGGCAAAACCGAACTCAATTTCTCAATTTATGAGTAAGGCATTTCCAAGCAAACAATTAAAGAGAGTACATCACTATTAGATTGGCCTTACAAAATATGATGAAGTAAGGAATGTAAGAACAATACACAGTAACCCATGTGCAAATAAATAAATAAATAACATCAATAAAGTAATTACACCAGGAAATAGAAAAGCCAATACCATTGTATTTGGGGGTTTCTGTGACTTTATTTTTCTACTAGATTTAAAAAGTGGTAAGGCACAGTATTTCACATCTGTAATCCCAACCAAGGTGGGAGGTTTGGTTGAGCCCAGGAGTTTGAGACCAGCCGGGGCAACAAAGTGTGACCCTGTCTCTACAGAAAATAAAATTAGCCAGGTATGGTGGCATGAACCTCTAGCCCCAGCTACAAGGGAGGTGGAAGTGGGAGGATCCCTTGAGGCCAGGAGCTCAAGGCTGTAGTGAACCATGTTTAGCCTGCATGATTGAAACCATGTCTCAGTAAAGTAAAATAAAATAATAAAATAAAGAAATGACATATAATAAGACAAGAATTATATATCTGTGCTGTTAGCACATATTGAATAAGAAGCAATTTTTGACAAAACGTAGGAATGGAGGGACAGCAGTATGGGAAAATATTTTTATATAATGTAAACAGTTGTTATAATTCACACTATATTATTATAAATTTAAGATATTAGTTATAATACCCTTAATGACCACTAAGAAAATAACTGTTAAAATATACTAAAGAGAAATGAGACAGTCAAAATGGTACCCTAGAAAAACAATCAAATGTAAAAATGAGCAGTTTTTGGAGGAATTGAATAACAACCACAACAACAACAAATTTGTAGAAAACAAGGACAAAAATAGCAAAATCTTTCTTATCAGTAATTACCTTAAATGCAGATAAATTAAACTCCAGTTAAAAGTCAAAGATTGACAGAATGACTTTTTACATGTTTTAAAAGGGACGGGAAAATTAATTCAAACAGTAACCAAAATAGAGCTAGAGGTACTATGCAAATATCAAGAATGTTTAATTCATCAAAAAGATATTATCCTTACATATTTACCTAATAAAAGATCCGCAGGATATATGAAACAAAGACAAACAGATTTGAAGAGGTGGACAGTTCTGCAATAATAGTTGGTGATTTCAACATCCCACTTTCAACAGTGGATGAAACAACCAAACAGAGGTTCAATAAGAAAACAAATGTCTTAAACAGCATTATAAACCAAATGAGGCTATTAGACATATACAAAACACTCCACTCCACAAGTGGATTAAATATTCTTCTAAAGGGTTTATAGGTCCAGAATAGTCTTCACGGTAGGCCACAAAGCAAGTCTCATATTTAAAACTATTGAAATCACACATAATGCTTTTTCCAACCACAGTGGAATAAAACTAGAGACTGCCCCCCCTCTTTTTTTTTGAGACGGAGTTTTGCTCTGTCACGCAGGCTGGACTGCAGTGGCACAATGTCAGCTCACTGCAACCTCTGCCTTCCATGTTCAAGTGATTCTACTGCCTCAGCCTCCCAAGTAGCTGAGACTACAGGTGCCCACCACCACACCTGGCTAATTTTTATAATTTTAGTAGAGATGGAGTTTCACCATATTGATCAGTCTGGTCTTGAACTCCTGACCTCAAGTGATCCATCCCCCTCAGCCTCCCAAAGTGCTGGGATTACACGCACGAGCCACTGTGACCGCCTGAGCCCCATTTTCTAAAAACTGAAAAATGTATAATATTTGGAAACTAAACAATACACTCTTCAACAACCTATGGCTAATTGAAGAATCTGCAAGAAATTAAAGAATCCTTGCAGATAAATGGAAAATTAAAGCATATTGAAACTTCTGGGATGCAGCAAAATCAATACTGAGAAATATATAGTTGCAAACATAGACACATAAAGAAGAAATGTAAAATTATCAATTCACACACAAGGAAGTAGAAAAAGTGCAAACTAGAGAAGAGTACTTTTACAAAAAAATGACATAGTAAAGGAAGCTGGCATGTTTCCCCACCAACCCTAGCTCCCCCTCCCCCCAAGAACACATACAGGAAACCAAAAACCGATATACATTGCATAGGTTATCACCAGCAATAACTCAGAGCTCAAATATGAGGATGAGGCAGCTCCTAGGGTGACAGAGAAGTGAAGAAACCAGGCAGATGATAAGAAAGTTTGGCTTTTATATTCATGACACTCTTCCCCTAGTCTGCTGGCAACGAAGTGTAAAAAAAAAAAAAAATCCTCTGTCTCATGCTTACTACACTGGATTAAATAAAGTTGAAGTGGACAACACAAGCCACTTTTGATTTCCTGGCAGGAAACCTGTTCCTGTCTTAACCCACAGGAAGCCTTGTGAATGCCTGAAAGAAGAAGAATTCCTGAGGACAACCAGGGACAAGGCAGAAAGGCAGGACTACCACCTCCAGCCTTGATATCTTAGCCATAGGAGATGCCAAACCAGAGTGCCTGTGCAGCAGTACCATGAGGTAGGAGGTATATTTCATAATTTCCCTAGGCACAAACTTATAGCCAGCCTTCCCTCACTGTTAGCATAGCCCCTTCAGGATCTCTCTGATAGGGGACTGGCAGCAATCCTAAGCTTGCTAGAGCTGAGGCAAACCTTGGCTTAAGGCACCATCTACTGTCAAAACAAAGGAACTGACGTAGCTGAAAGCAAGCAAACAAAAACCCACCATAGGTGTGTCTAAAAAAACCTCAACGCAAATATATTCAGTAAAACACAAAATAATACAGAGAAAAGAATGAACTGAATAACTAGTCCTTCAATAAAAAGATATAGATGTATAACCACTAGAAATAATACCGAACAAGGAATCATAATCTTCCCAAATGGACAAAGCACTAAACCATTGACCAGTGCTAAATAATGTGATGGCTATCAGTGAGTTCTCTAATCAAGAATTCAAAATGGCGGTTTTCAGGAAATTCAGATCTCTAAAATGACAGAAAAGGAACTAATAAACTTCTGAGAGAAATTTTTAAAAATGAAATAATTTAAAAAATCCTGGAACTAAGAAACACATTGGCTGAAGTGAAAAATTCAAGAGACTCTCACCAGCAAAACAGATCAAACAACAAAAAAATCAAATGTGATTTTTAGAGTGAGCTCTAAAACAGGTTATTAGGGCTAGGTATGGTGGCTCACGCCTGTAATCCCAGCACTTTGGGAGGTTGAGGTGGGTGGATCACTTGCAGTCGGGAGTTCAAGACCAGCCTGGACAACATGCTGAAACCCTGTCTCTGCTAAGAATACAAAAATTTAGCTTGGCATAGTGGTGCACACCTGTAATTCCAGCTAGGTATTAGGTCTCCTATAGAATCGGTAATCTTGTCTCATTTGCTAGAAGCACAATTTAGATAAAATATAAAATGGATATAAGCCAGTGAGTTTTATATTACTCTATTGCTTTATTCATGGGTAAATTTTGTCAGGGCTATAAAATCTGCTTGCCTTTATCTATATTTTTAGCATATAGATGAACTGTGTGTGATATATTTCTACCTCTGGATGTTAGTACCAAGTTAATTTTTAATATCACTTAAAAGGGTGCTATCCAAATTGGCTAAGAGATAAATGAGCATTATTGTGAATTACATACTCCTAAAAATCCTAGAAATAGACAATCAAGTTCACATGACTCATGAAAATGTTTAGTAAATGAGATTAGTTTAAAATAGTTTATTGCACACAGCCACAGATTACAAGTTATTGTTATTATTAACTGCAAGAATACATTTGCGGGCCAGGCATGGTGGCTAACGCCTGTAATCCCTGCACTTTGGGAAACCAAGGCAGGTGGATCATCTGAAGTCAGGAGACCAGACCAGCATGGCCAAGATGTTGAAATGCCATCCTTACTAGAAATACAAAAGTCAGCCAGGAAATGTGGTGCACACCTGTAATCCTAGCTACACAGGTGGTTGAGGCAGGACAATTTTTTGATCCCAGGTGGCAGAGGCTGCAGTGAGCTGAGCTCACACCACTGCAATCCAGCCTGGATGACAGAGGGTGACTCTGTCAGAAAAAACAAACAAACAAACAAACAAACAAACAAAAAACACGAAAAAAGGGAATACACTTGATTTGTATACTTATTGGATTTCCTAATGTAGTAATTGAGCTGTGATATACTCACTGGACATTTAAGATTTTATAAAGATTTTTATGACAATAGAGAAATTTCTGCAGTTTAGTAAAAATGCATTTGCATAGAACATAAGTGGAAAGTGGTTTTATAACCAAGTCTTGTCTGAAATATCAAATATGTTTAAGAATGATTTCCATAGAATCAGATATAACCAGGTAGCATTAAGAACTAAAGTTGACCGTGGGGGCAATACTTATAAAGCCTTCATGGAAAAACCAACCTGGTAATTGGTTACAGAGTTCCTAGCCTACAAGATAAGAAAGGTCACTTCTGGGCAAGCTCTGGAACCTCACCATATTTGAAGACTTTGAGAGGAGTGGAATTCAACCAAATCTACAGGTTCTGATAGGGAAGTCGGTGGCAAGTTCCTGGCTTGGCTTCTAGTCCCAAGGCTTCAAAAAATATAATCTGAGACTAGTTACAGAAATTTTCAAAAATGAAACTGGAAAGGCCTCTGTGGCCAGGAAGGTGGGTCACACCTGTAATCGCAGCACTCTCACAGGCTGAGGTGGGAGAGGCACTTGAGCCCAGGAATTCACGACTAGCCTAGACAACATGGTGCAACCCCATATCCAGATACAAACAAACAAACAAAACAAAACACAAAATTAACCAGCCATGATGGTGTGCTCCTATGGTCTCAGTTACTCAGGAGGCTGAGGTGGGAGGACCACTTGAGCCCAGGAGGTTGAGAATGCAGTGAGCCAGACACTGTCTTTCATTTAAAAAGTGTATAATGAATAAATGAAGAAATAAAGAAAGGTGTTTGTGGTCAGTGACCATTCTTATTGCACTCAGGTAAATAATGCCAAAACTAGTAAGGCCAGACTGATTTTCTGAACAAGAGTAAAGAGAAGTACCACAGAGAGAATTTTGTTTCAATGGAAAATTAGAGGACACCCACGTGAGATGTTTTACAAATTTTATTAGTCTACATTTTTCAGTTCTTGTTTTATTCAATATATAGCTACAACTCTGTAAACTAAAATTTCAACATTGTGTCCCCCTTTTCATGGTTTAGCATCACTGAAAACTAAAACTGCCCAATTTTCCCCAAACCTTGTAAGCTGAAGCTGGATAACTAGGTATCAACATTTTATTTTTATTTTTTTTATTATTATTATACTTTAAGTTTTAGGGTACATGTGCACAATGTGCAGGTTTGTTACATATGTATCCATGTGCCATGTTGGTATGCTGCACCCATTAACTCGTCATTTAGCATTAGGTATACCTCCTAATGTTATCCCTCCCCCCTCCCCCCACCCCACAACAGTCCCCGGTGTGTGATGTTCCCCTTCCTGTGTCCCTGTGTTCTCATTGTTCAATTCCCACCTATGAGTGAGAACATGTGGTGTTTGGTTTTTTGTCCTTGCGACAGTTTGCTGAGAATGATGATTTCCAGTTTCATCCATGTCCCTACAAAGGACATGAACTCATCATTTTTTATGGCTGCATAGTATTCCATGGTGTATATGGGCCACATTTTCTTAACCCAGACTATCGTTGTTGGACATCTGGGTTGTTTCCAAGTCTTTGCTATTGTGAATACTGCCGCAATAAACATACATGTGCATGTGTCTTTATAGCAGTGTGATTTATAGTCCTTTGTGTATATACCCACTAATGGGATGGCTGGGTCAAATGGTATTTCTAGTTCTAGATCCCTGAGGAATCGCCACACTGACTTCCACAATGGTTGAACTAGTTTACAGTCCCACCAACAGTGTAAAAATGTTCCTATTTCTCCACATCCTCTCCAGCACCTGTTGTTTCCTGACTTTTTAATGATTGCCATTCTAACTGGTGTGAGATGGTATCTCATTGTGGTTTTGATTTGCATTTCTCTGATGGCCAGTGATGATGAGCATTTTTTCATGTGTTTTTTGGCTACATAAATGTCTTCTTTTGAGAAGTGTCTGTCTGTTCATGTCCTTTGCCCACTTTTTGATGGGATTGTTTGTTTTTTTCTTGTAAATTTGTTTGAGTTCTTTGTAGATTCTGGATATTAGCCCTTTGTCAGATGAGTAGGTTGCAAAAATTTTCTCCCATTTTGTAGGTTGCCTGTTCACTCTGATGGTAGTTTCTTTTGCTGTGCAGAAGCTCTTTAGTTTAATTAGATCCCATTTGTCAAGTTTGCCTTTTGTTGCCATTGCTTTTGGTGTTTTAGACATGAAGTCCTTGCCCATGCCTGTGTCCTGAATGGTATTGCCTAGATTTTCTTCTAGGGTTTTTATAGTTTTAGGTCTAACATGTAAGTCTTTAATCCATCTTGAATTAATTTTTGTATATAAGGTGTAAGGAAGGGATCCAGTTTCAACTTTCTACATATGGCTAGCCAGTTTTCCCAGCACCATTTATTAAATAGGGAATCCTTTCCCCATTGCTTGTTTTTGTCAGGTTTGTCAAAGATCACATAGTTGTAGATGTGTGGTATTATTTCTGAGGGCTCTGTTCTGTTCCATTGATCTATGTCTCCGTTTTGGTACCAGTACCATGCTGTTTTGGTTACTGTAGCCTTGTAGTATAGTTTGAAGTCAGGTAGCGTAATGCCTCCAGCTTTGTTCTTTTGGCTTAGGATTGACATGGCGATGCGGGCTCTTTTTTGGTTCCATATGAACTTTAAGGTAGTTTTTTCCAATTCTGTGAAGAAAGTCATTGGTAGCTTGATGGGGATGGCATTGAATCTATAAATTACCTTGGGCAGTATGGCCATTTTCACGATATTGATTCTTCCAACCCATGAGCATGGAATGTTCTTCCATTTGTTTGTATCCTCTTTTATTTCATTGAGCAGTGGTTTGTAGTTCTCCTTGAAGAGGTCCTTCACATCCCTTGTAAGTTGGATTCCTAGGTATTTTATTCTCTTTGAAGTAATTGTGAATGGGAGTTCACTCATGATTTGGCTCTCTGTTTATCTGTTATTGGTATACAAGAATGCTTGCAATTTTTGCACATTGATTTTGTATCCTGAGACTTTGCTGAAGTTGCTTATCAGCTTGAGGAGATTTTGGGCTGAGACAATGGGGTTTTCTAGATATACAGTCATGTCATCTGCAAACAGGGACAATTTGACTTCCTCTTTTTCTAATTGAATACCCTTTATTTCCTTCTCCTGCCTAATTGCCCTGGCCAGAACTTCCAACACTACGTTGAATAGGAGTGGTGAGAGAGGGCATCCCTGTCTTGTGCCAGTTTTCAAAGGGAATGCTTCTAGTTTTTGCCCATTCATTATGATCTTGGCTGTGGGTTTGTCATAGATAGCTCTTATTATTTTGAGATACATCCCATCAATACCTAATTTATTGAGAGTTTTTAGCATGAAGGGTTGTTGAATTTTGTCAAAGGCCTTTTCTGCATGTATTGAGATAATCATGTGGTTTTTGTCTTTGGTTCTGTTTATATGCTGGATTATAGTTATTGATTTGCGTATATTGAACCAGCCTTGCATCCCAGGGGTGAAGCCCACTTGATCATGGTGGATAAGCTTTTTGATGTGCTGCTGGATTCGGTTTGCCAGTATTTTATTGAGGATTTTTGCATCAATGTTCATGAAGGATATTGGCCTAAAATTCTCTTTTTTGGTTGTGTCTCTGCCAGGCTTTGGTATCAGAATGATGCTGGCCTCATAAAATGAGTTAGGGAGGATTCCCTCTATTTCTATTGATTGAAATAGTTTCAGAAGGAATGGTACCAGTTCCTCCTTGTACCTCTGGTAGAATTCGGCTGTGTATCCATCTGGTCCTGGACTCTTTTTGGTTGGTAACCTATTGATTATTGCCACAATTTCAGAGCTTGTTATTGGTGTATTCAGAGATTCAACTTCTTCCTGGTTTAGTCTTGGGAGGGTGTATGTGTCGAGGAATTTATCCATTTCTTCTAGATTTTCTAGTTTATTTGCGTAAAGGTGTTTGTAGTATTCTCTGATGGTACTTTGTATTTCTGTGGGATCGGTGGTGATATCCCCTTTATCATTTTTTATTGCATCTATTTGATTCTTCTCTCTTTTCTTCTTTATTAGTCTTGCTAGCGGTCTATCAATTTTGTTGATCTTTTTAAAAAACCAGCTCCTGGATTCATTGATTTTTTGAAGGGTTTTTTGTGTCTCTATTTCCTTCAGTTCTGCTCTGATTTTAGTTATTTCTTGCCTTCTGCTAGCTTTTGAATGTGTTTACTCTTGCTTTTCTAGTTCTTTTAATTGTGATGTTATGGTGCCAATTTTGGATCTTTCCTGCTCTCTCTTGTGAGCATTTGGTGCTCTAAATTTCCCTCTACACACTGCTTTGAATGTGTCCCAGAGATTCTGGTATGTTGTGTCTTTGTTCTCATTGGTTTCAAAGAACATCTTTATTTCTGCCTTCTTTTCGTTGTGTACCCAGTAGTCATTCAGGAGCACATTGTTCAGTTTCCATGTAGTTGAGCGGTTTTGAGTGAGTTTCTTAATCCTGAGTTCTAGTTTGATTGCACTGTGGTCTGAGAGACAGTTTATTATAATTTCTGTTCTTTTACATTTGCTGAGGAGAGCTTTACTTCCAAGTATGTGGTCAATTTTGGAATAGGTGTGGTGTGGTGCTGAAAAAAATGTATATTCTGTTGATTTGGGGTGGAGAGTTCTGTAGATGTCTATTAGTTCCGCTTGGTGCAGAGCTGAGTTCAATTCCTGGGTATCCTTATTAACTTTCTGTCTCATTGATCTATCTAATGTTGACAGTGGGGTGTTAAAGTCTCCCATTATTATTGTGTGGGAGTCTAAGTCTCTTTGTAGGTCACTCAGGACTTGCTTTATGAATCTGGGTTCTCCTGTATTGGGTGCATATATATTTAGGATAGTTAGCTCTTCTTGTTGAATTGATCCCTTTACCATTATGTAATGGCCTTCTTTGTCTCTTTTGATCTTTGTTGGTTTAAAATCTGTTCTATCAGAGAGTAGGATTGCAACCCCTGCCTTTTTTTGTTTTCCATTTGCTTGGTAGATCTTCCTCCATCCCTTTATTTTGAGCCTATGTGTGTCTCTGCACTTGAGATGGGTTTCCTGAATACAGCACACTGATGGGTCTTGACTCCTTATCCAATTTGCCAGTCTGTGTCTTTTAATTGGAGCATTTAGCCCATTTACATTTAAAGTTAATATTGTTATGTGTGAATTTGATCCTGTCATTATGATGTTAGCTGGTTGTTTTGCTCGTTAGTTGATGCAGTTTCTTCCTAGCCTCAATGGTCTTTACATTTTGGCATGTTTTTGCAGTGGCTGTTACCACTTGTTCCTTTCCATGTTTAGCGCTCCCTTCAGGAACTCTTTTAGGGCAGGCCTGGTGTTGACAAAATCTCTCAGCATTTGCTTGTCTGTAAAGTATTTTATTTCTCCTTCACTTATGAAGCTTAGTTTGGCTGGATATGAAATTCTGGGTTGAAAATTGTTTTCTTTAAGAATGTTGAATATTGTCCCCCACTCTCTTCTGGCTTGTAGGGTTTCTGCCAAGAGATCCGCTGTTAGTCTGATGGGCTTCCCTTTGTGGGTAACCCGACCTTTCTCTTTGGCTGCCCTTAACATTTTTTCCTTCATTTCAACTTTGGTGAATCTGACAATTATGTGTCTTGGAGTTGCTCTTCTCGAGGAGTATCTTTCTGGCATTCTCTGTATTTCTTGAATCTGAATGTTGGCCTGTCTTGCTAGATTGGGGAAGTTCTCCTGGATAATATCCTGCAGAGTGTTTTCCAACTTGGTTCTGTTCTCCCTGTCACTTTCAGTTACACCAATCAGATGTAGATAGTCCCATATTTCACATAGTCCCATATTTCTTGGAGGCTTTGTTCATTTCTTTTTATTCTTTTTATTCTTTTTTCTCTAAATTTCCCTTCTCACTTCATTTCATTCATTTCATCTTCCATCACTGATACCCTTTCTTCCAGTTGATCGCATTGGCTCCTCAAGTGGGACCAGACCTCAGCTGCAGGTCTGTTAGAGTTTGCTAGAGGTCCACTCCAGACCCTGTTTGCCTGGGTATCAGCAGCGGTGGCTGCAGAACAGTGGATTTTCGTGAACCACAAATGCTGCTGCCTGATCGTTCCTCTGGAAGTTTTGTCTCAGAGGAGTACCCAGCCATGTGAAGTGTCAGTCTGCCCCTACTGGGGGGTGCCTTCCAGTTAGGCTGCTCGGGGGTCAGGGACCCACTTGAGGAGTCAGTCTGCCCGTTCTCAGATCTCTAGCTGCATGCTGGGAGAACCACTACTCTCTTCAAAGCTGTCAGACAGGGAGGGACATTTAAGTCTGCAGAGGTTACTGCTGTCTTTTTGTTTGTCTGTGCCCTGCCCCAAGAGGTGGAGCCTGTAGAGGCAGGCAGGCCTCCTTGAGCTGTGGTGGGCTCCACCCAGTGCAAGCTTCCCGGCTGCTTTGTTTACCTACGCAAGCCTGGGCAATGGCAGGCGCCCCTCCCCCATCCTCGCTGCCACCTTGCAGTTTGATCTCAGACTGCTGTGCTAGCAATCAGTGAGACTCCGTGGGCATAGGACCCTCTGAGCCATGTGTGGGATATAATCTCCTGGTGTGCCATTTTTTAAGCCTGTTGGAAAAGCGCCGTATTAGGGTGGGAGTGACCCAATTTTCCAGGTGCCATCTGTCACCCCTTTCTTTGACTAGGAAAGGGAACTCCCTGACCCCTTGTGCTTCCCGAGTAAGGCAATACCTCACCCTGCTTCAGCTTACACATTGTGCGCTGCACCCACTGTCCTGCACCCAGTGTCTGGCACTCCCTAGTGAGATGAACCCGGTACCTCAGATGGAAATGCAGAAATCATCCATCTTCTGCATCGCCCACGCTGGGAGCTGTAGACCGGAGCTGTTCCTATTCGGCCATCTTGGCTCCACCACCACCTCCCCCCCATTTTAACCATTTTTAAGTGCATAGTTCAGTGTCACTAAATACAGTCACCTGATTGTACAACCATCACCACCATCCATCATCTCTAGAAGTTTTTCTTTTTTGATTTCCCAGACTGAAACTCTGCATTCTTTAAGCAATAGCCCTTCCTTAATCTCTTCTCCCAGTAACTGGGAAGCATCATTCTACTTTTGGTTTCTATGAATATTACATGCTAGATATCTCATATAAGTGGAATCAGGCAGTATTAGTTTTTTGTATCCAGCTTCTTTCACTTAGCATTATGTCAAAGTCCATCCATGTTGTAACATGCATCAGAATGTCCCTTTTTAAGGCTAAGTAATATTCCACTGTATATCTGTACCACATTTTGTTTATCCATTCCTCTGTCAATGAATGCTTCCACCTTTTGGCTATCATGAATAATGTTACTATGCACATGAATTTGCAAATATCTGTTGAAGTCCCTGCTTTCAAGTCTTGTGGGTTTAAACCCAGAAGTGGACTTGCTGACTCATATGGTAATTCTATGTTTCATTTTTATTTATTTATTTATTTATTTATTTATTTATTTGAGATGGAGTCTGGCTCTGTCACCCAGGCTGGAGTGCAGTGGTGTGATCTTGGCTCACTGCGACCCCCACCTCCCAGGTTCAAGGGGTTCTGCTGCCTCAGCCTCCTGAGTATCTGGGATTATAGGCACACAGCACCATGCCCAGCTAATTTTTGTATTTTTAGTTGAGATGGGGTTTCACCATGTTGGTCAGGCTGGTCTTGAACTCCTGACCTCGTGATCTGGCCACCTTGGTGTCCTAAAGTGCTGGGATTACAAGCATGAGCCACTGAGCCCAGCCTATGTTCCATTTTTTTTTTTTTAATTTAGGAACCGCTGTACTCTTTTCCACCATGACTATACCACTGTAGAATCCACTGGCAATTCACAAGAGTTTCAATTTGGCTACATCCTCACCAACACTTATTATTCCCTGGTTTTTTGATGATTGCCATCTTAATGGGTATGAAGTGGTATCTTATTATGGTTTTGATTTGCTTTTCCTTAGTAATCAGTGATGTTGAGCGTCTTTCATGGGCTTGATGGCAAGTTGTATATCTTTTTTGGGAAAATTTCTATGTAAGTCCTTTGCCTATTTTTTAATTGGGTTGTTTCTTTATTGCTGAGTTGTAGGAGTTCTTTATATATTCTGGATATTGATCCCTTATCAAAGATATTATTTAAAATATTTTCTTCCATTCTGCCGGTTGTCCTCTGATTGCACAAAAGTTTTAAATTTTGATGATGTCCAATTTACTTATTTTTTGTTTTGTTACTTATGCTTTTGGTGTCAGAAAGCTTTTAGTTTATAATTTTAAATATATCACATCTCCTGCCTCATAAGTACCACTGGACAAGGTCCCTTTTATGTACTTAGCTTCTGTTAGAGATAAATGTATTTTGAAGTGGAGAACAAAGATAATTGCAAAATTGGCATGGAGAACTAAGGTAATTATGAAAGTTCCAGATACAAAGAGAGAGGGCTCAATATGCCAGCAGTTCTCTACCAATCCATCCTAGAGGTCTTCTTTTAGGATTGACTAAATAATGCAGGGGATGGGTACAAGACACACAAGTGTTCCAGAAGCATGTAAACAAGGTACAGAGAAGAGGATAAGTTAAAATAAGATGACATAAGAATATTAGGAAAGCCTTGTTCAGAAGATTGCCTACAGAGGCAAAAGGGACAGTTTCATTTTGCTGAGGGAAACAGGGTGGTAAGAACCCTCGTGGGGAAGACCCCTGCTTACCCTGATACAGAGAGAAGGTGTAAAATAACTTAATGGGAGAGCATTAGGCTGAGATAGCTCCCATGGCCTGGGTTCCTACATAGACAAAAGGAACCCGTCAACAACCTGTAAAAAGCTTAGCCCATCAAAAAGTGGCCTGCTGAGTGTTAGCTGTGTAATGAGAGACCTACCACCAGGATAGTTCAAATAATGCAACTGCCCAATTTTTTGCCAATCAAATAATTTCTCTACTCTACTTCTGTATTCACCCTATGAAAGCCTTCCCTACAAACACCTCCAGTAGATCCTCCAGCCACTTTCAGTTTGGAGCTGCCTGATCCATGAATCTCTGTTTGCTCAAATAAACTCTTTTAAATTTTAATATGCTTAAGTTTATCTATTTTTTTTCTGATTTTTAAAAATTGAAATGGGATCTTCCTATGTTGTCCAGACTGGTCTAAAACTCCTGAACTCAAGGGATCCACCTGCCTCAGCCTCCTGAGTAGCTGGAATTATAGACGTGTGCCTCCACACCCAGCTTACATTTATCTTTAAACAAGGGTTTGACCCCTTTCTGAAATATATTTGTGTGAAGACCTGTACCCTCAGTGATATGGCAGGCTCGTTTTAGACCTTCGAGCACTTTTGTCTCTGGACCACAATTTGCCCTTTGTGACCTGCTCTCCTAAAAAATTCAAGTGTAATTCAAGTTAGTTTACCCTCTGCTGATGAGCGGAGGTTGCTCTGGGTGCAAGTTCAAGACAGGCACTCACACCTTCATTCATACCCCAAATCTCAGCATCACGCAATATACCCATGTAATAAACCTGCACAGGTACCCTCCAGAATCTAAAATGAAAGTTGAAATTCCTTAAGATTGTAATTTCATCTTATTAAAAAACAAGGATAAAGTTACTTCTTTCCAATTTTGATATATATTATACTGACATACACACTGTATTCTATGGTGAATTATACTGATTGAATTTCACATTTTAAACTAACACTGAGTTACTTTGAAAAACTCTATTGGGTCATAATGTATTAAGTTTTTAATATATTTTAATACAGTTTGCAAAAATTCTGTTTTAAAATTACATCTATGTTCCATAAATAAATATATAAAAAATAAGAAATGTTTATATTATTCAAGTGAAGATTATAGCGATCTTTTTGAATGTCTACTTAACCTCAACTAGTTTTAAATTCAGAAGTAGCAACTCCATAGAAATTCAACTTATTTCTACCTTATTACTCATACTTGTCTCCTTGAAGAAGCTTCATTGCTATCATCCAGTTTAGACTGGGATGTCATAAATGTCTAGACTGAGTAGTATAATATTCACTGTTCAAATAAAATCAAATTATCATTATAATATTATGGCACCTCCAAATACAAAAAGCAAGCCCATGGATGTTAGGTTAAGGTATAGAGACAAGTATTCCTACTTACTATCTTTTAGGGCAGACATATCCCAGCCAAGGTGATTGCAAAATGAAATGGAAACCATATGGTAGAAGGGGACTTGGGACTCACACGGATTTTCATTCCAACCCTTACATACACAAGCTGCCTGACTCTGGGTTGATTGCATATTCTCTTAGAGTTTCAATTTCCTCGTCTGTACAATGGAGGTTAATGCCTATGGGCTATGGCTGATGTGGGGACAAAAGAACCAACCCTGATGCATGGGCAAGGGCCTGGTCCATAGAACGAGTAGCTGGCATCAACAAATGGAAGCCCCTTCCCAACTTTTCTTTGCGTGCACTACAAAATCTGGAATACGTGGGTATAAAAAGTACTCTAATAAGAGACATAACTGGAAACTTTTGCAAAAAGAGTTTGGAAAGGTGTCACATCTTGTGGCATGAGGAGTTGTGGGCATACACTTGAACTTTGTGCTGTGAGATATCCACAGAACTTCAGTAGCTTAAGACAACAGTTTAGGTGTCATCTTATTCATCTACCATAGAACTTCCTCTTCTTTACTGAGATTTCTAGACGATAACTTTTACAGCTCTAATAATGCAGTTCTCTCCCAGTTGTTTGGACTATTCTAATAGATACAAAGCAGTATTTCACCAGCAGATGCTACTGCAGTTTGTATGATGATTTCAAACTGAGAATCCATTTAAAGTTATGCAATACTTTTTTTGGAAATAGCATGAAAGTACTTTAAGTTTAAAATCTTATAAAATAGGTTTACAGTAAATAATTATTTGTTGCAATGCCTATCATACTATCTTATATTCACACATGTATCAGTCCTAATAAATATGTGTGGTGAGTGAAATTTACTTGAGGGCAGAGACTGTGCCATATGTTCCCTGCACCGCTGATGCCTATCTCAGCTCATGATATACAATAGATGCTCAGTAAATACTTTAACTTAAAAAATGCACTAAGAATAAATCTTATTAGACATCAAAATATGTATGAGTACAATCTAGGGACATGGTCAGGAGCTCAAAATTCAATCTTATTTATTTATTTATTTATTTAGAGACAGTGTCTCACTCTGTTGCCAAGGCTGGAGTGCAGTGGTGCGATCTCAGCTTACTGCAACCTTTGTCTCCTGGGTTCAAGCGATTCTCCTGCCTCAGTCTCCAGAGTAGCTGGGATTACAGGTGCACACCAACATGCTAATTTTTTTGTATTTTTAGTAGACACAGGGTTTCACCATGTTGGCCAGGCTGGTCTCAAACTCATGAGCTCAGGCAATCTACCCACCTTGGTCTCCCAAAATGCTGGGATTACAGGTGTCAGCCACCACACACAGCCACAAAATGCTTTAAAGTAGCTTCAAAACCCCTTTGCAAATAGGTGTTTTCATAACAAGATGGAAACAAGAAAACATTGAGCTTCATATAATAGAAGGGTTCTGCCTGGATTTGCATGTGGCCCCATCATTTGTTTGCTGTTGGGCCATGGTCAGGTTACTTAGCTGCTCTCTGCCTCCACATAGGATTTATGCCTGTGCATCCCTCATCTACAAAATGGGAATAATAAGAATATCTAACAGTTAGAAATGGAGAAAATATATGTAAAGGCCTTTGAAAAGAGCTTGTCAAAGCTCAATAATTGTCCTCAATAATTGCTCTCAATAATTGTCAGCTATCGTTCAATAACAATCATAATCATAAAAATATATGACTCAAAGGAAGATTCCTACCTCCTATCCAGCTTCCCAAAAGAATATCAGACATTGGACCTGTGAAAGGAATGACATTGAGATGTATTTTCACATCGCTAAGTTGGTTTTTTCTCTTTGCCATTCGATTTCTGCAGTCCCCACACTAAGCCCATGGTCCACCATTTTATTTTTCCTCCTAAAATGTCTTCCCTTCTCGTAAAATTTACTTTTCCTTAAAAAGGGCCCTTTTCATCCACTCACTCTTTTACCCATCCCAGAAGTTGGTTAATGGGCACAAAAATACAGTTAGATGGAATGAACAGAAGAATTTCTAGTGTTCAATAGCACAGTAGGGTGACGATCATTAACAATAACATATATTTCAAAATGACTAGAGGAAAGATGTGGAATGTTCTCAACACAAATAAATGATAAATGGTTGAGGTGATGGATATGCAAATTATCCTGATTTGATCACTACACATTGTATGCATGTATCAAAATATCACATGTACCCTAGAAATAATTATAATTGTATCAATAAAAACAAAAAGGGCCTATTTCTCTTTCCTTCCTCCCCACATTCCCTCCTATCCCAGATATGTGTTGCTCCTGGGACTCTCCTGCCCCACGTTCAGTCAGCACTGAGCCAGCAGGAAGGATCTCACAGGTCATATCCTGAGATCAACCCTCCACCCCTTCAGGTAATGATCCTCCTGCTCTTAGTCATTTATATCCTTTGGTTCATAGATATTCTGAGTCAAGTGCCTTCTAACCGCTGAGCTACATAATATCCCTTGGTTTTTAAAGATAATACAAAGTGAATTTTAGTAACAATGTTGAGTCATCATAGAAGCTAATGAAGTTGGGGATTCCATGAAGTCATCTAAGCGTATAAAGCCACATTTCCCTGGGTCCCTTTTCCTTAGCTCAAGGCCACAAAAATCAGAACATGAATTCCAGCCCATATTTGCATTATGTCTAAATAATTACGAATTATAAATGAAGTTAAAAAATAGCTAAATATGTTCTATTCTTCTACTTCAATAAATATACCACCGTAATAACCCACAAGGTCGAAGTCGAGTGTAGAATTCTCTGATTCCTTGGTGCTCTGCCAGAGAATGTGGTAGCAAAGGGAGAGCTGATCTTCAGCCCCAGGCTAAACTTTTTTCTTTCATCGTAGCTAGCCCTGTCCTTACTTGAGAAGCCTTGCGTACCCCTGTGTGGGGGACTCCCTAGGCCCCATACAAGCTCCATCCACAATTCTCACCCCTTCAGACAGCAGAGCCTTGGGCACCATTTCAACAAGCACAGTTTTCACTTTGAAATGGACCCAGGGAAGAGGCCATGCAGGCTCAGGTACATTTGGCCAGGGGCCTGAGTGCCCAGCGTGTGCCCTAGAACAGAGGGTGAGAGCTCTGGGTGGGCCGGGTTACAGTCAGTGGAGGGCCAGAGAGGCACCCTCTCAAGCGCAGGATTCAGGGCGGGGGTCCTCTTGCCAAGATCGATGGCTGCGATTCCTCCGTGCAATGACGACTGCGTCAGGTCTTCTCAGCGCACCTTTCATTCAGTCTCAGCCACCGTGGGGAGTTCCATGGAAGCACAGGCTTCCCTTGTGCTGCCAGCAAACTCAAGCTACACTTTCCGCCCCGGGACATCTCCACTATTGTAGGATTTTGCCTAAGCACAAATACAGCCCAGAAACACTTGCAGGTTAACAGCCTCAGGGGAAGACCTCAACCCGTGTGGGACAGGTGGGCAAATGCTCGAGGCTCACGTTTCAGGTGGACAGTCCTGGATAACTTTCCAGAGCCTCTCGGTAGGTCCCGCATAAAAAAAGTCCATGGGAGCAGCCTCAATGGCATTTCATTATTTTGGCTTTTTTTTTCTTGCCTGGCTCACTCTTCCCACATCTCACTCTTGCTTCTTGGAATCACTTCCCAAATAAACCATCCACACCCAAGTCTTTACTCCAGCTCTGCTTTCAGGGGTACAGGCACACCTTGGAGATATTGCAGGTTTGGTTCTAGGTCACCACAATAAGGCGAATATCACAATAGAGCAAGTCACAAGAAATTTTTTGCTTTCTGGTGCATATAAAAGTTATGTTGCCGGGCATGGTGGCTCACGCCTGTAATCCCAGCACATTGGGAGGCCGAGGCGAGTGGATCACCAGAGGCCAGAAGTTTGAGATCAGCCTGGCCAACATGGGGAAACCCTGTGAAAATACAAAAATGGTGGTGAGCGCCTGTATTCCTAGCTACTCAAGAGGCTGAGGCAGGAGAATTGTTTGAACCTGGGAAGCAGAGTTTGCAGTGAGACAAGATCACACCACTGCACTCCAACCTGGGCAACAGAGTGAGACTCCATCTCAAAAAAGAAAGTTGTGTTTAAACTACTGTAGTCAATTAGTGTGCAATAGCATTATGTTTAAAATATAATGTATGTACGTTACTTTGAAAATACTTGATTGCCAAAAAATGCTAACCATCATCTGGGCCTTCAGCAAGTCATAATCATTTTGCTGGTGGATGGTCTTGTCTCAGTGTTGATAGCTACTGACTGATCAGGGTAATGGTTGCTGAGGGCTGGAGAGGGTGTGGCGATTTCTTAAAGTAACATGACAATGAAGTTTGCCGCGTTGACTGACTCTTGCTTTCACAAAAGATTTCACTGTAGCATGCTGTACAGTTTGGTAGCATTTTACCCACAGTAGAATTTATATCAAAACTGGAACCAATCCTCTCAAACCCTGCCACTCCTCTATCAACTAAGTTCGTGGCATATTCTAAGTCCTTTGTTGTTCTTTCCACAATGTTCACGGCATCTTCACCAGGAGTAGATTCCATCCCAAGAAACCACTTTCTTTGCTCATTCATAATAAGCAACTCCTCATCCGTTAAGATTGCAGCAATCTGGCCGGTGCGGTGGCTCATGCCTGTAATCCCAGCACTTTTGTAGGCTGAGGCGGGTGGATCATCTGACGTTGGGAGCTCGAGACCAGCCTGACCAATATGGTGAAACTCCGTCTCTACTAAAAATACAAAATTAGCTGGGTGTTGTGGCACATGCCTACAATACCAGCTACTCGGGAGGCTGAGGCAGGAGAATCGCTTGAACCCAGGAGGTGGAGGTTGCTGTGAGCTGAGATCACACCATTGCACTCCAGCCTGGGCAACAAGAGCAAAAGTCTATCTCAAAAAAAAAAAAAAAAAAAAAAAGATTGCAGCAATTCACTCACATCTTCATGCTCCACTTTTAATACTAGTTCTCTTGCTGTCTTCACCATATCTGTGGTTACTTCCTCTGCTAAAGTCTTGAACCCCTCAAAGTCATTTATGAGGGTTAGAATCAACTTCTTCCAAACTCCCATTAATGCTGCTATTTTTACCTCCTCTGGTGAATCATGAATGTTCTTAGTGGCGTCTACAATAGTGAATCCATTTATAGAGCACGGGTAGAGTAGATTTAGCATAATTCTTAAGAGGTGCCCTAGGATTTATGGAACGGCAAATGAGCATTGGCTTGTAATAAGAGAGTCAGTCTGTCCTTTAAATCTTTTTTTTTTTTTTCTTGAGGTAAGGTCTCACTCTGTTGCCCAGGCTGAATTGCAGTGGCATGATCTTGGCCCACTTCAGACTTGACCTCCTTGACTCAAGCAATCCTCCCACCTCAGCTTCCTGAGTAGCTGGACTAGTAGCATGCACCACCATACATGACTTATTTTTTTTTATTCATTTATTTTTGGTTAGAGACAGGGTTTCACCATGTTGCCCAGGCTGGTCTCAAACTCCTAAGCTCAAGCCATTCTCCCACTTCAGCCTCCCAGAGACATGAGCCACCCTGCCTGGCCTCTAAATTCATGTTATGTAGACTCATTTTCATGGTTAAAATGTCCTGAATTGACTGTGGCCTGTTGGGAGGTGGGATGGAGGAAACTACTTATGGAAAATGAAGAAGAAAGGGAAGCACACCAGAAGCAAGAAAGCATCATCGATTTTTACATCAAGGCCTCCATGGTAAAGAGAAAGAACAGGTAGCCTGTTCTTTCATGGCTGACCATTGGACTGCAGACTGCACCTGCATCTACCAGGTTCTTCTGGATAGTCCCAGTTTTAAATTTTTGAGCTGACATTCATGAACACAGTGCTACTGGTCAGACCTTTGTCCAGGTTTAAGCTTCAGAAAATAAGGGCTTCATGCAGTGGGAGGCCTGGTTAGGGTTATGATTCTGCCCTGGGGCATCTGCCCCTTCTGACCTGGAGGTAAACTTGGCATCTACAATTTACCTCCACATTTGAACAGCCAAGGATGGGCTGAGCACAGAGGCTCACGTCTGTAACTCCAACACTTTGGGAGGCCAAGGCGGGAGGATCGCTTGAGGCCAGGAGCTGAAGACCAGCCTGGGCAATATAGTGAGACCTTGTCTCTGTAAAAACAAACAAACAAACAAAACCAAGGATGGGTGGGTGGCAGGGAGCAGTTCAACATGGGAAACCATTAATCTGAGAGCTGGAAGGACCCTTAGACCAGCCCCCTACTAACAGATGAGACTCTGCCCTGGGATTATAGCCTAAGGTAATGCATTGAACTTTTCTAGAGATTTGAAAATAATCAATCCTAAAACCGCCAAGCATACTGCTACTGTTTGCTATTGAATAGTGTTTTCTGGTCCAGGTGTGGTGGTTCATGCCTGTAATCCCAACACTTTGGAAGGTTGAGGCAAGTGGATCACCTGAGGGTCAGGAGTTCAAGACCAGCCTGGCCAACATGGTGAAACCCTGTCTCTACTAAAAATACAAAAAATTAGCAGGCCATGGTGGTGCATGCCTGTAATCCCAGCTGCTTGGGAGGCTGAGGCAGGAGAATACTTTGATCCTGGGAGGCAGAGGTTGCAGTGAGCTGAGATTGGACCATTGCTCTCCAGCCTGGGCTACAAGACTCAAATTCCGTCTCGAAAATACTAATGATAATAATAATGTTTTCTACAAGCAAGGAGTTACTTTGTACTGGGAACTGGTGTGAAGGGATCCACCATGTGTAAGCTTTTGGATTAATGACAGTTATTTCCAGATCATGGAGGTGGGAATGCTTGTTGATCATCTTCTATGTTCTTTGTTATATTGATTGATTTTTTTAAAAAGCTAGCATTTTTATAACAATAAAGTCATAAAAATAAGTAACTAAAATAAAGTAAAATAATCTAAAAAGGTCGAGCGCAGTGGCTCACACCTGTAATCCCAGCACTTTGGGAGGCCAAGATGGGTGGATCACATGAGCTCAGGAGTTCAAGACCAGCCTGGCCAACATGGTGAAACCCCATCTCTACTGAAAATACAAAAATTAGCCAGGCATGGTGGCAGGCACCTGTAATCCCAGCTACTCAGTAGGTTGAGGCAAGAGAATTGCTTGAACCTGGGAGAAGGTGCTTGCAGTGATCTGAGATTGCGCCATTGCATTCCAGCCTGGGTGACAAGAGCTAAACTCCATCTCAAAACAAAACAAAACAAAAATCTAAATGTAATTGAGTTGAATATTTAAACTTTTAATTGACATTTCAAATTAGATTCTAATTCCATTTAAAAGAGCATCTCGTAGAAGCAAATGTACTCATTTATGTTAAATCTGTGGTTTCATTTAAGCAATTTGTTTTGTGAAGGGACACAAATCCAACCAGATTTTAACAGTGTATAAATATGTATTTATTAATTTAATTACAATGACAATACTCTCAACTCCCCATTTGAATAAAGGAGAGCATTTGATCTGTGTTCTGGGACAGCGTGCACTGTAGGTGTGTGGAAATACCGATGCCCTCAGCTGTGTGGCAGGCTCAGTGGGACCTGAAGTGCAGGAGCCCCTGGGCCATTCACCTCTGGCCACAAAAGTCATTGCCCATTTACCCCCAACTGCTATAGAAATATTATTTTCAGTGGTTGTTATGATGCTAAAGAAGCAGGGAGATTTATTAAACCTTTACATATAAGTTATGTTAGTAAATAAAGTCTACTTTCTTCTGGCTTAACTAAAAATCTATACTAGTATTTATGCATTTTGGAAAATAAAGATGCCAATTTAAATATTATGAAGCAAAGCAACTGAGTATTAGGTAAGACAGCCAAGTACAACTGCAGAATTATAGAGGTTATGTGTTACATGTATAAGAATATTTCATAGCAATAATCTTTTGAGACTATGTGAAGACACTCCACAGTGAAGCAGAAATTAGAACAGAATTAATAATACTGTGTATGCTCTCAGTTCACCAATTTATCAAAACTAACTTTATAATTCAGGAGGCTGTCTGCTCTTTTGCAATTGGAAGAAAAGAAATAATATTTTATTTTTCAACTCTTTAGATTTTCTTCATTAAGAGTATTTCCAAAGCTAAGTAAGGGAGTTGCAAGTAGCACCAAGAGAAAAAAGCAGTCTTGAGCAGCTTTTAAAAAATGGTCTTAAAATATGGAAAATGGAGCCAGGTGTGGTGGCTCACTCCTGTGATCCCAGCACTTTGGGAGCTTGAGGTGGGAGGATTGCTTGAGCTCAAAAGTTTGAGACCAGCCTGGGCAGCATAGCAAGATCCCCATCATTACAAAAAATAATAATTTTTTTTTAAATTAGCTGGATGAGGTGGTGCATGCCTTAGAGTCCCAGTTACTTGGGAGGCTGAGGTAGGAGGAGTTCTTGAGCCCAGGAGTTCAAGTCTGCAGTGAGCTACAATTGCATCAGTCCTCAAGCCTGGGCAACAAAGTGAGACCCTGTCTCTCTCTACAAATAAATAAATAAATAGTGGTCTTCACTGATAAACTGACTAATGAAACAGAATAGAGAATTCCCAAACAAATCTCCACAAATTTAATCTTTGATATGTGATGTAGGTGACATGGCAGATCAACAAGGAAAGAAAGGACATTTCAATAAATAGAATAGAAAAATAATGGTTATTGATATAGGAAACAAAATGAAATTATATTCCTGCTTCACTCTATATACAAACATTAAATTCCAGAGGACCAAAGACTTACATGTCAGAAACAAAACTTTAAAACTTTTAGTAGAAAATGTAAGTGAATGAGACACAAAAAGCCATTTAACCATTAAAAAAGATTAGACATTTTGACTATCACAAAATTAAGAACTTTTTACATCAAAAAGTGGAAAGATAGGCTGGGCACAGTGTCTCAAGCCTGTAATCCCAATAGTACATCACCTGAGGTCAGGAGTTTGAGACCAGGCTGGCCAACATGGTGAAACCCCATCTCTACTAAAAATACAAGAAATTAGCTTGACATTAGTGGCAGACACTTGTAATCCCAGCTACTTGGGAAGCTGAGGCACGAGAATCATCTGAACCCAGGAGGTGGAGGTTGCAGTGAGCCACGGCACTCCAGCCTGAATAACAGAGCTAGACTCTGTCTCAAAAAAAAAAAAAATAGAAATTAAAAAATAAAAGTAACAAAGTGAAAAGATAAACTGTAAATTAGAAGATATTTGCAGTACCTAAAACCTATGAAAGATTACAACCAGATCAACTAAGTATAAGGAGCTCCTATGAATTAATTTTAAAAATAGCAACCCAACAGAAAATTGGGAAAAGACATCAATAGGGATTTCACAAAAGAGAAAGCCCGCAAAATGTAAAAAAATTTCTCAACCTCATTAGTAATCAGGAAAATGCACAAGATACTACACATCTATTCTCCCCACAATTATTAAGAAGTTTGACAATACCAAATGTATTAGTCCACATTCATACTGCTGATAAAGACATACCTGAGACAGGGAAGAAAAAGAGGCTTAATTGGATTTAGGTTTTCACATGGTTGAGGAGGCCTCAGAGTTATGGCTGTCAGTGAACAGCACTTCTTACATGGCAGTGGCAAGAGAATATGAGAAGGAGGCAAAAGAAGCAAAAGACGAAACCCCTAATAATCCCATCAGATCTTGTGAGATTTATCCACTATCACAAGAATAGCATTGGAAAGACCAGCCCCAAAGATTCAACTACCTCCCCCTGGTTCCCTCCCCGAACAAGTGGGAATTCTGAGCAATACAATTCAAGTTGAGATGTGGGTAGGGACATAGTCAAACCATATTTTTCCACTCCTGGCCCCTCCAAATCTCATGTCCTCTCCAAACCTCATGTCCTCACATTTCAAAACCTATTATGCCTTCCCAACAGTCCCCCAAAGTCTTAACTCATTTCAGCATTAACCCAAATGTCCACTGTCCAAAGTCTCATCTGAGACAAGGCAAGTCTCTTCTGCCTATGACCCTGTAAAATCCAAATCAAGCTAGTTACTTCCTAGATACAGTGGGGGTACAGGTAATTGAGTAAATGCAGCTGTTCCAAATGGGAGAAATTGGCCAAAACAAAGGGGTTACAGGCCCCATGCAAGTCTGAAATCCAGCAAGGTAGTCAAATTTTAAAGCTCCAAAATGATCTCCGTTGACTCCATGTTTCACATCAAGATCATGCTGATGCAAGAGGTGGGCTCCCACCACCTTGGGTAGTTCTGCCTCTGTGGCTTTGCAGGGTATAGCCCACCTCCTGGCTGTTTTCATGGGCTGATGTTGAGTGACTGCAGCTTTTCCAGGCTCACAGTGCAAGCCATCAGTGAATCTACCATTCTGGGGCCTGGAGGAGAGTGGCCCTCTCCTCACAGCTCCACTAGGAAGTGCCCCAGTAGGGACTCTGTGCAGGGGCTCCAACCCCACATTTCCCTTCTGCACAGCCCTAGCAGAGGTTCTCCATCAGAGCCCCACCCCTGCAGCAAACTTCTGCTTGGACATCCAGGTATTTTCATACATCCTCTGAAATCTAGGTGGGGGTTTCCAAACCTCAATTCCTGACTTCTATGCATGTGCAGGCTCAACACCACGTGGAAGCTGCTAAGGTTTGGTGCTTGCACTCTCAAGGCCATGGCCTGAGTTCTATATTGGCCCCTTTCAGCCATGGCTGGAGGGGCTGAAACACAGAGAACCAAGGCCCTAGGCTACACACAGCACAGTCAACCTGGGCCCAGCCCAGAAAGCCATTTTTTCCTCCTAGGCCTCTGGGCGTGTGATGGGAGGGGCTGCTGTGATGACCTGTGACATGTCCTGTAGAAATTTTCCCCATTGTTTTGGGGATTAACATTCAGCTTCTCGTTACTTACGCAAATTTCTGCAGACTGCTTGAATTTATCCTCAGAAAATGGGATTTTCTTTTCTATCACATTGTCAGGCTGCAAATTTTCCAAACTTGTATGCTCTGCTTCCTTTACAAAACTGAAGGCATTTAGCATCACCCAAGTCACCTCTTGAATGCTTTACTGCTTAGAATTTTCTTCCAGCAGATAACCTAAATCATCTCTCTCAAGTTCAAAGTTCCACAAATCTCTAGGGCAGGGGCAAAATGCTGCCATTCTCTTTGCTAAAACATAATGAGAGCCACCTTTGCCCCAGTTCCCAACAAGTTCCTCATCTCCATCTGAGACCACCTCAGCCTGGACCTTATTGTTCAAAACACTATCAGCATTTTTGTCAAAGCCATTCAACAAGTCTCTAGGAAGTTCCAAAATTTCCCACCTTTTCCAGTGTTTTTCTGAGCCCTCCAAACTGTTCCAACTTCTGCCTGTTACCAAGTTTCAAAGTCACTTCTACATTTTTGGGTATCTTTTCAGCAGCACCCCACACCACTGGTATCCATTTACTGTATTAGTCCATTTTCACACTGCTGATAAAGACATACCCAAGTCTGAGAAGAAAAAGAGATGTAAAGAAAAAGAACTGCAACTGGATTTGCAGTCCCACATGGTGGGGGAGGCCTCAGAGTCATGGCAGGAGGTGAAAGGCACTTCTTAAATGGCAGCAGCAAGAGAAAATGAGGAGGAAGCCAAAGCAGAAACCCCTGATAAACCCATCAGATCTCATGAGACTTATTCACTGTCACGAGAATAGCACAGGAAAGACTGGCCTCCATCATTCAATTACCTCACCCTGGGTCCCTCCCACAACATGTGGGTATTCTGGGAGATAGAATTCAAGCTGGGATTTGGGTGTGGACACAGCCAAACCATATCACCAAATAGGGAGAGACTGTGGATCAACAAGATCATCTCAAACTAATACAGGACGTGAGTGTTTAAATGAGAACAACCACTTTAGAAAACAATTTGGATTATCTTATAAAGTTGAGCATTCTCATATGTTACGGCAAAGTAATTTCTCTACTATAGGCCCTGGAGAAACTCTTGCCCATATGTACCAGAAGTATTAAAAAAAATGCTCATGTAATGCCATTCATAATAGCAAATATATGGAAACAAGCCAGATGTTCATTGATAGGAGAATGGGTAAATTAATAGGAGAATGGGTAAATAAATTATACCCTTAAAAAACTAAATAATATGCCATTTAGGGCAATCATATATATGCAATAAAACAATGTTTTTTTAAAGGCAGGGAATCCTAAACATAAATTCAGGGTAGTAGTTACCCTGGGGCTGAAGGGTGTAAATCAGGAAAAAGGACAGAGGAGGAGCAGATGTTAGGTCAGAACCCTAGTTCTTGGGTTGTGTTGTGGGTTCACAAGTGATTACCACATTATTCAAATACATTTACATAGAGGCCCAGGCACAGACAAGGGTGAAACAGGAGCCAAGGTATGCTATGAGCCAAGGAATATGATTAATCAAATTTTGTGCACTTTAAACCATTTGAAAAACAGAAAAGCAAAACAAGAAGATAAATTTTAACAAATTGAATATAGAGTGCTATGTTCTGAATGTGTCCCCCTAAAATTAATCACAGTGTTATAGGATTAGGAAGTAGGGCCCTTAGGTAGTGATTCAGTCATGAAGGGAGAATCTTCACGAATGGGTTTAGGGTCCTTACACAAGGACTGGAGGGAGTGGGCTTCCCCTGTTTTGCCCTTCTGCCTTCTGCCATGTGAGGGCACAGTGCATCTCCTCCTGAGGACAGAGTGCACAAGGTACCATCTTGGATGCAGAGGTCAGGCCCTGACCAGACACCAATCCTGCTGGCACCTGGATCTTGGACTTCCAGCCTATGGAACTGTGAGAAATACATTTCTCTTCTTCAGAAATTACCCAGCCTAGTGTATTTTCTTATATAGTAGCACAAACTCATTAAGGCATAATGCTTCTTGTCATTTTCTTCTACAATTTTCTTTGTTGCCTCTTTAGCAGTGGGTCATTTTATATTTGATCCTTCATAATATCTCTTACTTTTGGTTTTTCACATTTCTGTTCCAAGTGTATTCTTAGATACATATTTTTCACTGTTTGTTATTATCCAGGTCAGAAAGTCCAGGATACATTTTTTTAAGGGTTTGGTTTCTGCAACAATGAAGTATTAATGCCTTCTGTAAACTAGGTATTTCCTTTCCAATTGTAACTGCCATCTGGAAGCAAAGTGGAATTACAGGCTATGAGTGTGGGGTTGATATTTAGTGTATCTAGAGTATGGTTAAATGCTGGTTTTTAATCACACGGATACATCGATTGCTTGGCACACTAGGGTATCAGTTGCTAGTTATCTCTGTATTTATCCATGCTGTTACAGAGGGAAAGTACAGACCGTGAGGTTGGACCAGCTGTCATACCCATATTTGGGGAGCTTTGATTTTTTTAACCTTCAGCTGCTTTACTGTCACACGTAGCAGCTCAGGTGAAAAGCACTTTTATTGTGGGGACTTTCCCTTAGTGCTCTGTGGGGCACAAGAGCAGACCTATGTAGAAGCATTAAGTATTTTGTGCATCAACAGGACAATTAAAGGAACAAATTCTTATTGTATCTTTTAGTCCCTGAAGACAAAACCACAGTGACAGTAACTAGGTCAAGGCATTGTATTCAGAGAGGGTCAGCCTTGGTCTTTGAGAGTGAGTCCCCTTTACCCCACTGTCAAGACTCACTGAGCAGACGGGAACGTTCAGGTGGAACATGCAGTGAATAGCAAACACGGTGGGGGGCGCTCACTGTCATGCACTGCCATGCCTGCCATGGTCAGCAGACCTCTTCTACTTGACAACAGGCAGGTTGAGAAACATTTTCTTGGAGAGTTTCTTGATTCTTGCCAGTTGTGGCAGGATGGATTGACTTAGAGGAGCTCAGGAAGGTTGTTAAACAACACAGAAACACAAGATGAATTGTACTCCTCAGCAGGCCTAGGTTAGAGCAGCAGGTGCTTGAAGCCTCAGCCACTCGTGGGACACAACATAATGCCCCTAATGATTTGAAATTTGGTGGAGAGTGGGTCACTAATCCCTGTGTCCAGGGACAAAAAGAGACATCAACAGCAAAAAGTTATAAAATAAGTGGGACTAACATCTGCTTCTTGTGGGAGGTAGGAATTTAAGATATAAGAATTTAGCTGCAGGAGCGAGCTCACACCTGTAATCTCAGCACTTGGGGAGGCCAGCGCAGGAGGACAGTTTGAGCCCAGGTGTTTGACATGAGCCAGGCAACGTAGTAAGTCCCCATTCGTACAAAAATGTTTTTGGAGAAAAGTAGTTGAGTGTGGGGGCACATGCCTGTAGTCCCAGGTACGTGGGAGGCTGAGGCAAGAAAATTGCTTCAGCCTGGGAGATTGAGGCTGCAGTGAGCTCTGATCACCACAATGCACGCCAGCCTGTGAGTCCGGAGACCCGAGCTGGCGCCTTGAAGCGGGGTCCCCTGCACCGGTAGAAGTCGGCTCAAGGAGGTTCTGAGAACAGGACTCCCGGGGGTCCGGCCCTGGAGGACCCGAAGCCCCCAGTCCCATAAACGCCCCCTACTACATCCCCACTCCAGCCGCCACTGCGACTGCCACAGAACCCCCGCCACGTGTCGCCGAACCTGTTTAAAGGGGCCACAGCCGGAGTTTGAAGAGCAAAGCAGGAGTCGGCCTGGGCAATGCGCATGCGGGAGGCACGAGCCCATTCTCCCGTGACGGTGACTCCAACGGTTGGCTGAGGACGATTCCCTGAGCCTTGACAAAGCAGGAGCCCTCCGTGGCAGTGCGTCGGGGTCGAGGCTCCAGCCTGACCAATCCAGGGGGTCGACAAAACAGATTCGGGACACCATGCTACACGCAGGGCCTACCAGGATGCAGAAACAGCAGACGGAGTCCGGGGAAAGCAGTGCGGCATCCCAGCCTCAGGCCTGCCCGTACGGTGTTCGGGTGAGTTCCCCCAAAGCCGTGCCCCCCGTGATCTCGAGGACAGGTCTGCCTGTGTGCCCAAGGACTACTGTCTCACCCGAGGGTCATTCTCCCAAAGAGCAGAAACCCGCAGCCTCAGTGATTGCCTGGGGGTTGTGTCTCTCTGCCACTGCTGTATGTCTGGGTGCCTGTGTCTCCCATTCTCTCTTCTCTCTGTCACTCACTCTCTGTTTCTCTGGCTTTCTCTGTCTCTGTGCGTGTGTGCCCGTGAGCGTGTGTGTTTCTGTGCCCAGTGCGCTACAAAGCGGTCTCTTGCATGTCAGCGTGTCTTTAGTGGGCCTCTGTCTGCGACTCTGCCTGGGTCATGTGGGCGGTTGTCAATCATTTCCACGGCGGTTCCACTTTGGCTTTCTGAAGACCTCGACAATGTGAGAAGCTTCGGTCTCAAAGAAACCGAAATTTCATCCCGATCCTGAGCTACCTCTTTTGTAGAATCAAGATGACCACACTCCAACCAAAAAAAAAAAAAAAGGTACAAGGAGCTCATTGTTTTCCAGGAGGGGAGGAGACCAATGTGAAAGGAGATGGTTATATCTCCTCGCGGCTCTTCTCTGAGAAATGAAGCCAGGATACGAAACAATCTTCAAGAAGAAGCTGAAAACCGGATATGACAAGGATGTCCCCAGAACACAGCAGGCATCCTGAAGCTCTGCCTCCTGAAGCTCCCCCTCCCTCGGTGGAAGTCGGCTCAGGGAGGTCCTGAGGACAGGACTCCTGGGGGTTTGGCTGCAGAATGAATTAATTCACTAGGACTTTATATAATTTTTCAAATCATGAAATTGCACAATCTTTTGAATATGGAATTGGGAGGCCTTTCAGTTCATTCAGTAGAAAACTGGAACATTTTTGAAGGGTGATCTGCTCGACACCTTTCAAAGAGTACAAAACCTTGTGAAGTAGCAGATGCAATGATTACCAATGTACCTTATAAAATGACTTTCAGAGTTTGAGATTAAATTGGCTTTTCTGAAATATGTAAGTCTCTGGAAAAACTCAACATTTCTAATCTTGCTTTGGAAAGCCTTTAAGTATGTAAAAATCAATTTCTTATATCTTCTCTGAAATAAACATGGAATATCCTAAGGTTTTATTCATGTTTCATGAATTTCACAGCATTCATCATATTTTCAAGTTATTTTTGATGCTTTGCATTGTATTAAAATCTCTCTTGGAATGAGAGGCCTGAAAAACAATCATAATATACTGTTGTTGTCTAACAATATATCAAGTTTTTAATGACTCTTACAATGCAATATTTTTATCATTCTTGTAGTTTATCCACATGTATTTAATATTACTAGCAGAAATTTAGATTTTAGTAAATTAATTCTGATCTTTGTAAAATAAAATGCTTTAGTTTTCAATCTATATCTATTAATTCTTTAGTCTATGAATCCATCTAACAATTATTATTGAACAAGTTCTAGGAGATAAGTACTATACAGTTGCTAAGAATTCTGAAAGATCATCTTATACCTATTATACAGAAGCAGAGCGAGACAAATGAACCAAAACTTACATAACACTGTGACATGCGTTTCAAGTTTAAACATCTTAAAAAATACATTTCATAAAACTAAAATAAAACTTGATACTTGTTTCTACTACATTTGGTTTTATATACTTAGGCATATTATTTTTGAGTCTGGTATTAAATAAGCCAACATCTGTTTGCAGTCTATATCTTCATTCATGCCTTTGATTAAAAATTGAATAAGCAAGATCTAAAGAAAAGTAACATACTGAATATGCGACTAGAAACCTCTCTCCAAGTGACCAGGCTGGGCAAAATGCTGAAATCCCATCTCTACCAAAAAATAAGATGCGGTGGTGCACCCCTGTAGCCCCAGCTATGCTGGTGGCTACTCAGGAGGCTGAGACAGGAGGCTCACTCGAGCTCAGAAGGTAGAGGCTACGGTGAGCTATGACTGCCACTGCACTCAGACTGACTGACAAAGTGAGACACTGTCTCACAAAAAAGGGAAGGAAACCTCTCTCTAAGATGAAAAAGGAGTAAGAGGGTTTTTAAGGCACACGTCCCCAGTGAGGCAGTTTGAATCAATATGAGCTTAAAATCCTTCCTAAACAATATTTACTTCACTTATATTGTTCTGTTATACAAAATCAAAGTATTCGTCTTAGAAACAATACTTACCAAATTTTCCTTTAGTATACCAACTGTGATACAATTATGCCACTTCTCTTTAATCCTGCCTAGTAATCCATGCTATCTGGTATAGTGTTCCAGTGTGCAGGCTTTGAGCCACACCATGTGGGCATGAAAATTTCCTCTGCCACTTAAAATTGGGTGACTTACTTCACCTTTCTATGCCTCAGTATGACACTAGTTGCTACCTCCTATAGTTGTGAGGATAAAATGAATGTATACAGGCAAAGCACTTAGTATTTAAATACAACTTAATTATAGTCATAATTATTACTATTACTATGATTATGGTTATTATTTGATTAACTGCCTTGATGAAAACAAAGCATAGGAAGTTGAATTAGAAAAGATTAGAATGGTGTGAAAGTTGGGTCCTGTGAAGTAAAGAGAAGAGTCATGACAATTCCTTTGGCAAGAGAAGCCTCAAAATAGAATCTGGGTTTCAAAATCTACTTCCAAAGTAGAGAGATATGAGAGCTGGAAATGACATAAAGCTATTTAGGTAGTCAAGTGAGTTTTCTTCTAAATCCATAGCTTTCTTCTAAATCTATAACAACCAAATGAATTAACCCTTTTCTTTGCTCAGGTACCTATTTTCAAAGTTAAGCCATTCTGGATGCAAATTCCTTTGAGTTTTGAGATGATCATGATGGTCTTCACTCAGTCTTTCCCCCAGGTTGACACGTGGTTATTTCATTTAATAAGATTAAAATCAATACCTGGAAATACAAAGAAATGTATTTTTTAATTTCTCAAAAACTAATATTCACCAATATGGAATGAATAATTGCATGCCTAGTTCTCTGTATACTTGCTCTTTTAAGTAATACAGCTCAGTTTGCTTTCTTTTTCTTTTCTACCTACAATCAAATTCAAACTGCTATCACTGGGTCACACATAATCAATCAAATAAACTAAAAAGCTACTGAAAGAATTTTCCATCACTAAGCTGCCTTTTGGGAGCTGTATAATTGGTCTGCTTTACTAGACAGTCAAATGCATGCAAATGCGTTAGTGCTCACGACTTGCTTCCAGGCCATCCCCAGGTTCACACTGTCAATTTATTTTTGTCATTGTAGGTAGGTGACTTTATGTATTTTTGGACTTTTACTGTATAATAATAGGGACAAGAAAAATAAATGTTCACCTAGGCATCAAAGATAATTGTTAAGCCACTATTTTAAACAATAGTTAACTATGGGATTCTACTGTTTTGTGAGGAATATAGAAAAATGTTTAGAATAATTACTCTTCCTGGGACACTTTGAGGGGTCAAATGTATTCTGTTCTTAAGTATCAGTTAAAACATCTTTTGCATTCTCTCTGATCTTAGTGTTTTGATGTTGTGTGCAATGAACCAAAACATTGCATTACAAAAAGAAATCTTTATACAGTTGACAGCTTGTAGGTCTCTGAGGAATCTATTCAATTAGTGTCATGTCCTGGTTCCCTATAGTATCAAAATTCACAGAGAGTTGAGATGTCTTAGAAGTTGTATCTAATAAACCAAGAAAAGCATCATGAAATTTTTTCCTTAAAATGAAAGATAGAAAAAAATGTGTTTCTGCATAACTCACGTAAAAACAGCAGCCTAGAATCTGGCACTTAGTTGTTCGTCACTGAAATGTGTTATCTGGGCCTGCTAACTTGACGTTATATAGCTATAATTTAAATCAGATATATCAAAACCTACCTTGACTTTGACTCATGCTGCCTATTTTTTTTCTCAAGGGAATCTGAGAAAATCCTATTTCTTGGGGAGGAAAGGACATCAATTTGATATTACAGATTGGAGTCCAGCATTGGGATCATGTGGAATAGGATAGATGCTCAGTGTGGATGGGAATGAATAGAATCTTCTGGGTGAATGTCAACTGCTATTCATGGAAGGCACAGAAAATGAAGACTAGACCAGAAGCCATGTTGAACTTTATAAAGGCCTTTTCTGCATCTATTGAGATAATCATGTGGTTTTTGGGTTTAGTCCAGTTTATGTGATGAATCACTTTTATTGATTTGTGTATGTTGAGCTAGACTTGCACCCTGGGGATGCACCCTGGGGATGAAGCCTACTTGATCATGGTGGATAAGCTATTTGATGTGCATCTGGATTTGGTTTGCCAGTATTTTGTTGAGGATTTTTGCATCGATGTTCATCAAGGATATTGGCCTGAAGTTTTCTTTTTCTGTTGTGTCTCTGCCAGGATTTGGTATCAGGATAATGCTGGCCTCATAGAATGAGTTAGGGAGGAGCCCCTCCTCCTCAGTTTCTTGAAATAGTTTAAGTAGGAATGGTTCCAGCTCTTCTTTGTACCTCTGGTAGGATTCAGCTGTGAATCCTTCTGGTCCTGAACTTTTTTTTTGGTTGGTAGTCCTCTCAGTAAAGTAGGTATTAAAGGAATATAGCTCAAAATAGTAAGAGCCATACATGCAAACCCAGAGCCAATATCATACTGAATGGGCAACAACTGGAAGCATTCCCATTGAAAAACAGCACAAGACAAGGTTGTCCTCTCTCACTACCCCTATACAACATAGCGTTGGAAGTCCTGGCCAGGGCAATCAGGAAAGAGAAAGAAATAAAGCATATTCAAATAGAAAGAGAAATTAAACTATCTTTGTTTCCAGATGACATGGTCCTATATCTAGAAAACCCCATCATTTCTACCCAAAAGCCTCTTAAGCTGATAAGCAAATTCATCAAAGTCTCAGGATACAAAATCAATGTGCAAAAATTACCAGCATTTCTGTATGCTAACAACAGGCAAGCTGAGAGCCAAATCAGGAATGAACTCCCCTTCACAATTGCTACAAAATGAATAAAATAGCTAGGAATACAGCTAACAAGGGAAGTGAAGGACATCTTCAAAGAGAACTACAAACCACTGCTCAAAGTAGAGAAGACACAAACAAATGGAAAAGCATTCCACGCTCATGGATAGGAAGAATCAATATCATTAAAATGGCCATACTGCCCAAAGCAATTTACAGATTCAATGCATCCTATCAAACTACCATAGACATTCTGCACATAATTAGAAAAAAAAACTATTTTAAAATTTATATGGACCCAAAGAAGAGCCTGAATAGCCAAAGCAACCCTTAGCAGAAAGGACAAGGCTGGAAGTTATCACACTGCCTGACTTCAAACTATACAACAGGGCTACAGTAACCAAAACAGCATGGTACTGGTACAAGAACAGACACATAGACCAATGGAACAGGATAGAGAACCCAGAAATAATGCTGCACACCTGCAACCATCTGATCTTTGACAAACCTAACAAAAACAAGCAATGGGGAAATGATTCCCTATTTAATAAATGATGCTGGGATAACTGGCTGGCATCAGTTGAAAAAACTGGAACTGGACCCCTTCTTTACACCATATACAAAATCAATCCAAGATGGAATAAAGACTTAAACGTGAAATGCCAAACCATAAAAACCCTGGAAGAAAACCTAGGCAATATGATTCAGGACACAGACACTGACAAAGATTTCATGACCAAGATGCCAAAAGCAATTACAAAAAAAGCAAAAGTTGACAAATAGGACCCAATTAAACTAAAGTGTTTCTTCACAGCACACACACACACACACACACACACACACACACACACACACACAAAACAACTATCAACAAAGTAAACAGACAACCTACAGAAAGGGAGAAAATTTTTGCCATCAATCCATCTAGCAAAAGTCTAATATCCAGCATCTATAAAGAACTCAAGCAAATTTACAAGAAAAGACAAATAACCTCATTAAAAAGTGGGCAAAGGACATGAACAGACACTTCTCAAAAGAAGACATACATGTGGCCAACAAATATATGTAAAAAAGCTCATTAGTCATCATTGGAGAAATGCAAATCAAAACCACAATGAGATACCATTTAACACCGGTCAGAATGGCAATTATTAAAAAGTCAAAAATAACAGATGCTAGTGAGATTGTGGAGAAAAAGGAACTCTTTTACACTGTTGTTGGAAGCGTAAATTAATTCAACCATTGTGGATGACGGTGTGGCAATCACTCAAAGACATAAAGTCAGAAATGCCGTTCAACCTAGCAATCCCATTACTGGGTAATTCCCAAAGGAATATAAATTATTCTATTATAAAGGCACATGCACAAGTATATCATTGCAGCACTATTCACAATAACAAAGACACAGAATTAAATGTCCATCAATGATAGACTGGATGAAGAAAATGTCATACATATACACCATGAAATATTATGCAGCTGTAAAAACAAACCAGATCATGTCCTTTGTGAGGACATGGATGAAGTTGGAGGCCATTATCCTTATCAAACTAATGCAGGAACAGAAAACCAAACACTGCATGTTCTCACTTATAAGTGGGAGCTAAATGATGAGAACACATGGACACGTGGGATGAGGAACAACACACACTAGGGTCTGTTAGTGGGGGGCAGGAGGAGGGAGAGAATCAGGAAAAATAGCTAATGCATGCTGAGCTTAATACTTAGGTGATGGGATGATCTGTGCAGCAAACCCCCATGACACACATGTACCTATGTAATAAACCTGCACATCTGCACATGTACACTTAAACTTAAAAGTTGGAAATAAAAAAATCCATATAAAAAAGAAAATGAAGAGTAGAGAAGTTGGATCTACTACCAACATCAAATAATGAATAAAGTTCTATGAATGACATTAAAATCTTACCAAAAAAGCAGGTGGGGAGTTAAATATAGGCATAAAATAAAGAGCAAGGAACAAGTAGCAGGAGGAAGCAACTGAGGAATATTTTGTTTTTAGCTCCTCAAGCTCTCTTTAATTGGTTATTGTCACTATATTGTATAGCCTTTTGGTTATTGATTGTGTAATATTTGGTTGAAAGGTTTGGCATAAAGGTACAGTTTTCACGTAGACAGCTTCCTTCCCAGGTTGCAATGACTGCACATCTGCTCCCACCTGCTTGATACGGGCCTCTGCTCTTGGAGAATATAGAGCGACGGATGGCTGCTTATGGTGCCATCGATGCCCTGATGGCTTGAATGATTTCTGACTCTACCTAGACCTACAGTCTGACTCCTTCAAATCCTTTGATTTTTTTTCCTTTCTATGCCTATGTTCTTCTAGTTTTTCTTATTTACTGCCTGCTTAGATACACTTCTTTGTCTCAACTTCCTTTTCTGGCATGATGTCAATTCCTGGTTGCCTACTTGCCTTGTGTGCAGGTGTATCTTGATCTTTACTCTGTTATTGGTCCTGACTCTGCTCTATTCAAGTGGTCACAATTTATCAACAGCCTCACACTTCACTCTTCATTCAGTTAATGGGCCCACTATTTGCCAAATTTTGTTTTTATCTTATAATCCTAGAAAGGAAATAATTAAACAGCAAGCATAAAATACATTTTCTCCTTTAATCAGAATTTGGTGCCTGGAGACTAAAATAATGACTGTCATCCTGGCAAACAAATAGATGATATTTGCTGGTGGGAGAGTTCTTACCTTGGAAATACTTTTGGCAAGATATGCCTGATTTTCTAGCCTTGTCAATAGCAAACAGCCATGCATTTCAAAGATTTATGAGGCATGATTATCCGAAGACAAATGACTATATTTTATACCAAAAATTACTCCTCCTGTGTATGTGATGTGACTCCATATGTGTTCTGGAGAACTTCATATTTTAATCTGTGCCAGGTGTATGCTCACAGCGTAAGAAAAGGCCTAGAGAGTTATGTTGGTCGTCTTGGACCCATTTTTGTTTGTTCTTTGTCTCATGATTAATTGTTTCCTTTGAATAATTAGTAAAACTTACATTGGATAAGCTTTCTGATTCTTATGATACTGGATGTACAATCTAATCCTTTTTGCATTACTATTTACTCAATATCATTTTGCTGTTATTAATCAATGTCCACAGTTCTAAGGCTGAAAAACTATTAAAATCTCCAAGAGTAAGATAGTTTCATTATAAAGTTCTGTCATGAGAAAATAAATCATTGTGACTATATGAAAGAACTTACTTGAGCACTGCAAGGCAGATCATGGCTTTTACTTAAAGTTATTTATTTTTAATATATAACTTCTGTAATCTCTCTCAGAAATATTCATCAAGAAAAACTACCAATTATGTTAGTGCCATTTCTAAAAAGCTACCTTTTCTTTTTCTAGAAATATGGGAACGTTGTAAAAAATTATATTTCCTCAAAATTTTGGGTAAATATAATTGCATAATGCAACCTATGGCAAATATTTAAATCTTTATTAATCCAAAGGAAAATAAATTGGCTTTGACTAATAATTACTAAATATCTACTAAATACTAGGACATGTGCTATGATTAACATATGTTAATTAAATCTCATATGCCCCACAATTTTTTTCAGGTAGCAATTATTATTTATAGGTGAGAAAACAGATTTGAGAAGTTAAGGAGTAGGTAGTCCCTGGATTATAGTAACAAAATGACAGCAGACAAATTAAATCATAGCTAGTTTAATGAATGCCCATCCTGTCTTTCCTACAGCATGCTATCTAATATAACACTGATCTAAGCACACATTACTATACGGTAAACTGGGAAAAGAGTTGCTCTGGATTCTGTACAATTATTAGAACATTTAATAATAATTTTATAGTAACTACTGATTTTTAGTTTAAAATTCAAAACAATTGATAGTAATTCATCTTTTAATATTTTAAACACATTTAGTTATATCTCTGTTTGTAACTGAATCAAACATTGTCAAATTAATTCCAACAAAACTACATTATTTATCATTTGATATAAATTACTAATTTTAATTTATTGATTGTGTGGTTATACATGTATTGGATTTGTTTTATAATTGCATAAGAACTGTAAACATGAAAAGTTTGATAGAGATTTATAAAAGAATTTAAATCAACAGTAGGAGCTCAGACTTTTTTTTGTTTTTTGAAAAGGTGAGTACCTTGGACATTTTCAGAAACAGAGTCTAAAATTCCTTGTGCTTTGACAATTATGGTGGACAAAGCTAAGAGATTACAATTTGGCAGGGAACAGAATGCTCAGGCATTTTGGATCTTATGGTGGTTGTTTCTCAATGCAAATCAACAATCTTCTAATTAAGTTATCTTTCCCAAATTTGTATATATTTTCAGTAACGCAAATTTCTTAGAGCCTGATTAGTTCTGGGCCTTCTTTTAAAAAGTGAAAGATGAGATAATAGAAAATAACCCCCTAATATTGTTGTTACTAGCCCACCTTCAACTCCATATTAAATTTTATACAAAAAGTTAAAAATTTCTAGGTTTTTAAAATGAAAAATTGAGGCACAAAATGTTTACTTCATCAAAATGGGGACATACGTCATACATGAATGGGGAAAGAAGGAAGGGAGACAGGAAGCACAGGTAGAAAGAAAAATGTATCCTGCAATTTGACTTGAATTTAGGCATTGGGATAAGGATGTTTAGGCATTCGAGTTAAACAATCAGTTACCTGCTTTCGATATTTCTTCCAAGTCTGGTTTTGCTTTACGTGGATATTTATTTTTCTAATAGAATGAATTCGTTTGAGAAAAACTACCACCGCTCAAAATTGAGCTATCATTTTAGCTATCATTAACAGCTAACAAAGTAGTAGTATTTTAAAATTCCTGCATTTTTAACTCAATGTAATCTCATGATGTTTCAGAGAGGTAGGTACTGGGATTATGACCATTTTACTGATGGAGAAGTAGAGAAATGAGAGAAAGATGATGTAATTTAAACAGACTGTAGGGATAAATTCAAACTAGTGTACAGCTCCTTAGTCACTATATTGTATAGCCTTTGCATGACCTGGCAAATGAATTTTGGCAGTCAATGGTTTGGCTTTGTTTTTTTGTTTTTTTTTTTTTGAGATGGAGTCTCGCTCTGTCGCCCAGGCTGGAGTGCAGTGGCGCAATCTCGGCTCACTGCAAGCTCCGCCTCCCGGGTTCACGCCATTCTCCTGCCTCAGCCTCCCGAGTAGCTGGGACTACAGGCGCCCACCACCACGCCCGGCTAATTTTTTATATTTTTAGTAGAGACGGGGTTTCACCGTGTTAGCCAGGATGGTCTCGATCTCCTGACCTCGTGATCCGCCCGCCTCCGTCTCCCAAAGTGCTGGGATTACAGGCTTGAACCACCACGCCTGGCTAATTTTTTGTATTTTTTTTTAGTAGAGACGGGGTTTCACCGTGTTAGCCAGGATGGTCTCGATCTCCTGACCTCGTGATCCGCCCGGCTCAGCCTCCCAAAGTGCTAGGATTAATGGTTTGGCTTTTTAAAAGCCTCACTAGCGAACATATTTATAGATGATTTTGTTTAAGACATGGAATCTATAATGGTTGCTATTAAAGAGTATTGATTGTCTGTTGGGTGTGTCACAGCTAACTCTTATTCAGTAACTAAAGCTGGTATGTGATGCCAAGGATTGAGCACAGAATGCATGCCTGCTAGTCACGGTGATCTCTTTATAATACTATTCTAAGGACTATGCATCAATATTTCATAATCTATAGGCTCAGTATTTGATGAGATATTTTATCTCTATTATACTTTAAACTTATTTTGCAATTAAAATTTTTTAAATAAATGGGTTATTATTTTGAGGTTTATGCCTTTTAGGTTGAAAATGTTACAGTAATCCTCATGATTTTATGAGTAAAAATGAAGACTGTTTAAAGTGGATTGATTGGGAATATGTACACACTGAGGCAGCCTTACGCTCAATATCTCACAAATCAGTTGGTAGAATTAAGTTTTAACATGGTTAAAGTTTTGACTAAACCTACATTCTTATTATGATTAAAAATGGGCTATGTATGAAGTGCAGTTTATGTCAAGAAATCTAATCATATTTTATTTTCCTCATAGGAATATTTTATTTTACTTTGATTTCTATTTATAATTGATTTGTATCAAATAATGCTGCTTAAAATAATTATATTAATATAAATAAAGTATCCCAATCATAAATTAATTGTATTTTCCTTTGGTAGATATTTCAAAGCATTTTGTCATTATTTATGACAGATACACAGAAGTACATACACCTTCTTAACCTGTTAATTTTCATGGTGGAGCCATCAGATTAAGCTTCTTTCTACTGAATTTCTAATTTGTGGTAGGTAGCCAGATGTAACTCTTTCAGTTGATTTGGTAGCAGGAGATAGATTCACCCACACTCCTTCTGCTAACATTATGGTGGTAGAGTGAGAAGAGAGATTATAAAAAGAAGCATGCATAGTATTATGGTCAGACACTTGAAAAAAATTATAATGCCAGTGAAAAACTCAATGACGCTTCAGTATCCTTACATTCATTTCCAAATGCAAGTACCTTTTATTCCTTCACACAAGTGTCATATCACAGCTATGCTTTCACCAAACCAATAGCTGGCAAACATTTACTTCTGTGAGTAAACTCAGTAGTTCCATCTATAAACAGTTATTTCCATATCAGCTGCTTGGTTGTTAAAATTATTTAGCTGTTGTTGAAAGCTTATGATCCTTGTTCTGTTAAATAAGTTGATATATATGTAAAATGTTTTGACCAGTGCCAGGATATAGTAAGCAATATAGAATGTGATGTGTTATATTTTTTTCTCAAATTAAAGCTTGGCTCTTTTGGCAGATTTTAAGACGAGACAATACATCTAACTTTCTAGATTTAAAATATCATACACACACTAACACATATTATTTAAAATATATCTTTTAATTTCATCCAGCTACCCCAATACTGGGTATATCCCCAAAGGAAAAGGAATATCCTCTAGCAAAGTGGCACCTACTGAATATTGCTATTGGTAAACTTCATGATCACATAGCACTGTGACGTAAACCGTGTTGCTATAGTCAAATTCTAAGGAGAAATTTAATGCATATTTTAAAATGTTTTTTTTGTAGGATGTTAGCCTTTAGAAAAAAGATACGTATAATCTTAATTCTCATATAAGCTGTAACCCACACTTCTCAAATAAGCAAACTCAGAATTGTGAACAAAAGAGAAGAAGCAGCCTGAACAGGAGCAATTCCTGTGTCCTTTGTCTGAGAAAACCTAGGGAATAAAATATCAGATCAAATGCCATTTTCAAACAGCAGGTTGAGTCAGAATAAATGAATAATTTAGGAAACTTATTTTCTGGCTTTAATATCTTTAGTAAAGCATTAAGGTCTAGGCACCCCTCACCACTCTCCACTGCTGTCCCCACTCACCTTCAACAACAATGGTCAACATCAAAGTGATTTGCTGCTGGGCATTTCAGCATATTAACATGACATTCTAATTAATCCAAACAAGAAGTCCTGTTGCTTTTAGAAGCTAATGATCAGAGGAAAGCCATGATTAGTCATGTCAGGTTAAAAAATTTCATCAGTCTCATACTTTCTTACATTACCAAATTGACAGAAAGTGACAGTCCTTGAAAAAGATGACAGCTGTTTACCACTATTTCAGATAGAATCAAAACAAATCCAAACAGGACAAAACAGATAAAGGGAGGCAGAGACAAGGAGCAAGAGTAAAATAAAAAGAAGAAAGGGATTATTTAGCTACTACTTTGTATCATGTAGTAGCAGCTTTACATTCCAAGCAGAAAAGTCTAAGACATCCAGAAGTTCTCTTCAGCAGTTGGTGACACTTGCACCATATGCTCATCATTCGAGCCTTTTCCTATCACTGGAGTGTGGGACGGAACTAGCCAATCACACCAAATGTGGCTTTCAGAAGGAAGTCAACTAGTTTGCCATGATACAAGCATAAAATAATTAAAAGATGATGAAATTGAAATAAGATGATGAATTTGAAATAAGTAATTTTCAAATTATACTTAAAAATGTATAGCAAGGATTTTATTCAATGATACTTTAGGTAAATATTTTTAAATATGAAAGTTTCATATTTTTTTCCTAAGAAATAAAAAAAAGGTGACATGTGTTACATGGAATGCATAATTTTATTGTGCTAACTGAATTGTTAAGATTTGAAAATGTATTTTTATGTTTTAGCACAATATTTGGCATTCTAACATGGTGAACATTAAAGAAATTGATAGTGACATTCACTGAGCAGTACTTAGTTTCTTACAAATTATTTATAGAAGTACATGTGGTAGATGCTAAGAAAGACCCCATGTACAGTCACATAATATAAACAAAATTAATTTTTACTACCCAAAATTCCAATGGAAAAAACGTACTGAAAATAAAATGCAAAACATCTCCACCTAAAGAGCAAACGACTTCCCTTTTAAAGCAGCTTGTAATCACTCCTAACTAGCTCAAAATCAGGAATCACATTACCTAGGATGTCTTGATCCAACTTCTTACAATGAAGATGTCCTCACATAGTTCCAGAATACTCCCTAGTTCAGCAAGTACTGCCAACAGTCAGCATGTTTTGGTGGTTTTTATAAAATAGCCTCCACAAATTTTTTAGAACTTTTTTCCTTTTATCAATGGTCTATGTTGCCTACCCGTGGAAATCTCAGCAGACTTGAGCTGGCTGAGAAGAAAGTGACACAGCCTGTCATCTGAGACTAAGTCATAAAAGACCATGCAGCTTCCAACTGGTTATCCTGGAATGTTTGCTCCTGGAGTGGTTTGTCTTGGGTGTGTGCTACTGGGACACAACAGTCATGCTGTAGGAAGCCCAAACCACACAAAGAGAATACATATAGGTGTTCCTGTTTATAGTTCTAGCCTTTGAGTGATTCCAACCTAGGGACCAGGCAAGTTAATGAAGACAACTCTAGACAATTCCACCTACTTAGGTCTTCCCAGCTGAGGCCCCAGAGTTTGTGGGCAGATTACCTTCCTCTCTGTACCCCATCTATACTCCTGACCCTCAGAACTATGAGCATCCTAAAATGTATGCTATTTTATGCCACAAATTTTAAGGTGGCTAATATACATCAATAGATAACCAGGAAACAAAAAACTAATTATCAAGGTAGTTTTATATACTAAATCTGTGTATTTAGAATCTTACATATACTTCATTTAATCTTTACCACAACCTAAGAGACAGGTATTTTTAATCTGCTTACACATGGAAAATTGAACTTCAAAGAAGTTAAGCAACTTTCCTGAGAGCATTCTACTTTTAAGTGGCAAGGTTGCAATTACTCATGTCTGAAGTCTATTTTTAAAATGTTATTGAGTTTTTCTAGTCAGGTTTATAAAAACTAAAAAAAGAAACGGTCTTCCTAAGTGGTTATTTTAATGTTTCTCAAGCTCAGTATTCTAGATATTGTCAAACATGATTCAAATTAACATCCCTTCATTTCAGTGAAAAAGCACTTTTGCATAACATAATCTGAAAGAAGGGGCAGTTGCTGAGTTCATATTTTAATTAGTCTGATGTCTGACTCTTTTTAGTGGATACTTAAACATACTTCTTGAAAAGATGAATGCATGAATGAATGACTTAACCAGTTCATGTTAACCTTAGAGTTCTTTGAGGAATGTTCTAGCAGATTGCTTGATACTTTCAAAGAAGCATGCAATAATCTTTCATGATCATATTTGCTTTGTCCTCCTCTATTTATTGTAAGATGAGAGTGACAGATATTTATCCCTTTCATTATTTCAAACCAGTAAAATATTTTATTTAAGTGAATACTTAATACTTTTTGATAATGCCTTAAACTAGAAAGCATAGAATGGAGATGCAGAATGAATCAGCATTATTGAGCCATTTCTTCTGAGTGAACTTGAAATTACTGCACAGCAAGAATAGGTGTCTTCCAAATCTCATAGAGGTGCTATAAGATTAAAAATGGTAAGACACAGGCAACATTTTTAATGTTTTGGAAGTTAAAATGCTGTTTGTAATAATGTCTCTTATTAATATTATCATCATTAAAATATTGCCATCTTTAAAGAAATGATATTAACGTGTTTGTTGAAGACTTTTTCGTTGATGTTTCTATAATACTAAAAATCAGATGAGTAAAGACAAAAGATTGTAAGCCTCTACAAGTAGTTCAATACATCTTATATTATCATTGCTTAATTACTAGGTTAGTGATGCTTTTAAGTGAAAAATAGCTTCAGGGAGTCATGGAGGGTAGAAAGGTTAAGCACTTAACTGACAGAAACCTGCCCCTTCATCTCAGATTTATCATGACCCAATCTCATATTGATTTCATTTCATAATGGATTACCTTAGCTTTATAAGATTTCATAGGGGGAAATTTTTGTATAAAGATATGGGCAAAACATTATTAAAAAACATTTGGACTATAGAGGAAAATTCTTAAAACACACAATTCTGTTACAGAAATATGCAGTTAACAGATGTCTTCTGAAGACCTTTTGCTAATTACAAGTACTACTTGCAAATATAATCCATCAAACAAACTAACAGAGATTAACACATTAATTAAGTAGCTATGGTTATTTTTAAAAAGTATTTCTGGTTTTAGTGTTTTCTTTGAAAAGTATCTACAGTCTAATTGGGGACCCAGATACTAAGCAATCATTTGAACTTAGTTGAGAACAAAGCTTAGAATCCAGGTACATATTGCTGTAAGAGTGTATTTAATAGGACCATTTTACTCAGTAAATGAAGTGAGTGGATGTTTACTAAGAAGTTGCTATGCTGAATTAAAATACTACTTCATCTGGCAGGGTTGAGATTAACTTTACTAATTAAAGGGTTTGAAATTCTTGGGGCACTACCATTTGAGGCTAAACAAAGTTGAAAACCTGTTTTTCTGCTCGTCAAAGTCCTTCCTCCCTGATTCTCATCTCCTTTCTGGGGATCAGTCTTTTCTTAAAATGATTTAAAGAAGAAAATATGATCTGTCTTTAAGGTAAATCTTACTCTACACACTACAACCATATCCCAACTGGCAAGGCCACAAACCTGTGAAATCATACTCATTTAATGAGACCATGTCTAGTACATCAAACATCCAGGCCTGGTGGAACTTTGCCATGCTGGGGTTCATTTTCTTACAATCTCTCTACCTGAGAAGGACGATCAATGCTATATGTCTTGTCTCCAGTGCTCTTTCTCCTCATTCCTTATTTCTAACTAATGACCGTACTTTACAAGTGCTTGAGAACCACCCATAGTTCATCATATCTACTACCACATGAGAACACAAACACTTTCCCCAAAGAAGTTGCAGTATCTATAGAACCATAACTCTTTTAAAACAATTGAACAGCAATTTGAATTTCCTTCACAGCTGGATTTTTGGATTAAAGTATCCGCAATCAGGATATTCTAGTTTCTCTCAAGATAGTGGGTCATATTTGCTTCACATATATGTAAAGAAACGATTGATTTTTTTGCACTTTTCATAAAACCAAGGAATGCTATTTCTTACATTTGAATTTGTGTCCACCTCTTGCTAAACTGAAATAATATATGGCTGTTAAATAGTTGTTTCTGCTCCAGGTACCACTCGACATGGTTCAAAAATTTCAAGGTTGTTAAAGCCAGGACACACTTTGTTATTCACAAAATAATAAATTCTGAATTCTAACAGTGAGGAGGCAAAACTGATGAGCATATTAAAAATTGGGTTCTATGTGGCAATACATTAAGTTACAAAGTACAACTCTGAACTGTAGACTTTTAAGTTACTGTTTGCGTATACAGTCTTTGCGTATTTACACTGTAGATAGAAAGATGAATAAGACATTCTTAAGAGTTGATGGGTGGAGAGTTATATAAATAAAGAATTATTTCGAAAGATGTTTATAGAGTGAGAATGACATTTAATAGGAGCATTTTACTCATCAAGTATAGAGGTTATGCTGAGTGTACCCAGGTGAGAGCTGATCATTTAACCTGGAACCAAAGTTTAAAGGTCATAATAAATTAATTGAGGAAATGTTTTTAAGTGAAATATACATTTTTAAATATGACCGAGTCCTTTTATAATTATCAACAGTTTTGGTTTTCATTAAACATTAAGTGCCTCTTTCTTAATTCTTCACCGGCTTTCCCTGCCACCTGCTACGCATTACGGTTCCCCCAACTACCAACCTTTAGTGTCCTATAAAATGAAACTCTTCTTAATTTTAGCATGAATAAAACATAATAAGCAGGATGAATCAGCCACCAGAAGCTCACATAATATATTCCAGGAACAAATTAAAGTGACATTTGTTTAATAAACTCCTTTTATATCCATGAACTGGCTTGTCTTCATTGAAAGTAAATATTCAAAGCCACTGAGATTGAACTAAAAAGTCAGAGTAACACTTTTGGACTCTCCCAATTTATTCTTGATTAATGACTAAGGTATTAGGTTTCATTTCTTCTCAATTCCAGTAAAAATTAACTTTTTAGTTTCTGCTAATGCCTTTTCATTAAATGTAAAATACTGATTACTAATGATTTTCTTCTGTGTTGTGTAATTTAAAAAAATAAAATTTAATTTTCCCAGTAATAAGCACAGTTTAAAAATTTTTTTCCACATAAGTTTATCATTCAAAATTTCAGAACTTGCTATAATTGCCACAAAAAAAGTCTTGATGTCACCTCCTCTGAAAACTATTTTAGGCAGAATAGATGGGCCAACCTGAGTCACAAACGATAACTGTGTCTTGTAACTCTACGTACTATGATCCAGAGTTTCTGCTGTGCCACAATGGTGTCTAGAAGAGAAATTTTCCTTCCTGTGGTTCCGTTTAATCAAGAGGGCTCCGTGTTGCAGAATAGCTCCCAGTGTTCATTTAGTCAAATTCTTTGAATTCACTTGATGTTCATTTCCCCAGTACACACCCTGCCAGTAGGATGGTTGGACTAGAAGGGATTGTGGTGTCAGTTGTTTTGCATATATCAAACTAACATTTCTTCTCCATCCAGCTTTTGTGGCAGATAATTCATTAACAAATTTATTCTTTTCCAGTTCTTACAATCGGTTCCCTAAGACACCTTATTTTCCTTTGCTCCTATTTGGCCTTGGTCAAGCATCATAGCCTATGTCATCAGCGAAGTTACAGTAACTGTAACCCATAAAGACACAACAGGTCGTGAGCCCGAGTGGCCATCTCCTCCCTATGTAAATTTGTGGGCATAAACAGAAATGTGCTCTTACTGAATACATCATAATCCTGTATGTTCTACAAATGTTTTTACTTATTCAGGAAATTATTGATGTTTTTGTGGCCTAACACAGCAGTAATTTTCATAATTATGCTATGAATACTTAGGAAATATAGATCCTATGAAGTATAGATTTTACTATATAGCTACCTGGTCATTCTTACTGATGTTATTATTACAGGATCATTTCTACTTTATTTACAGGACTTTTTACTTTGTCAGAGGCGATTTCAAGTCTCTCTGCACGGTCATGCTTATTTCACTTTGCATTCCTTGAATTTGTCCAAATTTTATGTATTTGGGACATAAAGATTTCTAAATATTATATATTTATTATAAACTATATCTTTCAATATTAAGATTTCCTAACTCTGATACTACAATTTCAGTTCCTAGTTTCTTCTCTTGTTTCTTTGCCAGGTTATATTTTTTGCTATCATTTTACTTTCTGCTTTAGGTACTCTTACTGGGTCTATAGTATATACTTGCTGTGTGTTGTGTGTGCTTTTGTGTTTTCATAACACACTTTAATGATCTGTTTTTCATGTTTTCCCCCAATTTTTGGTTGTATTAAGTACTTTTTCAATTTCTGACATATGAAGACTTTTCCCCCATTTTTAATAGTTTCTTTCTATTTTATTTGACTCCATATTTGTCATATTGTTTTATTGCTATGCCATATTTTTTGCTATTTCCCAGTAATTTTAAAAGATTATAGGATTTTAAATATAATTTTAATAAGTTTTACACTTTTCAATCATATGTTTAAATGCACATTTCTCAGTTTCATCATATGAATGATCGTTATTTGTAAAGTGAAGAAAGCTTTACATATACCTCTTCTTTGCCCCTTAATTGGGTGTAAATACATACTGAAGTCTTGACCACAGATTATTGAGCCTGTCATCTTATATCCTGTTTTATACCTCTAAGTATAATTTTTCTTTAAAAAGGGACTTAATTCTATTTACTAATACAATATTAACATCAATACTTTCATCCTAACACATTTGTTGTGAGTTATTTATTTTGCTCTATCAAAATAAAGTCATCTTCTAGTGGACACTTTGAGGGAGAGGGGTACATGGGTAATAGACTTCCAGATTTTTATTTTTATTAAGCAATGTTTTTCTATGATCTGGGAATATATAAATGTCAACTGCACTTGGCATAGAATATTTTGTTCTTATATAAAGACTTTGCCAACATCTTTTCATTTGTCTTTTGACATCAAGTATTCTGAAATGAAGCCTAATAAACAATTACTCTGACAAATTTTAGGAAATTTATTAAGTATCAAAGTTTAAGAGAGAATCTTAAAAACATCTAGGGAGAAGCATGAGGTCACTAACAAAGGTTTCCAAATCCAACTTTTGCTTTCTCATGTGTCCAAGTGAATAGTATTTGGTCATTATTTTTGAAGTTTATATGAGATTATTTTATTTCCTTGTTTCTTAGTAAAGTTGTTTTCTTGATTTGGTGAATATTTTAGTTCATTTTGCTGCCACTCAGGGGAGGATAATCTGTAAATAGGAAATACCACCACATTCTCAAGAGTTGTATTTTCTCCTTCAATAATGGATTGCTAGCTACAAATACAATAAAATAATAAAAAGGAGATAACAATTTAATTAAGCTAACTACAGACAAAATAGATCTGTCTGCATCGAGAGTCTTAAAAATAGTACTTCATTGGATTAAAATTCAGCCAATCTGAGCATTTTAATTTTTTAGATGGGCCCATGGTCTAAACATTTATCTATGTATTACCTCTATTACCTAAATATTTAACAACAACCCCAGGAGTATAACAAGGTTTTCCCATTATCGCCCCAGATTTTTATCTATCACTTTATATTGTTATTAAATATATTTGTGAGCTAACATGGCTGGTAGGAGAAAACAGCCACTCTGTTTCAATGATGACTTGAAGATAATTGCAACATGATTACACTGGCCTCTGTGATATATTGTCTTGCACATCCTTTATGAATGAAGGACTGATTTTCCTAGCTGGTGGGAGAACTGTGGCAGAGAGCCCTTAGCTGTCAGCCTTCTATGGGAAATTTCTTGGTTGTAGAAATTCCCGCGGTCATGTTCCTTTACAGGGAAGCCTTTACACAGTGACTGACTGATGTGTGAGGTACAGAAGCCCACCCTCCGTGTCCCAATTCAGACACCTCTGAAGAACTCTACAAGTTTGGTTGAAGAATGTGTTGAGATTGCATCACAGCTAACCTTCCTCTGCCCAATATTGCTTCCTTTTAATCCCAAGGGTGTTTCTTAATAAACTTTCAGCATATAAATTTGCATTTTAGGTTACTGGAAAACCCAAACCAACATGGGATAAGGAAAAAAAAAATAACCCTTTTTTGTACCAATATAGCTGGACATATTTTTATTATATAACATGAATATATTTTCACTTTAAGCATAAGAGTACAAGAGTAAGGGAACATGCCTGCAATTCCCCAAGGTTTGTTTGATTTTATCTTATATGCAGTTCATTATCCAGCCAGTAAGTGTTTGTTGTACTCGAACCTGTGCCAAGTGCTGGGAATTGAGGGATGAGGACAAAGGAGTAGAAACTCAGCCTATTGAGATATTCTTCAAAAGGCTCTCCTCAGTATAAGTTAGTAATCACATAAATAGACAAGATATTGATATATTATAATAAACGCTATGAAGAAAAATCAGACTGAGGATTTTTAAAAGAGATTGAAGATGAAGTGAGATAAGGTGGGATCAAGAAAGGCCACTTTGAGGAAATTAAGCTCAGGCCTGAAAGAGGAGAAGATGACAAGAGAATTCCAGGCAACCAAAAGAACACATGACAAGGCCTTCTCACAGGAGAATGTTCAGTGTGTATGAGTAACAGAAGTCCATGGTGGCTGGAGCATAGTAAGTGAGGGATGCATGACATGAGGTTATACATACATTTAGAGTTAGGGGGTCAGAATATGGGGTGTGAGCTTTCTTGCACAAGTATTGAGAAGCTTCTGGAAGATTTATCTAGGGCAGTGACCTGATGTAATTCCTTTCCTGTTTTCTTTTTCTTTTTCTTTTTTTGGTGATTACTCTCTTTGCTTTCTAGAGAACAGATAGTAGAAGGGGGAAGTGGAAATATGCAGACACATTAGGGACCCATCAAAATATTGAACTGAACTGATGGGTTTGGCCGTGGTTTGACCTAGAGTGGTTATTATGGAGAATGAGCAGAATGGATGCATGAGAGAAATTTCTCAAGTTTGAAATGGTTGAGCTACAGATTGGATACAGGTAGGAAGATGGTAAAGGAAGGGATGACATCAGGTATACTTCGAGTTTGGTGTTGACAAACAGGGTGCATGGTACAGCCATTTATAGAAGGCTTCAGTAGAACAAGGAGACTTGGAAATTATTCGGAAAGGTCAGAGACTGTGTTCTGAATCTTATGGTAGAAACAGGAAGGATTCTATTGTATACAGTAACAGGAAGAAGAATCCAAATGCAACTTTTTTGACCAGCTTTACAGAGTTCAGCCAAACAAGCCATAACTAGTTCAACCTCATGTTAGAGATGAGCAAACTGAACTTCAGAACCTGTAAACAACCTGTCAAAATCATCTGACTAGCCAGAAGAATATTTTGCCCATTATATGATACTTTGTTTATTTAAATAGTTATTATTTTAGATATTTTACTTTCTTGATTTTATTATTAAGCACAAATAACATTGTATTTAAAGTTTATCTCTATTTTTCATTTTTCTTATTTTATCATAATTTCAGGTAAAAATCAATAAAAAAATTATATTGAAATTGAAATATTGAATTTTATACTAAAGACAAGGCATCCAAATGAAAATGAAATTTTCCAGGTGAAAATTTCCAAATCATAAATATGTAGGGACAAAAAACTTTATTCATAAAGAAAGATATAAGATAATTCTAATTAATTGATGATTCAAAGGTTTACAACTTTAAAAGTAAATATTATCTTTGAAGTAAAGTCCATTTAAATTATTTATGCAGCCAAAGTTTTAGTAACTGTATATGCATATCATGTAAACTTTTTCGAGAAAAATTGAATTGGAAATGTTAGAGTATTATGTGGAAAAAAATCACCTACAAGAAAAAATTATCTCCTTATGAAGGATTACTTTAGCCACTTTGACAGGGGTAGGTAAAAGAACACTAAATGCACATCAATATGATTAGCAGATGCATGCTTAGAAATATCTTATCATTGAAAAGAGAATTGTATTATCACCTTTGCAGGGCCTCTTCTTATCCTTCATATTTATGTAACTTTGTCATCTATAGAAAGATTATGGGAATTTTAAAAATAGCTGATAGTTAAGAAACATCACCATAACACTGTGCTGAATACATAATAAAACATTTCCCTTCTCTCTAAAAGCCTTTTAAAATTATGTACCATAATCAGTACAGCTAGAAGAGGGTATTTTCCATGTTCAAGTTCTTCTGTTTCTTGAGGTTGAGAATCCTTTTATAGTCTTCTGAGGATGACACTGTACTGTTTTTTTAGCCTGATTATTTTCACCTATTTTTTCCTTTCTGTTCCTTTGCATATTTACATTTTATATATTGCAAGTTATTTTTTCAAATATTTTATATGCAAGTTTACAAAGTACATTGACTGTACATTAAAATAACTTATTTATGCCATATGGAAGTTTAAATATAATTTTACTATATCTAGTATTGATTGTTTAGCTTCTAATCATTGATACTTGACATGATTTTTCCCAGCATACCTCAAAATATTCTTCAAAATCCTGCTAATTAATTCCTGTAACACTTCTGAGGTGTATTAATAAGCTAGAGATGTAAAGAAGATTTGAAGAGAAAATTAGGTTCCCAAATTAGAAATTTTGTCCCACTATCGACTAGAAACCTCTTGAAATGATCAAAAACAAAAATAATACATGTCATAGAGGATAACCAATAAGCCTGCTGCAGCATGACTACCTACGTGACCTCAGACAGGTTACGTGTGGGTCCCTACCTCTGTGACCTCAGACAGGTTACGTGTGGGTCCCTACCTCTGTGACCTCAGACAGGTTACGTGTGGGTCCCTACCTCTGTGACCTCAGACAGGTTAGTGTGGGTCCCTACCTCTGTGACCTCAGACAGGGTACGTGTGTGTCCCTACCTCTGTGACCTCAAACACGTTATGTGTGGGTCCCTACCTCTGTGACCTCAGACAGGTTACATGTGGGTCCACACTTATTTTCTTCATCTCTAATAAGAAATATTTGACAAATCTCATTTTCAAAAGTCTTTTAAGACCTTTCCACCTTTTTTTTTTTTGAGATGGAGTTTCGCTCTCATTGCCCAGGCTGGAGTGCAATGTCATGGTCTCGGCTCACACAACCTCCGACTCCCGGGTTCAAGTGATTCTCCTGCCTCCACCTCCTGAGTAGCTGGGATTACAGGCACAAAACACAACGCCCAGCTAATTTTTTGTATTTTTAGTAGAGATGGGGTTTCACCATGTTGGTCAGGCTGGTCTCGAACTCCCGACCTCAGGTGATCCGCACGCCTCGGCCTCCCAAAGTGCTGGGATTACAGGCATGAGCAACCGTGGCCTGTGAGGGCTTTCTACTTTTAAGATTTCAGGATGTATAGCCTGGGAGGTAAATGGTAGTGTGTGTGTGTGTGTGTGTGTGTGTGTGTATACATATACTGTATAGATATACATATATACTATATATTATACTATATATACTGTATATTATACTATATATTATACTATATATACTGTATATTATACTGTATATATCTACTGTATATTATACTATATATACTGTATATTATACTGTATATATACATATCTACTGTATATTATACTGTATACACACACACACACACGAGACAGAAAGAGAGAAGAGATAGAGAATTTCATGTGAAACTATAAACTGTTAACATTTTGCTTCTCTGAGGAATATTTAGCATTGTTCTCAATCTTCTCTGGAGAATTTAAGCATTTTTCTCAGAAGTCAACAGATAGAATGAGGGAGGGGCCATGTGATAGGAGCCAGAGATGAAGGGAGAACAATACAAAGAGTGCTTTGGGAAAAATAGTGCAGTAAGGCTAGGGAATACTTCGCTCCAACAAAAAGACCAAGGTCACAGCTATATCTCTTCAGAAGCCAATCTTTCTTTTAAAATGTCAATTTCCATCTATTTCTTGCTTCACAGACATTCCATTCATTGCCGGATTTAAAATAAAGCCTTTCCATGTGCAACCTTTCTATAGACAAAGAGAAATATGGGGGACGGTACAGTCTAAGAAGTGATTAAGAATACCCAGTGGACTTTCCCAGACTGTAAATCTTTACATATATCTGAGCCTAATGAGGTGATTTATTGTGCTATAATGCACAGTGAATTATACAGACGCTTCTTTTTGATCATACTGCAGAATGGAACTAAATACTAAATACCAGATAGCACTCCGATGATTCTTATAGATGTCATTCACATGGCATATTTATGCTTTTTTATATAGCAATTCTTATTCTTAGCTCTTAGGCAATTATGGAATCTTTTTTGTCATTTTAATAATCATGTTCCTTTTGAGTTATGCAAGGTAGAATTTCTAAGTAGAAAGTCTTGTTTTTATTGAACGTTTTTAGTAAACATTTTGGAAAAAGTCTCTGTTTTTTGATGCTACTTCTGCACACTTTCTCAACATGATATTACTTGGTATTGTCCTTATTAACCTATAGTACACCGTATTCTGAAAATATTAGAGAGGGTTAAAAATCAGTCATGTATAAACAAAGTTAATGAAATAGAAAGGAAACCACATTCAGGAAATGGAAGGCAGAAGCAAATGTATTAACCGTGAGTTAGAAACAGTTTAGTCTTTGGAATGAAGCAGCAAGAGTTTAAAAATCTTGTTTGTGATTCACTAGCTTTGTGACCTTGGAGAATTACTTCAGATTTCTGAGTATCAGTTTAGTAGGTGATATCAATTGCAACTTCGCAGAATTATCACAAGTATTAAATAAAGGACTTAGTATCTGGGAGAGCATATAAAATTACTAACAGTTACATTTTTGTTAATATTACCACTATTATTATCATACATATGGTATTTTCTTTCACTGACAATGCGTTTAGGACATAAGGAGAACTATAAAACAGTGCTTCTCCAACTTAAATGCATAGCATGAATCAGCTGGAGTTTTGTCAAAATACGAATTCTGACTCAATAGTCCTGCAAACTAAGGAACTCTTGGTAATGCTGGTGCTGCTAGTTCACCAACAGACCACACGTTTTGCAACAGCTATATAGAATGCCCTGTTTCTTTTTTTTTAATCACAAAACATGGCAAACTCTAAAATAAAGCAGAATAACAGATTTAAATATTAATACTCATGTCCTCACAATTTATAATTTCTCCCTCCCTAACAATGGTATAATTCTGATTAAAAATTAGCAAAGAAAAAATTGAAATTAATCTTCCTGTGTTTCTTCCTTTAACAAATTCTGGGTGATTACTGCTGGGTTACTTGCTGTAGGAAATAGAAAAATTGCTTTGACATAGATCCTTAAGAATCTGTCCCACTACAAGCTTATTTTTGTAGGAAGCTAAAAGATTTATATAAATAACCATAATTAAAGAGACAAACTAAGAAGTGCAATGAAAGACCTAGGAAAAGTGCTAGAGGAGTTCGGGGAGAGTAAAATTATCCTAAAATAATATCTATATGTAACATTATGCTATCTTCCCTAACCAGCGCTTGACCAAATTGTCACAGTGAACTTTGGTTCTTTCTTACATCTTGGTTTTGGTTGCCACATCCTTCTGTGTGGGGAAGTTCTTGGTTTCCTCATGTAATAATAACAATACTTAAACAGTGTATACTAGATAAGAGGAACTATATTGCTTGCTTTATTTACATAGTTTAGTTAATTTAATTTGCACAATGAACTATGAAGTAATCAGCATTATTTCCTTCATTTTACATACGAGAAAATGGAGAATCAGCGACATTAAATCATCTCAAGTTTCTAAAATATCCACTCTCACCAGGCTGTTTACCCTCTGTTTTTGTCTGTGTGCTGCTATAACAAAATGCCACAGATTGAGTAATTTATAAAAAACAGAAATGTATTTCTCACAGTTCTGGGGCTGAGAAGTCCGAAATCAAGGCAGTGGAGATTTGGCGGTTGGTCTGGACTGCTCTCTGCTCCCAAGGTGGCACCTTCTTGCTTCGTCTTCACATGACAAAAGTGGGCAAAAACGGACAATGTAAGGACATGGCAGAAGAGACTGAGGAGCCAGGCATTCCTCTAAAGCATCTTTTATTAGGGCATTTATCTCATTCATGAGGGTGGGTCCTTCTTCACTTAATCACTTAACCAAAAGCCCCATCTCTTAATATCATTATCCTGGGATTTTAGTTTCAACATACAAACTTTGGATGGGCACATAGGTTCAAATCATAGCACCCTCCAAATTATAATGCCTCTCCCAGGCCTGTTCTCCTTGAAGTACCCTCTGGTTTTGCTCTCTTCATTTTTGCCATCACGATTAACCCTTCAGTTCCATTTCTTTCAGTAATCTCTAAATTTGTAAGATGGTTCCATCTTTTTCTTTTTTGTATATGGCAGACTCTCAAACATATTTGTCATATGAACTAAGTAGGTAAATATGTAAATGCCTGCTAAATTTTAGTGAGTAATATAATGGCCTAAAGATTTATCTACCCTTCAGCCACATATATTTGCTTTTAGTAGCAATCCCCTGCCGTATACAAAGTCATGACTCTAGGGGTAAACATTTTAGCCTGTGGGTAAGATGTAAAGCAGTGGTATGTTATAGTGACAACTCACTGTCATAGCACTGGGACGCGCTCCTCTATCTGCTACAAATTGAATCAGCAAAATATATTTGATTTTGTGAGATTTAAATGTATGCTCCTGTTAGTAAAATAAAAGTATGGGAAAACTTTACGGAGTAGATTTTATAGAAATGTTTTCCTCAGTTATCTGCCTTCTTTATTTTTATGTTATGCTTTAAGTCTATGGTCAATGTATAGAGCTATGATTGATGTGCTTTTTCAATTCTGTTCAGAACAGACAGGATAATTTTCTTCTTTTAAATCTTCTTGAATTTTGTCTAACATTTTTTTGTTCCAATTTCTTACTAGATTATACTCCCTTCCCTAACACTGCTTCATGATTACTTATACACAAACAATATTATGATAGTTATACATTGAATTCATTTTAGGTGATGATTTTGCTCATAAACATGAGCAGGTTGTGAAGTGTTTCAGCCATCCCAGGGCATGGCTCTCAGTCCCTTATCTAATGTTTCAAAAAAATCTTGAATTTGTGATGATGCTGTGATGGCCCCTCAGATGTTCTTACACACATCTTTGCACCTCGTTCCCTCTAACTTTCCTTTTCTGATAAAAAAGCAAACACTGCCAAGCTCAAATTGAATTACATTTGGATGCAAGTGTCACTATGCGATGGTTGCCAATAAAAGTACACAAGGAATTTTATCATGGTGAATTAAAGGCAAACAGACTTCGGAGAAATGAGTATGAGCATGAAAATGGCGCATGGTACGCCGATCTCACTGGAAAGCCATTCAGTACACAATGTTTTCACTAGAAAAATCCATTAGCTTTAGCTAAAAGTTGAAATTACTTTATAGGAAATCAGAATAAAATATGTGAAAACATTATATTCTGTGCAAGATTAATACCACGCATGGTGTTGAAAGGTTTGTGGTCTTCCTTTGACAATGCTAAAAGGTCAGAAACCACAAAGATGCATGTGTGCTGCCATTTGCACAGTTACTAATTTTTCTCATCATTTCCATAATGAGATGTACTGTTTCAACAGAGAAACCCTCTTGAGAGTGGCTTGCAGTGTTTTCAGGCAGCTCTTTTGCTTTCTTGCTTTGGCCTTGGCCAAGGAGTTCAGACAGACTTTTCACTTATTTTTGGCAAGAATATATTCATTTATTGTTTCAAATAATAATAAATAGATTTTAAAATTACTGTACATTACTGCACCTTAAACTCCATGAGGTCAAGGACTCTATCAAGTTTGGACATCATTTTATACCCTACATCTTGCACAAGGTTTAGAAAAAATGGCATGGAAACCTATTTTTTGAATCAATAAATGAATACATAAAAGAATTTCCAAACTCTAGTCCAAGGTTTTAGATTAATAATGTGTTAAAATGCATAAAATTTATAGACAAAACTATTCTTATTTAGAAGTTTATTCTTTAGTTGGAGAGATAAAATATGCACACATAAAAGCTTAAGGAAAAATAATAAGGGTTTTGAAGCACTTACTATGTGAAAAATTTAGCATAAACCTTACATCCATTTATTTAACACATTTTATATGTTTCATTATTTATACAGTGCTGATTGGTAGAATTCATATGTGAACAGAACTATAAAAATTTTGAGGATAAGCACTAGAAACACAGAATAAATAGAGTGTTAACATGCAAAACACAGAGATACTTACATTGGCTAGATGAATAAAAAAGATTTCTGGTTACATGTACACTGATTATTGAGGGATGAGTATGACATTATTATGCCAGAATCAATAGATATTTTAAATAGGGAGAAAACTATAATTATATATCTTTGTGTTCAGTAGAAGTAGTAGTATTTATAAAGTAGAAGTTTGTTATACCTTGTTCATAGTCTTTTAAAGTTGTTTATAAATAAAATCTACTCTTAGTTAATTAATGGTTGATATTAATTTAAGTGTTTTAAAATTTTTGACCTCTGAATTGCCTCATACATATGGAGAAATAAAGCTTGCCTAGAATAATTTCTTGAGTGGAGAATGAATGATCTGGATAGATTTGTTGACAATAAATATGTCTGTACTTAATTTATTAATTCTTTAATCTTCATGAAGAAAAATATAAAAGTCATATTCTAGTATTTTATACCATGGAAAAAAATTCTTATCTTTTTCCTAAGGAAAAACTATTTACAAGTCTCACTAGGAGTCTAGGTATTCATTAGTCTCGTGGTGTGTATTTGCTGATAGTCCTGTTATCTTTGCTGGTTCAATTACACAGTACCATCCAAGACGCTGCAACACGTTATACACAGGGTATGGGTTGTGAGAGCTACAGATTTCAGTTATTATTCAGGCTCAGAAACTTAGAATCTCTGCGAGCTGGAACATGTTACTTAGTCTTGTTTTAAGACCGTCTTGTTTTAAAAGTTAGTCTCAAATTCTTAAAATATAGAATAGGGATGCTAGTAGTGCTCACAGAATTGTAGTAAAGATTAGCTGGGAAAAAAGAGACTATTAAACAGAGCCTGGTATTCAATAAGTATCAGTTGCCTTCCATTAGCAATCTGTGTTGTCATGATTAGAAGATTGCTGGTTTATGTTACAGATCTGTAAGTACAGTCAAAATAGCAACCAGACAAAATCATGTACCATTCCTTCAACATTTCATCCCTAGAATCTAGCCAAATTAGCATCTCTATACAAACAATAATGTTAACACAGATATGTGCTCAAACCCCTCATTTACTTTTCAGCACTTGTAAGTTACGGGAGAGATTTAGGAAGAAGTCTGGGGTTATGGCTTAGTTAAGCTGAGTGGCTAGAAAGTGTGAGATGCTAGAGGGGTACAGATGGTTGCCTCCTCCAGTTCATTTCTCCAGTGGCCGCACAAGGCATATCCATAGCTCTGCTCCTGGGAACTCGTTTCTGGCGTGGGGCTTGTGCGCACCCCAGACCGGGAGGAGCCTGGAGCCTGCTCATTAGTAGCACGGGCAGCTCCTGCGCCTGGAGGAGGGAGGCGGAAGGACAGCCCTGCGCCACCACCAGGAGAAGGGAGCGCGGTAGCTGCAGGCAGGGGAGGGAGAGGAAAGAAAAGGAAAGACGGCTCCCAGACAGAGAGTGGAAGAAATCGGGGAGCAGCCGGAGCAGCAGGTCCGGGGGGGAGCTGTTCCGCTGCGCTGCGCTCATTATTCACACGGACGCTGCGGAGCTTCCCAGGGTTGCTTCCCAGTCCCCCTGGGTGGAGGCTGTCGTCTAAACCTGACTCCAGGTGAGTTCGGCAAAGAGGTGAACGGAGGGGTCTCGAACCAGAGACGTGGAATTGGCGAGGCTGCTCAGCTCCCCCAAGCACTGCTGCCTTTATATTTCCCAAATTCACGGAAGGTTTTGGCGGTAGCTGCACAGTCTGCGAGTGGGCGGATGGGCGGTGGGTGGTTGCGATCCTCACAGCCAGCATGGAGGCATTCGGATGGAATTAGCTTAAGTGAATGGGGTTTTAGGAAATGTCCCCAAAGGCAAGCATTATGTATGTGTTTCTAGACAAGCTTTTAAGACAGAAATTTGGTTTCCCGGATGCCCATTTTGGCCTTCTGTCCTTCCTTTTGCTTGCCTCATGCCCAATTTTCCAAGCCAAGGAAAGGATTGGGAAGGCGTGGAAGTAGAAGGTCTGGGCACAGAATGTGACAAGGCAACCTTGGTCTCTAAGTTTGGGGGTGGGAGTTGGGACTCTTTTCCTTTCAACTTAATTTACTGTCAGCACCAAGTGAGATTTTTCTATTTAAATAGTTTTCTATTTGTGGTATGATAATTCATGTATGGACTTCATGTAATTAACATAAATATAATGGAGGGTTGAGAAGTGGTTTATTTTTACCAAGAGGAAAAATTTGTACACGATTTTTTAAAATATTGCTTTGAAAATCTTTAAAATTAATTTTCAGTTGGTGGAAGAGAGCATCACAAACTCACTGCTAGTGGTATTCTTGAGAAGTAATATTTGAATTTTCTAGGTATTGTCCCCAGACTGGCTTAAAGGAATTTAATTTTAGATGTAAATTTTCTGCTTAACATGGAAGATTTTTCCATGAAAATATTAGCTCCATCAGATACACGGTTGCTTAGGGGTAGCTGCATGGAATTATGGGAAGGGTGAAATAGAAAAAAATTTTCATCTCTAAGTTATACGTACTAGTGTAATCATATTGATTGGATGATAATGATAATTACAGCAATAATATGATTGAAAGGGTAAGCAAGTAACATATAATACAGTTACTAATATAATCCTGTGATTGAGTTTACCACTTCATTTCTCCTTTCTGGAATCCCTTAAGTTTGTCACTATTGCACTGTATTTCCTTTGCTTATTGTAGTGGTGTATTAGTTGCATTACTGCTGCTATAACAAATTACCACACATTTAAATAACTTAAAATAACACATATTTATCGTCTTACAGTTTCAAAGGTCAGAAGTCCAAAATCACTTTAATTAGGCTAAGTCAATGTGTCTGCCGTGTTGGTTCCTTCTCGAGGTGCTGAGGGGAGAATCCATTCTCTTGCCTTTTTCTGCTTCTAGTGGCACCTGTATTCATTGTCTTTTACCCATTCCTCCATTTTCAAGGTGCATTGCTCTTATTTCTGTTTCTGTCTCCGCATTGTCTCCTCCTTTAACTTTGAGTCCTTCTCTCTACTTCATCTAAAGACTCCTGTGATTACTTTGGACTCACATAGATGATCTGGGATAATCACTTTGTCTCAAGATCCTTAACTTAATCATATCTACAAGTCCCTTTGGCTGTGTAAGGCAGCACATTCCCAGGGCCTGGAGATTAGGCCAAGAACATCTTTTGGGACTATTATGCAGCCTATCACAAGTGGTAATAATATTTTTGTGCATTGAGAACCTGAAATTAATGTGCTTGCTTACGCATGGAAAAACAATGTATCTGTGGGAGTAACAATTTATTTTTGAACCATTAGAAGGTATTGATGGGGAAGTTTTCATCTGACTGATAACAGCTACTGATAAATTAAATACCCTTAGATTTGTCAAATCTAGCTTTAGTAAAATGTAAGTAAAAGTATTTGCACTGCTGGGGTCAAAAATATTAATTAAACCCATTATTTATCAAGGCCAACTTCTGGATTACTTAGGTTTAAATTAACATAGAACATTATCTTCCATAGTGCTTATTTGTGAAGCTTAGTTCTTGTTTACAAAACCTCATCCATATAAGAAAGCACAGAAAGGTTGGTGTTTTTTTAACCTTTGCAGAATATCAATTTTCAAAGGGATGTTAGACAGTAGTTCCATAATAATTGATGCAGTTCACAAACATTCATTGTGAATATTTTATCTCATGAGTTTTATCTATGATACTAATCATAGACTTCTAGAAGAAATTTAACAATGATCATGTCAGCCTTTCAAATCTTTCTGTAACCTAGAAGAGGATCGTTGCATAAGATAGATTCGTTTTCCCCTTTATTCCGTCGTTGCCAGAGAGAACTTGAAATGCCCTGTTCAAATTAATTTAATGCAAATGAATTCTTGCTGCCTCACAAGTAGTTTGTCCTTCATTTTTCTTAAAATTATATTGTAAATGGATGTGACATGCTTAACTGGTTGTTGTGCAGGGGGCATTGTCCTTCCTAAAAGCTCCCTCATTTGTCAAAATGAAGCCATTAAGAGTAAAGTAAATTTTATTATCTGATCACAGTATCACAATTGACCTTAAAACAATAAATTTTATAATCAGTGTAAATTGCTGAATAGTGTTTGCAGTTGTAGAAATTTCAAAGGAAACCCTGGTTGAGATACAAAGCTGCTATAATCATTTTTAAAATCTTCGTTTTTTTTTTTTACTTTGGAACAGTAGTGCAGTAAGTAAGTACTTTTGCCTTATTGCTCTCTCTGCCTTCCAGCAACCCTCATTCAAATATTCTAAGTTTTTAAGTCTTTTTCATTTCTTTTAATATTGTAACATTTAACAATGTCAAAGAAAGTATAAATTTTCTGAAGATCAAGCTAAAAATAAAGAGAGGTTGGTGTAACTGAACATCAAATTAACAAGATTGATTATGAAAGGTAATTTTTGAAAAGGGCCAAAGATCCCTTTGCACATAAATGCAAAAGAATTTAGTGAAATAAGGTGAAACTGGAATAAAGAACTCTACTGATGCTTAAGTAACTCTTAATGAGAATGAGTATTGTACATGCATATTTTTAGCTCCCAGTTTCAGAGATACAGTAGTTGTACAACAAATGGTCCTTTCCTGCTATTAAGGAAGCCTCCCCTCCTCCAGCCATGCTATTCCTCAGAGCAAGCACTTCAACTGAGTTTTCAGCAACCATAAGTAAGAAGGATGGTATGATAGGCTGCGTGTACATATGGCCCTCATTAGCAGGCCAACTGTTCCTTTTGCCCACCCACATCACTGGGGACATATGGCATTACTTTGACTGTGGAAACAAGTGTGTGTGCACATATCTTGGTATGAGTAAAAGACTGTTGATTGTCTTTCTCTTGTCGCTCATGCAACCATCTCCTTGTGGAAATCATATTATCCATAACACTAGATTTGAGGATGATAAATGACGTTGTTATTATTAACTGAATTTGCCTCTCTAGTTTGATCACAAAACCAGTGAATGTTTGCTTATGGAACATGTAAAGCTTATAGAAGATAGAAAGCTTACAGAAAGAAATGATGGCTTTTCTAAGCATAAGAGTCAGGTCTTTTTCAATAAAAAACTAACTCATTCAAAAATTCAAGAATTATGTAAAACCAGAACAGCAGACAGTTCAGAAATGCTATTGAGATCATTTATTATAAAATAGCCAATTAATGAAATGTAATAGTGAGTCTGTTGTTGTTAGTTGTGACTATATGGAGAAATTAATGAGAAAATATAAGATAGGCTGGAATGAAGAGAGTCATCTGATCCCAGCACAATTCATTTTATATAGTTCACAGTATTGTAACTTTTTAAAAAAATTATTAATTTTTTCAATATTGTAAATTCTGAATTTGCAATATGAGGCTTTTCAATACTTGCAACAAGTGTGTATTTTTCAGAGGTGGCTCTAGAATTACATATTGGGGCTTGCAAGCTGCATTCTGATAAGAAGGCAAGGCTAGAGGACTCATGTTGAGGTGGCATTTGCACAGAACTTGATTTAGATAACATACATCAGTGGTGTAGAGAGAAGAGCGGGTGATGTTGCTGAAGATTATAGGGGAGATAATAACACTGAAGGGCACCTTTTGCTACCTCTGCTGGCCTATTTGTATATTCAGCTGTGTAGCATATTTCTTGTATAATTACATAGTAATTTCACACACTACATTAAGAAAATCTGAACAATTTTTACTAAACTCATGTTTTCTAAATATTAAGTAAATAAAACCAATATTTGGATAGGTAACATTTATAAAAACAGTATTTCTAGATAGATATAGATGATAAATTTTCATCTATATCTATAGGGCTGATAAATTTTCAAAACCCTTTGAATATCACTTGTACTACAAAGTCTTGTTTCAGTTTCAGTGCCATGGCACATTGATTAATCACCACTAAAGCGGTACATGAAATATTTGGCAATATAGGTGTCAAGATATTTGGTAATGGTGACTGATGTATGCACTGGCCTTGAGAACTTTAGTTTTCATCTTCGTTCACCTTGATAGAGAACAAACTAACAACTTCAAATTATCTGATCCATCAAACAATTTATTTCCTTGAAACTCACTGATTTATTTATTTATTTATTATTTTGGGGGGATCACTATTATTTGCTGTATTAAAATATCAAATGATCAAGGTATTATACCAACATGGCAGCTCACATGGTGGGCAACAGAATGAAAACAAAGAGGTTTACTACCAAGAATTATACTATATTGCTTTTATTGACAGAAAAAGCGTACAGATAATTTTATTCAGAGATTTTATGTGAATTATTTTGATAAGTGTACACATATATTTATAAATGACCTTTCTTTGTCAAGTGTGTGCCCACACACATATTCATACTAAATCAGTCTTAGAGATCTTACCCAAAGATTGAATTTCTTAAAGTGACTGTTCCAAATATGTATAATTTATGGCAAAAAAAGTCACAAAATGGCAATATAAGGAGGCATAAAAGTGAAGATAAAGGGGGAGATAATGGTTAAAAACACCTGTAAATGAATAATTGATTTTGATTTAAATTCTCTTTAGTTCTTAGCTGATGAAATGAATATAAATGAAATTATTATGCAAAACACCTCTATTTGTTGTATATGCATGTACATATATGTGTTACAAATACAAAACTGATGGGATATTATTTAACATATATTCACACTCATAATGTGCATATATGTACATAATGAAAATGAGTGCTTGTTTTATATACATATATACACACATACACATATTGCATACTTTCATTTTTTAAAACTTTAAGTTCTGGGATACATGTGCTGAACATGCAGGTTTGTTACATAGGTATACATGTGCCATGGTAATTTGCTGCATCTACCAACCCGTCATCTAGGTTTCAAGCTCCACATGCATTAGCTATTTGTCCTAATGCTCTCCCTCCCCTTTCCCCCCACCCACTGACAGGCCCCAGTGTGTGATGTTCCTCTCCCTGTGTCCACATGTTCTCATTGTTCAGCTCCCACTTATGAGTGAGAACATGCAGTGTTTGGTTTTCTGTTCCTGTGTTAGTTTGCTGAGGATGATGGTTTCCAGCTTCATCCATATCCCTGCAAAGGACATGAATTCACCGTTTTTTATGGCTGCGTAGTATTCCATGGTGAATATGTACCTCATTTTCTTCATGCAGTCTATCATTGATGGGCATTATGTTGGTTCCAAGTCTTTGCTATTGTAAATAGTGCCACGATAAACATACGTGTACATGTGTCTTTATAGTAGAACGATTTATAATCCTTTGGGTATATACCCAGTAGTGGGATTGCTGGGTCAAATGGTATTTCTGGTTTTATATCCTTGAGGAATCCCCACATTGTCTTCCACAATGGTTGAACTATTTTACAAGCCCACCAACAGTGTAAAAGTGTTCCTATTTCTCTGCATCTTCTCCAGCATCTGCTGTTTCCAGAATTTTTAATGATCACCATTCTAACTGGTGTGAGATGGTATGTCATTGTGGTTTTGATTTGCATTTCTCTAATGACCAGTGATAATGAGCTTTTTTTCATATGTTTATTGGCCACATACATGCCTTCTTTTGAGAAGTGTCTGTTCATATCCTTTGCTCACTTTTTTATGGGGTTGTTTGTTTTTTTCTTGTAAATTTGTTTAAGTTCCTTCTAGATTCTGGATATTAGACCTTGTGTCAGATGGATAGATTGCAAAAATTTTCTCATATTTTGTAGGTTGCCTGTTCACTCTGGTGATAGTTTATTTTACTGAGCAGAAGCTCTTTAGTTTAATTAGATTCCATCTGTCAATTTTGGCTGTTGTTTCCAGTGCTGTTGGTGTTTTAGTCATGAAGTCTTTGCCCACACCTATGTCCTGAATCGTATTGCCTAGGTTTTCTTCTAGGGTTTTTATAGTTTTAGGTTTTACATTTATGTTTTTAATCCACCTTGAGTTAATTCTTTTATAAGCTGTAACGAAAGGGTCCAGTTTTTCTTTTCTGCATATGGCTAGCCAGTTTTCCCAGCGCCATTTATTAAATAGGGAATCCTTTCCCCATTGCTTGCTTTTGTCAGGTTTGTTGAAGATCAGATGGTTGTAGATGTGTGGTGTTATTTCTGAGGCCTCTGTTCTGTTTCATTGGTCTATATATCTGTTTTGGTATTAGCACCATGCTGTTTTGGTTACTGTAGCTTTGTAATACAGTTTGAAGTCAGGCAGCATCGTGCCTCCAGCTTTGTTCTTTTTGCTTAGGTTAGTCTTGGCTCCACAGGCTCTTTTTTGCTTCCATATGAAATTTAACGTAGTTTTTTTCTAGTTCTGTGAAGAAAGTCAATGGTAGCTTGATGGGAATAGCATTGAATCTATAAATTACTTTGGGCAATATGGCCATTTTCATGATATTGAGTCTTCCTACCCATGAGGATGGAATGTTTCTCTATATGTTTGTGTCCTGTCATTTCCTTGAGCTCTGGTTTGTAGTTCTCCTTGAAGAGGTCCTTCACATCCCTTGTAGGTTGTATTCCTAGGTATTTTGTTTTCTTTATAGCAATTGTGAATGGGAGTTTACTAATGATTTGGCTCTCTGCTTGTCTATTATTGGTGTATAAGAATGATTGTGATTTTTGCACATTAATTTTAAATCCTGAGACTTTGCTAAAGTTGCTTATCAGGTTAAGGAATTTTTGGGCTGAGGTGGTGGCATTTTGTAAATATACAATCATGTCGTCTGCAAACAGAGACAATTTGATTTCCTCTCTTCCTATTTGCATACCTTTTATTTCTTTCTCTTGCTTGATTGCCCTGGCCAGAACTTCCAATACTATGTTGAATAAGAGTGGGGAGAGAGGGCATCCTTCTCTTGTGCCAGTTTTCAAAGGGAATGCTTCCAGCTTTTGGCCATTTAGCATGATATTAGCTATGCATTTGTCATAAATAGCTCTTATTATTTTGAGATATGTTTCATCAATACCTAGTTTATTGAGAGTTTTTAGTATGAGGGGTGTTGAATTTTATTGAAGGCCTTTCCTGCATCTATTGAGATAATCATGCGGTTTTTGTCATTGGTTCTGTTTATGTGATGGATTACATTTATTTATTTGTGTATGTTGAACCAGCCTTGCATGCCAGGCATGAAGCCAACTTGATCGTGGTGGATAAGCTTTTTGCTGTGCTGCTGGATTCACTTGCCAATATTTTATTCAGGATTTTCGCATTGATGTTCATCAGCAATATTGGCCTGAAATTTTCTTTTTTTATTGGGTCTCTGCCAGGTTTTGGAATCAGAATGATGCTGGCCTCATAAAATGAGTTAGTCCCTCTTTTTCTATTGTTCAGAATAGTTTTAGAAGGAATGGTACCAGCTCCTCTTTGTACCTCTGGCAGAACTCAGCTGTGAGTACGTCTGGTCCCGGGCTTTTTTTGGTTGGTAGGCTGTAATTACTGACTCAATTTCAGAACTTGTTATTGGTCTATTCAGGGATTTGACTTCTTCCTGGTTTAGTCTTGGGAGGGTGTATGTGTCCAGGAATTTATCTATTTCTTCTAGATTTTCTAGTTTATTTGTGTAGAGGTGTTTACAGTATTCTCTGATAATAGTTTGTATTTCTGTGGCATCAGTGGTGATATCCCCTTTATCATTTTTTAATGTGTCTATTTGATTTTTCTCTCTCTTCTTCCTTATTAATCTAGCTACCGTTCTAACTATTTTGTTAATCTTTTCAAAAAACCCACTCCTAGATTAATTGATTTTTTTGAAGGTTTTTTCGTGTTTCTCTCCCATTCAGTTCTGCTGTGATCTTAGTTATTTCTTGTCTTATGCTAGGTTTTGAATGTGTTTGCCATTGCTTCTTTTGATTGTGATGTTAGGGTGTCGATTTTAGATCTCTCCCACTTTCTGATGTGGGCATTTAATGCTATAAATTTCCCTCTAAACACTGTTTAACCTGTGTCCCAGAGATTCTGGTATGTTGTGTCTTTGTTCTCATTGGTTTCAAAGAACTTATTTATTTCTGCCTTGATTTTGCTATTTACCCAGTAGTCATTCAGAAGCAGGTTGTTCAGTTTCCATGTAGTTGTGCAGTTTTGAGTGAGTTTCTTAATTCTGAGTTCTAATTTGATTACACTGTGGTTTGAGAGATTGTTATGATTTTCATTCTTTTCATTTGCTGAGGAGTGTTTTACTTCCAATTATGTGGTTGATTTTAGAATAAGTGCTATGTGGTGCTGAGAAGAATGTATATTCTGTTGATTTACGGTGGAGAGTTCTGTAGATATCTATTAGGTCTGCTTGGACCAGAGCCGAGTTCAAGTCTGAATATCCTTGTTAATTTCCTGTCTTGTTGATCTGTCTAATATTGATAGTGGGTTGTTAAAGTTTCCCACTATTATTGTGTGGGAGTCTAAGTCTCCTTGTAGGTCTCTAAGAACTCATTTTATGAATCCTGGTGCTCCTGTATTTGGCGCATATATATTTAGGATAGTTAGCTCTTCTTGTTGCATCGATCCCTTTACTACTATGTAATGCCCTTCTTTGTCCTTTTTTATCTTTGTTGGTTTAAAGTCTTTTTTATTAGAGACTAGCTTTTCTTTCTTTCCATTTGCTTGGTAAATATTCCTCCATCCCTTTATTTTGAGCCTATGTGTGTCCTTGCAAGTGAGATGGGTCTCCTTGAATACAGCACACGTATGGGTATTGAGTCTTATCCAATTTGGCAGTCTATGTCTTTTAATTGGGGCATTTAGCCCATTTATATTTACAGTTAATATTGTTATGTGTGAATTTGATCCTGTCATCATGATGCTAGCTGGTTATTTTGCACATTAGTTGAAGCAGTTTCTTCCTAGTTTCATTGGTTTTTATATTTTGGTGTGTTTTTGCAGTGGCTGGTAATGGTTTTTCCTTTCCATATTTAGTGCTTCCTTTAGGAGCTCTTGTAAGGCAGGCCTGATGGTGACCAAATCTCTCAGCATCCGTTTGTCTGTAAAGGATTTTATTTCTCATTCACTTATGAAGCTTAGTTTGGCTGGTTGTGAAATTCCATATGTACATCATGAAAATGAGTGCATGTGATATACATACGTACATACACACACACACACTGCATACTTTCATTTTTATGTCCATTACTTTTCTGATTTCATCATCAGCCAACTAAAGAAAATAGAAAAAAAATTGGTAATTTGATCTTTCATGTTCTGCATCTTCCAGCTTCACACTTACAGTTTTCTATTTTTATTGTTATTGTGATCAGAATGAAAAAGTATACTATAGAATCAGAATCGGGTCAGAATCAACAAATATACGATAATGTTTGTACATGCTTTCAATGCAGTTTGTCTCTGCAAAGGGTGTGTTTGTATGCACATGTGCATGTACACAAGTGTGTAAATAAGTGTTTTATTCATGATGGAGAAAGACTGGTCAAAATTATTCTGAATGAGGTAGCACCACTACAGCAGATAATTAGGTATCTAGCAATAAAACAAATCATTAAACATGTTTCTAAGTATCTACTCAGTATCTGGCACAATGTTAAGTAGTATAAACATAATCGTAAGCAAAATTCAGCTTCTACCCTCAATGGTATATGTGCAGAACAAATTGGTAAAGCTGGAGTACATTTCAGGACCAAAAACAGTTTCTGTATAGTTCCCACTTCATCAAGACCATGTTATATACTACTCATACACTTAAGCCATAAGGAAGCAATTCTTCCATCCACCCTTTTACAGGGTAGTGGTGGGGAAGAAGAGCTGACTGTCATGCTTGAATTCACATAATTTCATAATTAAATAATTTCATGTTACATAATCTCAATAAACCTAAAATCCAATATATGATAAAGGTAGTGTTTCAAATCAGTTGGTAAGTGATAAATGGTTCATAAAATGGTGTTCAGATAATTGGCTATATGTATTTTATAGTTGCACAAAGGTATAATATGTCATTCATAATACTAATTCCAGAGTGGATGTCAAATACACTTTTTTCAAAATATAAAGAAAAAATACCATAGACAAATATCATTTGCAACGTGACAGTTAAAATTAAATATCTAAACATAGCACTAACCAATAACAGAAAATTTAAAAAAAAATATTCATGGATTGGAATTTGTTAAAATATAAAACTTTTCTATTTCAGAGGATACCATGAATATGTGTAAAAAGCAAATATCAAGTCAGCAGCAAGTGTTTGCAATTCACTTGACATATTTAACATATGAGTAGTTCCAACAAATCATAAATAAATGATTAGTAGTCCAATAAAAAAAGACAAAGTACATTGACAGGAAACTGTATGAAACTCATGAACACTAAATGTATTAGATTCTCTATTGTTAAAAAAATGCAAAAACAATAGAGAGCATTATTGATATGGAGTTAATATTTTAACAAAATTATTAATTTTATCCATGTTATAAGTAAATATATACATCCAAAAACCCTTATTTTCTCTGAAAGTTGTCACTTATGAGTCTATTTTGAAAATGTTTAAAGAATAGTAATTAATTAACTTTAATAAATAGGTATTCCTATTGAGGGAAAACAGACATTTCCATAATTTTTCTTCTGTTTCTAATATAGTAGATGGTAGGAAAATAATGACAAATGCATGTTCATACCTGGATAATATGCATTCCATTAGTTCTTTTAAACTTTTGCATTCTCAAAACTATATTGATCCCTCAAAGCGTACCCTTTGTTGTTGAAAGCAGCCTTTCGAGCATAAAGACACACACATCACTTTCCTTAAATCTTATATAAGGCAAGGGCGTAGATGCCTATCAGAAAATGTATTTCAAGAATGCTTTTTTAGTAGTTCCTGTGGCTTATCTTATAGAGGAAGGTTTTTTTTTTTTAAAAAAAATACACACAGTTTTTGATGCACATTTTTATTGGAAAGAGCTTTTATTTCCTTAAATGTTTTGTTGTCTAAGTGTGAAAAGTATCCTGCAGTGGAATTTAGTGGAACAGATGCTTATTGTGATAGATGAGATGAACTTGCTTCCCCAAGCATGCATGGGCATGAAATGCATCTGGCTTCTGTACATAAAAGTCAGTTATGTTCCCAAATGTGTTTCTGCATTTACACAGACATTTAGGGGCAGACACCCTACTATTCCCTCAAAAGGCGACTCTGCTTAATTATGAAGTTCAAGTTAGACCAGAAGTTGGAAAATACTAAATTCCACATTGCAGACAGAGCCTGAGCAGGTGATGTCACCACTGCATACTAAGGTGGCAAGTCCTCAGAGAAGTCACTTATCACCTTACCATGGAGAAAAATAACTGTGTCCAGAACCCAAGAGGATGCTGTAAAGTAGCGTACAATCAAGTGTGCAAACCTGTGCAATATATACCAGATGAAATCCAGTTCAGAGGAGGAAATAAGGGTAGGCTCAGGAAAACAAATAAATGAGGATATGCTTTAAAAAGTAGGACTTCATATAAACAGTCATGAGAGTAAAGACTATTGCTAAGCACATAGGAAACACAAACCAGGCTTTCAGGAAGGAGTTTGGCACATGTATGCACTGGTAGGAGGTGTAATGTGCAGAAATCCGGCCTTTTGTGGCATAGCAACTAAAGTTCCTTTTCTATCGTCCAGATAACCTTAAATATTCCCTTATAAAGTAATATCTTAAAAGGCCATCTACTGTGCACAGTGTGTTAGCATCAAGGACATGAAATTTATCTGGAATATACCAAAACTTTAATCAATAGACTAGGACCAAAGCTTTTAAAAATAGTTTTTTTTTTAGATAAGTCATTATAATTTATTATTTCCTTGCCATAGGTAAGGCATGATACATAACTTTACTTTTTTCTCAGTTACTTAGTGTGTAGGTAGAATAATGACCCTTAGTAGGATGACCTTTTGAATATGTTGTTAGGCAGCATGGGAGCATTATGGTTGCAGGTGGAATTAAGATTGCTAATCACCTGACCTTAAAATGGAGAGATTATCCTGAATTATCTAGGTGGGCCCACTGTAGTCACAAAGAACCTTCAAACAGGAAGGCCGAAAGACCAGAGTGAGTAGAAGAGCTTGGGGAAACTGGAGCAAGATAGAATACATTTTTTCTCTTTGTCTCAACATCAGGGCTCTAAGTATATTGTAAAAGTATAGCACCTTTTCTTCTCCAGGCCAAATATTTCCAGTTTTTTCTGTAGTTTTTTTTTTGTTTTATTATTATTTTTAGTTGACATTTAACTGTATGTATTTACTGGTGACAGTGTGATATTTCAATACATGTATACAGTGTGTAATGATCAAATCAGGGTAGTTAGTATATCTCTTCCCTCAAACATTTACCATTTCTTTGTGTTGGGAACATTCAAAGTCTGCTCTTCCAGCTACTTGAAAATATACAATAAACTGTTGATAATTATAGTCACCCTGTGGTGCTACAGAACACTAGAACTTATCCCTCCTCTTTGTGTAGTTTTCACTTGTTTCTCACTCATTCATAACTACTTTTTCAGAACTTGTTGCATGTTGCACTCCATGATGGGTGAACATGGAGACAGGTGAGACATATCTTCCTGGTTACATTTATGATAGAGCAGAATTCTGCCCAGCCTGGTCTGAACAGGCTGCGGTTCTCCAGGCAAGGGGACTCACCTGCCCAGAGGCAGGCAGTTCTATAACGTTCCCTCCTTGGACCCCTACACCTCCATTGGTGGAGCAGTGTACCTGGCTCCTCTCTCTGCTTCTACGCTTGTTGGGGACAGCGATAGTTCCCACCAGTGATCTCAGGGCCAAGGCTGCCTGATTCCCACTTCTGCCCTTGGCTGACTATGTGACATGGGCATGTTGCCTCTCTTTGTTTCCATAGCTTCAAATAAAATGGGGCCAGCAAGGAAGCTCAGGAATAGGGCTTGGCAATGGCAAGGCTTTGCTGCTCACCTCGGGCCTCCTCTGAGTCTCTGTCCCGCTCCTCCTCCTCTCCCTCGAATGCCCTCTGCCTCCATTGCCGCCAGGAACGTTCCCCTTTCCCCTGAGCCAGAGAGCATGCCCCTGGGCTTGACGGTGCTCATCCCTCAACTTGTCTCTCAAGGAGAAAGTGTGTGGCCTGTGTGGGAATTTTGATGGCATCCAGAACAGTGACCTCACCAGCAGCAACCTCCAAGTGGAGGAAGACCCTGTGGACTTTGGGAACTCCTGGAAAGTGAGCTCGCAGTCTGCTGACACCAGAAAACTACGTCTGGGTCTCTGTGTGGACAGAGCCCGAGAGCTTGCTTCCTGGAATGTCCCTCTGTCCCCATTCTTATGGGGGCTGGAAGGGGGGTTGTGGGTGGTATGACCTTCAGGTGGCTGCAGGGTGGGAAGGAGGGTCTCTTGGATCCTTCTGGGCTGAATAACCCCAGTTTGACCAGCTGACGGCTGGCCTATCTCTTGCCTGGTTCCCAGGTGCCTCTGGACTCATCCCCTGCCACCTGCCATAACAACATCATGAAGCAGACGATGGTGGATTCCTCCTGTAGAATCCTTACCAGTGACGTCTTCCAGGACTGCAACAAGCTGGTGAGGACCTTGAGGGTAGTGGGAAGCAGATGGTCCCAAGGCTTGGCCCAGTGGTATGGACACAGAGTGTGACCTTCTAACGTGGACACTACCCTTGTGTCTTGACATGATCTGCACCAAGACACCACTTTAGCTTTTTTTTCTTGGCTTTCAATCTGGGAAACAAAAAGTAAAATCAACAGTTTCTAGGGGAAGCAATGCCTGGCAAAACATTTCCTTCTGCATGAGAAGTAACTCCCCTTGGCATGTGCCAACGTTTCTCTTTCGGCCCCAGTCTTAGGATTTGTTCTCTTATGGAAGTATCTTGTTTTCAACACCAGAGCCAGAGATTTCCTTTTCCTGTCACTGCTGCATTTGTCCAGACCAAAAGACCGTCCTCTCCCACTCCTCAAAACCCCTTGGTGCCCATTTCTTGTCTCACAGAAATTCTTTTCTGGCCTTACTTTTGGTGATTTTGAGTCCTCGTATTATGACTTATTTTTGTGTCTTCATCTCTAATGACAAGGAGGAACTCCCCAGGGTTAAGTGCAGTTGTCTCTCTTCTTTTTTTTTGAGACAGAGTCTCGCTCTGTCACTCAGGCTGGAGTGCAATGGCATGATCTTGGCTTAGTGCAGCCTCTGCTTCCCGGGTTCAAGCGATTCTCCTGCCTCAACCTCCCGAGTAGCTGGGATTACAGGTACCCGCCACCACACCCAGCTAATTTTTGTATTTTTAGTAGAGACGAGGTTTCACCACGTTGGTCAGGCTGGCCTCGAACTCCTGACCTCAGGTGATCTACCCACCTGAGCCTCCCAAAGTGCTGGGATTACAGGTGTAAGCCACCATGCCCGACCATAGTGCGGTTGTCTCTTATCTGCTGCATGTATGTGTGTACACACATGTGGACATGGGCTTGTACATGGACATATGTGACTACAGAAGTCTATGTACACACACACAGCCATGCACACATACATGTTGCTGTGTAGCACCACCAATGTGGGAGAGACTGGTTGAAAACATGGATCTCAATTCTCTTTCTATCTATGCAGTGATTTTCAGTCTCTGAGGACTCCAAAGGATACTTACATTCCCGGTTTGGTGGAAATCCTGGGCATCTGAGTTGGAAGAGTGAGGACAGGGGAGGAGCTGGGGACATTGGGACTGTTGGAACGTCTTGGAAACAATGACCCACTCAGTGTCTGAATTCATTTTCTGTCATAACTGCCCTGAAAAAGTCCAGTGTGTTTAGAGGCGTGTTTTGGGATGAGGAAGGGTGGGAACTGGTTGAACTGGATTTGGAATCAGAGTCTAGGCCCTATTGTTCTGCATACCTGCCCCATAGCACTGCAGTGAGGCAGCTGCAGGGCTTGATGTATTTCCCCATTCTGCTTGCTGAATTGAGGCAAAGAAAGACAGTGACCAGCACATATGTGTGTTTGTGTTTTTGTAAAAACACCCACATGCTCATGAGGCCAAGAGTGGGTTGTGAGGACAGATGGGTGGCTGAGCAGGGAGGCAGGCAGAGGGACAGAGGGAATGTTCTTCTGGAATATCCTCAGGCTCATTGTGTTCTGCAGAAGGCCAGCAGCACTGCATTATTCAACTCTTCTTGCTGGAATGCAGATTAGAAACTAAGAATCTTGCCTTCCCACTCATTCCCTCTTTGAGACCATTGAGCTACATTTCTCCTTCTACCTGGACCCCCCTTATCCTTAAATTGACCATCAGAACATTTGCACCCAGACTAAGAGCCAGAGTTTCTGACACCTGGCCATAGGCCTGGGCCACCTGAGGCTGCCTTTGCAGGTGGACCCCGAGCCATACCTGGATGTCTGCATTTACGACACCTGCTCCTGTGAGTCCATTGGGGACTGCGCCTGCTTCTGCGACACCATTGCTGCCTATGCCCACGTGTGTGCCCAGCATGGCAAGGTGGTGACCTGGAGGACGGCCACATTGTGCCATGAGTCCTGACACCCTCATGTTCTCAGATGCCCTCCCTTCTTCCCATGTGTCTATGCTTGAAGACCTTGTGAGTGCAGGGGGATATCTTCATGGGCGAGAGAAGACAGTGCTAGTATGGGACTGGATGGCCAAGGGCTAACGAGGGTTAAGACGTTGGCTGAGTAAGAAGTTTATATTATGGACTTTGAGGCGGGACATGGATTCAAGGCATGAACATGTGGATACTTTTCTTCTGGAGAGATTCTGGCAGAGGAGAAGAGGGAATACTGATGAAAAGAAGGAAGTTGATTTATGTCTTTAATTAGGCGTGATTATATTTGCCAATATGAGTGATCAACTCATACATTCATGTCTATAGAATCTTCCTTCTTTGGACATAAGCAACTTAATGCTTTTATGTAGAAAACTGGGCCAGGCACAGTGACTCACACCTGTGATACCTGTGTTTTGGGAGGCTGAGGCCAGAGGATTCCTTGAGCCCAGGAGTTCAAGACCAGCCTGGGCAACATAGCAAGACCCCATCTCTACAAAAATTAAAAAAAGAAATGAATTCAGAACCAATAGATTCTGGTTTAGGTGCTTCAACAATCCAGAAGTCTCTAATATTGGTGACGCCCATAGTCCCCTAGTTCCCCAACATTATCTCCAGATGGCGCAGGCCATCACCACATGGGTCTGCAGTCCTGGAGGCTTTGCCTGTTGTGGCCACAGCCTTGTCTCCTGTCTACACAGCCCAGAGCTGCGAGGAGAGGAATCTCCGGGAGAACGGGTATGAGTGTGAGTGGCGCTATAACAGCTGTGCACCTGCCTGTCAAGTCACGTGTCAGCACCCTGAGCCACTGGCCTGCCCTGTGCAGTGTGTGGAGGGCTGCCATGCCCACTGCCCTCCAGGTGAGGCCTCTATCCCTGGGGGTCAGGCTGGTGGGATGGGATAGGGATGGATGGAAAGGTGCTTCTAGGTCTTGCTTCATCTCAGCCTCCACCTGCCACGTCCTATCTCTGACCTGCAAGGCTGCTGCAGGTTCCGTGGGTTCTTTCATCAGAGTCAGGACAGTCGTGATTTTTCTCAAGTCGAGCTCCTCCAAAATGCTTTTCTGTGCCTATTTATGGGATTCTCACCTAAAGCAGCCCCTGCCGATAGAACTTTCTGCAGTGGGGGAATGTTGTATTGAATGTAACTGTGACGAGTGTGTCTGAGGAACTGAATTTTTGAATTTTATTGAATTTTACTTAATTTAACTTAAATAGCCACATGCAGTTTATGACTATCCTATGGTACAGCACAGCTCGAGAGTTACTGAAGGTGTTATTCAGAAGAGCAGAAAGAGCCCTGGAGATAAGATTTCATTTGTCCTGAGGCTTGGGGAGGTGAGGTAGGATGAAGGAATCCCCGCTCCCAGTTTTGCAGAGGGATCAATCAAGGCACAAGGAGGAGAGATGCTCCTTGAGTGGCAGGGTGACCCCTAGGGGTGCAGGCAGGAGGAGTTGGCTTCTAGGGCAGGAGGAGGAGTTGGCTCCTCCCTTTTAGTTAAAAATGAGACTTCCTTGTGGGAAAGGGGAGCGTTTTGGTTCCTAATGAGAGCTTTCTTTTGCAGGGAAAATCCTGGATGAGCTTTTGCAGACCTGCGTTGACCCTGAAGACTGCCCGGTGTGTGAGGTGGCTGGCTGGCGTTTTGCCTCAAGAAAGAAAGTCACCTTGAATCCCAGTGACCCTGAGCACTGCCAGATTTGGTAAAACAGATGCCTGGATTGTTTGAAGTGACGAATCTTATTGCTTCTCCAGGGGCCAGCTCAGAGACTAGGTTTTGGGTAAAAAGTCCTAGCCACATGAGTTGAGAGACTGAGTTTATTTTATTTGTTTATTTATTTAATTCATTATTTAGTGTAGTTTATTGTTTTGTTTGTTCCTAGGGTTTGCTTCTTTTTCTTTAGGGATGGACTAGACTGCTTCCTCCACATATATTCCTCTACAATGTTTTTGCTCTTAATAGGTTTTTAAGTCCTAACAGGTTTTTGCTTTTCTCACTGAAGGTGAGGGTATGGTCACTTATTGTCCTTGTAGGTCATGACTAGTCTGAGCACAGGTGTCCATATACTGGAGGTGGCGACTCAGGAGAGGAAAGTGAGATGGAACGCGGGGCCCTCAGGGTAACATGAACGTCGTGGGGGCCATAGTCAAGGTGGCAGGGTGTGGCTGTCATAATGGGGAGGGAAGGTGCTCGTTGCTCTCACCCTGGGTTCTCACTGGACTTGCCTCTGGGAAACTGGCCTTTGGGGAGGTGAGAAGGAGTCCTCAGGGTGAGCTCTGAGCCCTCTGAAGTCCTGCTCATAAGTAGGGAACATTTATTAAAATCCACATCTATTCAACACCACTCCCTGACACTGATCAGGCCTTCTGGGAGCTTAAACTTGAGAATGTAAATTCGCTGGGGAGGGGCTATGGTCACAGCTGCCAGAGTCAGATCCTGCCACCACCATCTGCACAAACAAGAACGAACACTGCCTGGGGTGAGTTTTCTAGCAAACACAGGAAACTAGAAAGTATGTCACTCACGCACCGTTAACCAAGGATTGAAGCAATAAATCTCATGGATCATGGGAAGGAGGAATTAACTTCCTAGTAAGACTCTACCTGCGCACACTCTTTATGCTGAAACAGGGACTGTAGGGAGCAAAGGATTGGGTGATTCTGATGCTGGCTTGGGGTTCTGTGCCAAAAGGGCATGAGAGCTTCGAGCCCTCTCCCCACCTCCTTTGCTGGCACACGGGCAGGGGCAGCTGCCACGGTGCACGCTGAAGCTGCAAGCAGTGTGTGGACAGAAGTCCCACAGCAGGCTGGGGGCATCACCTGGTATCAAGCCACAGGGGGACACTTCCCAGGCTCAGGGCACTGCCGCCTTGTCAGCTTTACTGGGAGTGCTGAAGGCCAGGTGCCTCCAAGGCTGAGAGTCCAAAGAGGAGATGGTCCTGGCCCATATTGGTCTCCACCACATGGCCACTTGATTTCACCTGTGGGCTGGCAGGCCGTGCCACTTTCCGGGACACTGGCAAAAAGGTGATGTTACCAGCAGAGCCTCGAAATTTGGCATAGTAGTGTAGGAATTTGTGTGTGTGGGGCCACTGCTCTACTACAGACTTGTGGTGTGTGCTTGGGGCTGGGCACAGAGCCTGGCCAATACCTGGCACATGAGAGGTGCTCACCCTATGTCTGCTGGAGGAATGAGTGAATGTCTTTTCTTAGGCCTAACACCTTGGGGACCCCTGTCTGCTACTCCCAAATAATTTGTTCTGCTAGATAAAGCTGGGGTTTTGAATCTTTATTCATCTTTCCACAATGTTTTTGCTCCAATTTTTTCTCTCTTCGTTAGGGCCCAACGTATTAAACATGTTTTAAAACTCATGCAATTTACATTCTGTTAGAATATGTACTGTAAAGCATTTATCTTCAACAGAACATGTACAAGCACAGGTTAGCGTCTACATTTTAGTAACATTTGTTCTTGGAGACACTTGTAAGAAGGCTTAGATTATAATTAAGTATTCATGTTGCTAAAGATGTAGGTTGAAAAGAAATCAGCTTTGAGTGGCTGTGTGGATGGCCTAGAACAACGAGTATATTTTTTCATATCCTAGGATGGGCTAAAGCTTTGGTTTCTAGAATCAAAGGAAGTCGGCTATGTGTGTGTTTTGAAGTGGGGGGGCATGCTATTTGGGGACAGATGTTAAACAGTGACATCTCACTTGGGTGTGGAATGGTCCGTGGGATCTCAAGTTCAGGTGGAACAGAGGAGATTCTGTGGGAATATGGAAGTAGTCATACACTGTAGGGCTCAGAAGTGTCCATAGGTTCTTTCTGAACCATTTTAATTTCTTCGCTCTTTTCTGCAGCCACTGTGATGGTGTCACCCTCACCTGTGAAGCCTGCCAGGAGCCGGGAGGCCTGGTGGTACCTCCCACAGATGCCCCGGTGAGCCCCACCACTCTGTATGTGGAGGACATCTCAGAACCGCTGTTGCACGATTTCTACTGCAGCAGGCTACTGGACCTGATCTTCCTGCTGGATGGCTCCTCCAGGCTGTCCGAGGCTGAGTTTGAAGTGCTGAAGGCCTTTGTGGTGGACATGATGGAGCGGCTGCGCATCTCCTAGAAGTGGGTCCGCGTGGCTGTGGTGGAGTACCACGACGGCTCCCACGCCTACATCGGGCTCAAGGACCGGAAGCGACCGTCAGAGCTGCGGCGCGTTGCCAGCCAGGTGAAGTATGCGGGCAGCCAGGTGGCCTCCACCAGCGAGGCCTTGAAATACACACTGTTCCAAATCATCAGCAAGATCGACCGCCCTGAAGCCTTCCGCATCGCCCTGCTCCTGATGGCCAGCCAGGAGCCCCAACGGATGTCCCGGAACTTTGTCCGCTACGTCCAGGGCCTGAAGAAGAAGAAGGTCATCGTGATCCCGGTGGGCATTGGGCCCCATGCCAACCTCAAGCAGATCCGCCTCATTGAGAAGCAGGCCCCTGAGAACAAGGCCTTCGTGCTGAGCGGTGTGGATGAGCTGGAGCAGCAAAGGGAAGAGATCGTTAGCTACCTCTGTGACCTTGCCCCTGACGCCCCTCCTCCTACTCTGCCCCCCCACATGGCACAAGTCACTGTGGGCCCGGGGCTCTTGGGGCTTTCGACCCTGGGGCCCAAGAGGAACTCCATGGTTCTGGATGTGGCATTTGTCCTGGAAGGATCGGACAAAATTGGTGAAGCCAACTTCAACAGGAGCAAGGAGTTCATGGAGGAGGTGATTCAGCGGATGGATGTGGGCCAGGACAGCATCCACGTCACGGTGCTGCAGTACTCCTACATGGTGACCGTGGAGTACCCCTTCAGCGAGGCACAGTCCAAAGGGGACATCCTGCAGCGGGTGCGAGAGATCCGCTACCAGGGTGGCAACAGGACCAACACTGGGGTGGCCCTGCTGTACCCCTCCGACCACAGCTTCTTGGTCAGCCAGGGTGACCGGGAGCAGGTGCCCAACCTGGTCTCCATGGTCACCAGAAATCCTGCCTCTGATAAGATCAAGAGGTTGCCTGGAGACATCCAGGTGGTGCCCATTGGAGTGGGCCCTAATGCCAACGTTCAGGAGCTGGAGAGGATCGGCTGGCCCAATGCCCCCATCCTCATCCAGGACTTTGAGACGCTCCCCTGAGAGGCTCCTGACCTGGTGCTGCAGAGGTGCTGCTCCGGAGAGGGGCTGCAGATCCCCACCCGCTCCCCTGCCCCTGGTATGCTGGCACCTTGTGTGCAGGTGGGAGGGCTGGGCGAGGGCTGGCATGGCCTTGGTACTACATGCATCTGCCAAGATATGACTTGGGTTCTAATCCTGGCTTCCCTGGTCTGTGTGCCCTTGGTTGAAACTTGCCTTCAAAGGGCCTGTGTTTCCTCACCTCCCTGGCAGGGAGACAAACTGTGATCCTTTTGCGGGGGAAGATCTTTTCTTATTGTGTGTGCTTCTGTAAATTCAAAGGTAATGGAAGCCTATTGTTAACATTTAAACAATGCCACTAAGGAGTAAAAAAAAAAATATGCAAGTCTTACTTTATCACACGGCCTCTTCCCCACCCAATTCCACCCTCCACCTTCAAGGTAACCTCTGTTAAAGGTGATGATGATAAGCTTCGTTTTGACCACACTGGGTGGGTGAAATTATTCTGAGTAGCTGACATTCTTCAGGGCGAGACCAGGATGTCAGGTGCCAGGTAGCAGGTGCAGTCTTCAGACACTGGAGTCAGTGTCTGCCTTAGTTTGAATCTTATCTCTGCCACTTGCTAGCTGGGTAATTTTGGGCAAATACTTAACCTCTTTGTATATCAGTCTCCTCATCTATAAAATGGGGATAATAATAGCACCTACTTGCTTAAAATAGTATCTGGCACATGACAGTGCTCAAAAAAAATGCTTGCTCCCACTGCTGTTATTACTACCTTTTACTGACACTGGTGTCTAATCCATTCCTAGTTCCTGAACATCTTTATTCGGTGTGTTTGGGACCATCTCAGAATAATAAGCCTTCTTTTAGTATCTTTTGAGTCTCACACTTGTCAGTACTTTTGTTTCTTTGTTTTTGTTTTTATTCATGGCCATAGATTTATTTAAATTCTTGTAATATTTCTGCTGAGGAAAACAACAATTACATCATTTCATCAAATCTCAGATGTGCTCAGACACTAACAGGAGCACTAGGCATTTATAGCTGGAAGAATCACAGTACGTTCACCTGCCTTGCAAGATCTGAGGACACAGCAGCTCATTGTCCAGGGAGGGGCTGCCGCTCCATTTCCTTTTGCAGTCTTGTATTGCCAGGCCAGTATTTTACTCATTTCTAGAAGAGTGGCGGCCCCTTCTTACCGAGGAAGCCCATGCCTACTGCTTTTATTTGTAGACATTTAAGCTTCCTTTGGGTAGAACTGGAGGCTTCTCAGTGTCTCCAAACCTGAGGTAGTCCAGCCCCAGGAACTCCATCTCCCCTATCCCCTCCTCCCTGGCCCACGTTGCCCTTGCACTCACAAAGGCAGCCCCCGCCCCCCTTGGTGGTGCCACGTGGTCAGCACGCCCTGCAGATCCTATGGGATGTCAGGTTGTAGGCCTGGCGGCCAGTGCCCCTGCTGGCACCTGTGTGCTCACCTTCCTGGTTATCTTTGCAGACTGCAGCCAGCCCCTGGACGTGATCCTTCTCCTGGATGGCTCCTCCAGTTTCCCAGCTTCTTCTTTTGATGAAATGAAGAGTTTTGCTAAGGCTTTCATTTCAAAAGCCAATATAGGTGAGTGAGTGAGGCACCTGAAGCAGCAGGTGACGAAGAGGCTCTTTTTGGGGCTCCACTTGATTCAGAATAATCCCCATTTTCTTGTTCCGTTTAGGGCCTCCTCTCACTCAGGGGTCAGTGCTCCAGTATGGAAGCATCACCACCATTGACGTGCCATGGAACGTGGCCCCGGAGAAAGCCCATTTGCTGAGCCTTGTGGACGTCATGCAGCGGGAGGGAGGCCCCAGCCAAATCGGTAACGTTGGTGCCACAGGCTGGATGCAGAAGCTGCATTCTGGTTCTTATTTTTGGCATAAGTGACTGTGTGACCTCGGCCAGTCACTTTGCTCCTTGGCCTTAGTTTCTTCTCCTGGAAAGTGAGGGGCTAGATGCTCTTCCACGTCTCTCCAGATCTCAACTGGGTGTTCCTTGGAGTCTCTGAATCATTCAGCTTTTAAGTGACTTAAGGATCCACCGTGAGACAGGGTGTCCAGCCGCAGTCAGTACTGACTTGGTGTGATCTGTTCTCCATCCTCAGGGGATGCCTTGGGCTTTGCTGTGCGACACTTGACTTCAGAAATGCATGGTGCCAGGCCGGGAGCCTCGAAGGCGGTGGTCATCCTGGTCACGGATGTCTCTGTGGATTCAGTGGATGCAGCAGCTGATGCCGCCAGGTCCAACAGTAAGAATCTGGTGTACAGTCCTCAATTCAGGAGAGCGAGACTTCAGAAATGATAGAGGATTAAAAGTGGCCTGGGGTTACTTTTGGATGTTGTGGCTGATATTAAATATGCTCAGTACCAACCTCTGTCCTGGTTTCAAACAGCAGGAAATTATCCAATCACGATGTGATTAGGAAACCAAACAATAATAAGTGTGTGTTGATCCTATATCTTTATAACTAATTATAACCCTTTAATTTCTCCACATTTTCCCTTTGTGTCCAGGAGTGATCATACCTCTATGCCCTTTCTTTCTAAAGTAGGATTCGTGGTCTCTTACTAAAATGTCATGTCTGAGGCCAGAGTGATTCATTGTGGGGCCTTGAGAACCAATGGGGACTTTCATGTATTTAGAGTCCTTTCCTGGTACCAGGTAATGGGCTTGGCAGGGTTGATGGATGAGAGACAAAGGATCATGCTGTAGGAAAGGGAAGGATCCAGATGTCCAGCCTTGTGCTCCATAAGAACATGTGCTTATCATGTTCTTAATATCAACAGGATGTGAGCTGGGACAGGTGGTAGAGTCTGAGGGACCACCTCCCAGCTGAAGGAGGTCTGGGTGAGTGGAGTGACATTGAGTCCCCTCGTGGCCACCTGGAGAACTGTTCATCTTTCAGAACCCTGCCTAGGAGTGCTGTCAGAACCCTGTCTTTTCTCTGCTGTCTTCCTGATGTTCTTCCTGAGGAAGTTATTTGCTCCGTTCTCTATGTCACATATGAGCTACTAAAAATGTGCAAATCGTATTGTATTGTATTTGTAACATATCTATTCCTTGCAAAAAACTGGGAGTTCTTTGAAGGCAAGGGAAGATCTTGCTTATTTTTGTATCATCTGTGTATGATGCACAAAATAGGTGACCATTTAATGTTTGTTGAGTGAATGAATGTGACATGTTTATGAAATCTATAATTTTAGGGTAAAGGACACTAAAAGGGAAAGGATATATATTTGGATGATATAACGAACTTACAAGGGCTGAAAAGCTGCTAGTAGAAAATCCATTCCAACCTGAAGCACATTGCAAATTCCTAGAACTTTCTGGAGAGCTGAATTGAGGAATTTCAGGATGGAGATTTTTTCTCCTTTAGTATCAAGAATCCAAAGAAAGATTTTCACTGGGAAAGGAAGCAGTTGTGGTCTTGAGGAAGCAGATATGATCCAGAGCACGTCATTTAACCATCTAAAGCCTCGGTTTCTCATGTGTAAATGAGCATGCACATTCTCTGGGCTCAGCCCTGTGATATTTTCTCTTCTCTTCTTACATATACCCTGTTGGTGGTCTAGTTCAGTGTCATGGGTCTGAATATATTTATACATCTCTGACTTTGAAATTCGTATCTCCAGCCTCACCTCAACTCAGCTTGCATGCTCTAACAGGCAAAACTAAACTCCTGATTTTCACATCCGTCTTTCTTATCTTAGAAAATGGCGATTCCAACCTTCCAGTTGTTCAGTTCAAAAAGCCCAGCATCCTTGATTCTTCTTCCTTTTTCCTGATACCTCCATGCAAGCCATGAACAAACTATAGCTCCATCTTCAAAATACTTTGAGAGTTGCACCTCTCCACACCATGTCCACCAGGGTCACCTCAATCTGAGTCCCCAGCATCTCTCACCTGGACTATTGAAATAGCTGTCTAACTGGAATCCCAGCTTCCACCTTTGTCCCCTGCAGCTCATTCTCAGCACAGCAGCTGCAGTGGCCCTTTACTATCAAAGTCAGCCCCTGTCCCTCTGCTCTGTAGTCTTGGCTGGTTTGTTTCATTCACAGAACATGGTGAGCCCTTACTGTGGCCAATGGAGCATTGCCTGATCCATGCCCTTTCCCTCTCTTGCTTGTCCCTCTCTCCCCAGCCCCCGGGAGCATGCAGTCACACTTCTACTCTGGGGCCTTTGCACTCACTCTTCTCTCTGCTTGGGATGTCCCTCCCTCAGACATCCTCTTGGCTCCTTCCCTCCTTACATCAGGTCTCTGCTCAGATGCCATCTTTTCACCAAATGCTTCTCCAACTGCCATATATACAACGATAACCCACACCTCAGCCCTGGGCATTCTCATCCCCCTTATCTCATTTTGTTTTTTTCCTAAGCATTTATCCACATCTGAAATTCTATATATTTACTTTGTGTGTTTGTTGTCTATCTCTCCATGAGGACGGGGGACAGGGAGGGACTTTATGTGCTTGGTTCACTGCTGTACCCCTATTGCTGACAATAGTACCTGACACAGAGTAGGAGCTCATTAATATCTGTTGACTGAACATCTTCCTCATAGGGCTGGTGTATGTGACCAGCCTGGAAAACACGAGGCTGTATTCAGATGCTGGATATAACGTCAGGCCAGTCCATTTTGAACCTTCTTGCCCACAGATCCTTTCTTGTCTCTTTGCTGACTCTAGGAGTGACAGTGTTCCCTGTTGGAATTGGAGATCGCTACGATGCAGCCCAGCTACGGATCTTGGCCGGCCCAGCAGGCGACTCCAACATGGTGAAGCTCCAGCAAATCGAAGACCTCCCTACCATGGTCACCTTGGGCAATTCCTTCCTCCACAAACTGTGCTCTCGTGAGTCTTATAATACCTTTCTTACTTCCCTCAAAAAAAGTTCCAAAACAAACCCGCCAAAGAAACAAAAATACTATTCAAGAGACCCCAGGGTGCCCATGCATAAGATTTGGCCTTGAAAGAAGATTATTATATAGACCAGGACATTCAAGTTTCTGCTCATGGGAGGTGTATACCACAAGCCCCCGTGGGGCCAGCAGAAAGCTTTCTGTGTATGGTCCTATTTCCACTCTAATTGGCCATGTGAACTTGGCAGAGAGCCTAAGCTTATTTGTGTAGAGGGATCTTGGACAAAGGAATCAGAAGACATAAGCAAGGAACCCCAGAGTTCCATAGAGTCTTCTTCCCCATGGGCCTAGACTCACTCTCAACATGGGTATAAAGGGCTTTAGAAATACAATAACATGGAGACTCATATCAAAGTACCATAGTTTAAGTTGATTTTAGGTTAGAAACTTAAAAAATACGCTTTTGGCCAGGCACGGTGGCTCATGTCTGTAATCCCAGCACTTTGGGAGGCCGAGGCGGGTGGATCACGAGGTCAGGAGATCGAGACCGTCTTGGCTAACACAGTGAATCCCCGCCTCTACTAAAGATACAAAAAATTAGCCGGGCATGGTGGCGGGCACCTGTAGTACCAGCTACTTGGGAGGCTGAGGCAGGAGAATGGCGTGAACCCAGGAGGCGGAGCTTGCAGTGAGCCGAGATCGCGTCACTGCACTCCAGCCTGGGCGACAGAGCAAGACTCTGTCTCAAAACACACACACACACACACACACACACACACACACACACACACACACACATGCTTTTTTTGGGGGGAGGCCTGGGTTTATATATTTTCCCGTTACTAGATGTAAGTCAAAACCTGCATAAAGCTACTGTCTTTCAGGGGAATAAGTCAGTGCAAGTTTGCCCTTAAAGGGCAATAACTCTACACAAGTTTTGACTTATAGCAAATCACATTAGCTGTACAGAGAGATGGCAGCTCTCCTGGTAGGAATCTTCAAGTAGATCTCTTTCAGGTTTCCAGGATCTTGCTTCATCTCCCCACCTTCCCCATCCCTGGCGTGATCTACATGTGAACCAAGATAATGACAGCGTAAGCTGTAGTTATTGCCATATTATCGCTGTTGTTGGCATCATAATTATTAACAACCGCAGAGCATGTCTGAAGAACCACAGGATGACCACCTCAGCCACATGTCCCTAGGTCTCCACTGTTAACCTTGTTCAGATTCTTTTCAGAGTTGAGTTGACTTCAAAAACTAGACCAGGTTGCTTAAGCAGACATTGTGAATGGTTCAGAATTTCTGGGTGAAAGATGGGAACTAAGGTCTTATTTGTGTCTGTTGCAGGATTTGTTAGGATTCGCATGGATGAGGATGGGAATGAGAAGAGGGTAAGTTCCTTTCTGTTGACTTTGAAAGAAAGATTAGAGATGTGTTTGGGGCTCTTGTTCCCACTGTTTAATTTTTCCTCCTTTGGTCTTAGTCCAGCGCTTCCTCTTACTATTATCTTGTTTTTGAGGGTCCATCTGTACATCTTGTGTTTTGCTTCCTGTCTCATGTACAGGAGGCCTCCTTGCTGTGTAGGCCCGTGTTCAATTCTAGGGGTCAGTTGTCTGGCAGATGGGCTTAGAGTTGGAGTACCTCATCTTATTCCCTGCCTGAATCTGCTGTTTTCTTCTGCAGCCCGGGGACGTCTGGACCTTGCCAGACCAGTGCCACACCGTGACTTGCCAGCCAGATGGCCAGACCTTGCTGAAGAGTCATCGGGTCAACTGTGACCGGGGGCCGAGGCCTTCATGCCCTAACAGCCAGTCCCCTGTTAAAGTGGAAGACACCTGTGGCTGCCGCTGGACCTGCCCCTGTGAGTCCTTTGCTTCTCCAGCCAGGGCAGCGTCAAAGGGGCAGTGCTTTTAGCTTGGCTGTGCAGAAAAGTAGAGCAGGCACCCACCAGCCCAGAAGTACCCTTTCCCTCATCACCACATGCACAGTGCTACCTTCACTCACCTTCCTTTCCTCCTGTGCTCTTTGGACATGCATGCAGCCAGTCTCAGGGATCACTGCCCTCTTTCTCTGTCTTTGGAAGGCACTTCCCCAGATTATGCATAACCGGAAGGAAGAATTGCTTTTCTGAGGTCAGTGCTCAGCTTGGCTGTTGGCAAGTCAACCTTTAGGAATCTATGTATTCAGGGTATAGCAGTGGAAGTATAGCAGTGAGAGAGATGCTTCCAGAAAACTCTCCAACCACACCTATAGCAAGAGTACATCACCAAGGTGGCCTGAATTAAGAGGAGGAAATATTTAAAGTCCATCTCACGTACACTTGTGGAGAGCATTTCATCCATGGGCTGGGTTAGCCTTCTGTCTCATGTTTGGGAGCAATGACTGCTTATGGTGACCATGACTCAGCAGTGGATTGTAACTTTATGCTGAACAGGCATAACTGGTGGGATGCAATCAAAACTGTATGTTATAGCTCATTCCCCCTTTAGAATTTATTTAGTGAGATAAATTTCCCTCTTGGTCTAGGTGAAAACTCCACCAGACTTTAGGTTTCTTCTGTTTATTCATAAAGAATTCTATAGTTACTTTGTCAGAAGACAAAGTCTCAGTTGATAATTAGATACCCACTCTTGTGTAATAATCAAAACTTTGAATTTGATTAGAGTTAAAACACCTCCCAGTTCCAATTTGCGCTGCCTGCCTCTGGGAAGGAGGGTATGGTCAGCTTTCCTCTGTACAAAGAGCATTGCCTTTTGTGATTAAAAGCATATCCTGGAAATTACCCGATGTCATTTCAAAGAGAGCTTCCTAATACTTCACTGTGTACCATAGGTTACCCAACTGTTCTTCTATGGATGTGCATTTAGGCTGTTTCCAGTGTCTTGTAATGACAAGCAATGCTGCAATGAGTAAACCTGCACATACGAATTGTCATATGGTTGGAGGTGTGTCTTCAGGGTAGATTCCTAGAAGTGAGATTCTTGGGTCAAAAGATAAGTGCATATGAAGTTCCCCTTAGATATTCCCAGATTCTCCTCTAACAGGTGAGATGTGGTTGTGCAAAACTGGAATGTCCATCAGTTTGCTTTTCGATCAGCGAGGTATGAGAGTGCAAGCTTCTCCACGGCCTTGCTCAGTGCGTTGTTACAGTGTTTTTTTTTTTTTTCAAATTTCTTACTTTTCAGGAAAGAAATAGTATCTGAGTGTACTTGAAATTCATTTCTGTAATGATGAGTGAGGGTAAACATTTTTCATATGTTTAATTGCCATTTTTTGGTCTAATTTTATGAATTTTCTGCTCATGCCTTTCCCCATTTTCCCATTAGAAGAGCTGTGATAAAAAACACATGAGATCTACCCTATTAATAAATTTTCCAGTGTACAATACAATATTGTTAGCTATTTGCAAGTTGTTGTACAGCAGACCTTTAGAAGTTTTTGTTTTGTGTGACTGAAACTATGCCCACTGAACAGCAACTTCCCATTTTCCCCTTCCCCTAGCCCCCACAACCACCATTCTGCTTTTTGCTTCTATGAATTTGACGATTTTAGATACCTCCTGTAAGTGGATTCATGCAGTAGTTATCCTTCTGTGACTGGCTCATTTCACTTAGCTTAATGTCCTCCAAGTTCATCTATGTTGTGGCATATGAAAGGATTTCCTTCTTTCTAAAGACTGAATAGTATTCCATTGCATGTATATACCACATTTTCTTTATCCATTTGTCCACTGATGTGCATTTGGATTGTTTCTAACTCTTGGCTATTGTGAATAATGTTGCAGTGAACGTGGAAGTGTAAGTATCTTTTTGAGATCCTGATTTCAATGCTTTTGGATGAATACCCAGAAGTGGGATTGCGGGGTCATATGCTAATACCAGTTTTAATTTTCTGAGGAACCTTCTTACCGTTTTCTGTAGTGGCTACACCACTTTACATTCCTACCATCAATGCACAAGGGTTTCAGTTTCTTCACATTCTTGTTAACACTTGGTATTTCCTGGTGTGTGTGTGTGTGTGTGTGTGTGTGTGTGTGTTTGATAATGGCCATTCTAGCACGTATGAGGTAATACCTCATTATGGTTTTGATTTGCATTTCCCTGATGATCAGTAATGTTGGATATTTTTTCATATAATTGACTTTTTAGATGTCTCTTTGGAGGAATGTCTTTTCAAGTCCTTTGCTCATTTTTAAATTGGGTTATTTGCATTTTTTTTTTTTTTGCTATTGAGTTGTGTGAGTTCCTAATATATTTTGGATATTAACCTTTTATCAAATGTACGGTTTGCAAATATTTTCTTCCATTCTGTAGGCTGCCTTTTTATTCTGTTGATTGTTTCTTTGGCTGCACAGAAGCTTTTTGGTTTGATGTAGTCCCACTTGTCTATTTTTGCTTTTGTTGCCTTGTTTTTGGTAACGATATCCAAGAAATCGTCGCCAAGACCAATGTTGCAAAGTTCTTGTGTTTTCTTTTAGGAGTTTTATAATTTCAGGTTTTACGTATCAGTGTTTAAGTTTGATTTTGGGTTAACTTTGTGTATGATATAAGATAAGGGTCCAACTTCATTCTTTTTCATGTGGACAGGTCATTGTTAGTGTATAAAAACAAATGGTTTTCTATGTTGATTTTGTATTCTGCAACTGAATTTGTTTCAACTTTGCTGAATTTGCTAACAAATTTTTGGTGAAATCTTTAGAGTTTTCTACACATAAGATTATGTCATCTGCAAATTGAGATAATTTTACTTCTTTTTTGATTTGGGTGATGTTTATATCTTCTTGATTCATTGCTCTAGCTAAGACTTCTGGTACTATGTTGAATAGAAGTGGTGAGAGTGGGCATCCTTGCTGTCTTCCTGATTAGAGGAAAAGCTTTTAGTTTTGCACTATTCAGGTGATGTTAGCTGTGGTATTTTCATTAATGGCCTTAATTTTGTTGAGGTAATTTTCTTCTATTCTTAGTTTGTTGAATGTTTTAATCATGAAATGGTGTTTGAATTTTGACAAATGCTTTATCTGCATCTATTGACATGACAGTATGATTTTTATCCTTTGTCCTGTTAATGCTGTGTATCACATTTACTGATTTTTAGATGCTGAGCCATTCTCCCATCTGAGGGATAAATCCCACTCAGAGTGTATGATCCTTTGATTGTGCTGTTGAATTCAGTTTGCTATCATTTTGTTGAGAATTTTTGCATCTATGTTCATCAGGAATATTGACTTGTAGTTTTCTTTAACGTAAAGTCTTTGGCTTTGGTATCAGGGTAATTCTGGCTTCAGGTTTCCCACTTCAATGTTTTGGAAGAGTTTGAGAAAGACTGGCATTAATTCTTCTTTAAATCTTTGGTAGAATTATCCAGTGAAAGCATCTGAGCTCTTCTTTGTTGGGAGATTATGATTATTAATTTGATCTCCTTACTAATTGTGGGGCTGTTCAGATTTTCTGTTTATTCATCATTCAGTCTTGGTAGGTTGTATGTTTCAGGGATTTATTCATTTCTTTAGGTTATCCAATTTGTTAGTGTGTAGTTGTTCATAGTAGTCTCTTACTAGCCTTTTTATTTCTGTGCTATCAATTGTAATATAACCTCTTCTATTTCTGATTTTATTTATTTGAGTCTTTTTTTGTCTTGGTTAATCTAGCTAAAGATTTGTTAATTTTGTTGACCTTTAAAAAACCAATTCTAAGTTTTATTGATATTTTGTATTCTATATTTCATTTATTTTTCCTCAAATCTTAATTTCCTTCCTTCTGCTAACTTAGGGCTTAGTTTATTCATTTTCTAGTTCCTTATGTTGTAAAATTAGGTTGTTTGAGATCTTTCTTACTGTAGACATTTACTGCTGTAAACTTTCCTTTTATTGCTTTTGCTGTTTCCCATAAGCTTTGCTATGTTGTGCTTTAGTTTTTGTTTTTCTCAAAATATTTTCTGATTTTTCTTTTGATTTCTTCTTTGACCCATTGGTTGTTCAAGAGTGTTTTTTAATTTCCACATATTTGAGAACTTTCTGAAATTATTTCTATTAGCAATGTCTCATTCCGTTGTGGTCAGAAAAGATACTTGGTATGATTTTAGTCTCCTTAAATTTGTTAAGATTTGTTTTGTGGGCTAGCATGTGAACTATTCTGGAGACTGTTCTATGTGTGTTTGAGGAGAATGTATAATTTGCTGTTGTTGGGTAGAATATTCTGTATTTGTTTGATAGGTCCACTTGGGCCATAGTGTTGTTTGAGTTATCTGTTTCCTTATTGATCTTCTGTCTGGATTTTTTATCCATTATTGAAAGTGAGATATTACAATTTCTCACTATTATGTTGTTCTATATTTATCATCACTTCTGTCAACATTTGCTTCTTATATTTGTGTGCTTTAATGTTGGGTGCAATGTATTTATAATTATATCTTCCTGATGAATTGATGCATTTATCACTATATAATGTCCGTTTTTTTGTCTCTTGTGACCATCTTTGACTTAAAGTTTAATTTGTCTAAGTATGGCTACCTCTTTTAGTTAACATTGGCATGAAATATCTTTTTCCATCTTCTCACTTTCAACCTATGTGCATTCTTAAATCCAAAGTGAGTCTCTCTCTTGTAGACAGCACATAGTTGGATCTTGTTTTATATTTATTTATTTATTTATTTATTTATTTAATTTATTTAGATGGAGTCTGGCTCTGTTGCCCAGGCTGGAGTGCAATGGCTCGATCTCGGCTCACTGCAATCTATGCCTCCCGGGTTCAAGTGATTCTCCTCCCTCAGCCTCCTAAGTAGCTGGAACTAGAAGCGCATGCCACCACTCCTGGCTAATTTTTTGTATTTTTAGTAGAGACGGGGTTTCACTGTGTTAGCCAGGATGGTCTTGATCTCCTGATCTCTCATGATCTGCCTACCTCAGCGTCCCAAAGTGCTGGGATTACAGACGTGAGCCACCACACCTGGCTGTTTTATTTTATTTTTAAAAATTCATTTCAGCCACTTCATAGCTTTTGATTGGAGAGTTTATTCTATTTATACTTAAAGTAACTACTGATAGGGAAGGACTTACTGTTGCCATTTTGGTAATTATTTTCAGTCAGTCTTGTAGCTTTTTTGTCCCTCTTTTCTACTCTTACTGCCCTTCTTTGTGTTTCATTGATGTTTTTTGGGTAATGATGAGATTTGATTCCTTTCTCATTTCCTTTTGTGTATCTTCTATAGATATTTTCTTTGTGGTTACCATGAAGCTTACTTAAAACAGCCTATACTTATAACAGTCTATTCTAAGCTTATAACAACTTAATTTCAATTGCACACAAAAACTCTACTTTTTTACTGCCTCTCCCCCACTTTATGTTATTCATGTCACAAATTATATTTTTTAATGTTGTGTATTCATTAACTGATTTTTATAGTGAGTTATTTTTATAACTTTGTCTTTTAAGTACTATACCAGAATTCCAAGATTTACACATTGTCATTATAGTATTAAAATATCCTATATTTGTTTATATATTTACCTTTACAAGGAATTTTACCTTTCATATGTTTTGATGTTGCTGCCTAGCATTCTTTTATTTCAACATGATGGACTCCCTTTAGCATTTCTTATAAGGCAGGTATAGTGGCGATGAACTCTTTCAGCTTTTGTGCACATGAGAAAGTCTTTATTTCCCTTCCATTTTTGAAAGACAGTTTTGCTAGAGAGAGTATTCTTGACTGCCCATTGTTTTCTTTTGAATATATCATCCATCTCCCTTCTGGCTTGTAAGGTTTCTGCTAAGAAATTTGTTAATAGTCTCATCGTGGCCCCCTTTTATATGAAAAGTTGCTTTTCTCTTGCTGCTTTCAAAATTCTGTTTTTGTCTTTGACTTCTGACAAATTATTATAATATATCTTGTAGTGGACTTCTTTAAATTAATTCTAGTTGGAGTCTTTTGGACTTCTTGAAGCTGGATGTCTATTTTCTTCCCTAAATTTGTTCATTATTTCTACTTTCCATTGGGTTTTAATCTTATTCTTTATTTTAAATATTGGAACTATTAGCTCATTATCCGTGATATAGGTTGCAGTACTATTTATTGACATGTCAATGTTTGCCCCAGTGATGTGAGATAACTTAATAATAATCATAAATCAAATTTTCATGTGTGCATGGGCTTATTTCTGAATTTTTTTCTGATTCCACTTGTTGTAAGCTATTCATATACCAAAGCCACATTGTCTTAATTACCACACTGTCTTAATTAGAGGAAATACCTCTAATATTTTGTCATTAAAGGCTTTATAGTATGTTTTATTGTCTGGTAGGACTAGTACCTCCGCATAGCTTTATTCTAAAATGTTTTCCTGGCTATTATTTATGTTTGTTTTTTCCGTATAGACTTTAGTGTCAACTTGTTTACCTCCATAAGAAGTTTGTTGGTATTTTTATTGGAATTGCATTAAATTTATACATTAACTTTGGGAGAACTAGCATTTTTATGGTGTTAAATGATCCTATCCAAGAACAAGTTTGTCCACTTATTCAAGCTGACTTGTCTGTCTTCTAGAAGTGTTTTAAGGTTTATTCATTTGGGTTTTGCATATTTCTTGCTAAGTTTATTCCAAGTATTGAATCTTCCTTGTTGCTATTGTAAATGAGACTTTTTTCTTCTCCATTATGTTCTTTAACTACTTATTGTTTGTGTATATAAAGGGTATTGGTATCAATATATATAACGTATATCTATATATCTAACATATATATATCTGTATATGTTAATTCCATATCCTATAGCTTTACTGAATTCTTTTATTATTGAGTTAGTTTTATCATGGATTCTCTAGGGTTTTCTGGGTATGATGGTGTATCATTTGCAAATAGAATTGTTTTTCTTCTTTGTCAATTTTTGTGCCTCCAATTAATTTCTCTTGTATAATTCCATTAATAAACTTTTTAGTACAATGTTGAATAGCAGTGGAGTATCTTGCACACACACACACGCACACACACATGCACACACATTATCATATATTTTATCATATTATGAAAGTATCCCTCGATTCTCATTTTTGAGTGTTTTTTTGTAAAGAGTGATTGTAGAATTTTGGTGTTGGTGAAGGCTTTTTCAGCATCTATGGAGATAATCTCTTGATTTTTTTTTCTTTAAATATATTGATACGGTATATTATTTGAAGGAATTTCCTAATGTTGATCCCACTTGGCTATGGTTTGTTATTTTCATAATGTGGTGTTGGATTCTGTTTGGTTATATTTTATTTAGTACGTTGGTTTTGACATTCATAAGTATTTTTGGTCTGCAATTTTAACACTACTTATTTAAATTTTCAGTAATATACATATAACATTTATCCTTTTAACTATTTTTAAGTATATATCCAGTGACATTATCACGAGGTCGGGAGATCGAGACCAGCATGGCTAACACACGGTGAAACCCCGTCTCTACTAAAGATACAAAAAATTAGCCGGGCGTGGTGGCAGGTGCCTGTAGTCCCAGCTACTTGGGAGGCTGAGGCAGGAGAATGGCGTGAACCCGGGAGGCGGAGCTTGCAGTGAGCCGAGATCACGCCACTGCACTCCAGCCTGGGCGACAGAGCGAGACTCCGTCTATTGCCAGAACTTCTTTCATCTTGTAAAACTGAAAAGCTTTATTCATTAGACAATGATACGCCATTTCCCCCTTCCTCCAGCCCCTGGAAACCGCCATTTTGCTTTCTGTCTCTGTGGATGAGACTACTCTAAGCACCTCTTTTGAGTGGAATTATACATTTTTCGTATTGGGACTGGCTTATTCTGCTTAGCATAATGTCTTCAAGGTTCATCCATGTTGTCACCCTTTGTGTTTGGTTGATTTTTTTTTTTTTTTGTAGTGAAACATTTTAACTCCCTTTTCCATTCTTTTGTGTATATTCTATAGCTATTTTCTTTATGGTTACCATGGGGATTACATTTAACATCGTAAAGTTATAACTCTCTACTTTGAATTTATACCAGCTCAACTTCGGTAACAGACAAAACTCTGCTCTTATACAACTCTATCCCCACACTCTTTCAGTTATTGATGTCATAAAAATCACATCTTTATACATTGTGTATTCAAAAACATAGACATATATAAATTTTAATGCATTAGTCTCTTAAATCATGTAGAAAACAAAAAGTGAAGCCACAAACTAAGATTACAATAATATCCAGAACTTTTTTGGTTCCTTTTTATGATTTCAATTTCTTTATTGAAATTTCCATTCTGTTCATACATCATTTTCTTGATTTTGTCTACAGCTTCTTTTAGCTCTTTGAGAATTTTTAAGACAGTTGTTTTAAAGTCTTTCTTTAGTAAAGCTACCATCTGGTCTTTCTCAGGGATAGTTTCTGTTGATTTACTACATGAGACAGATTCTGCCAATGCTATTGTTGTCTAGGTGGGGAGACAGATACTTGGTGCTTCTTACTCCACCATCTTCCCCATCTCCCACCATGTAGGTTTTGTTTTTTTGTTTGTTTGTTTTGTGGCGGGGGAATACTGTCTTGAGCTGGTTTAGATATTGGTGTTAAAACTGGTTTCATTAAAAGCTTTAAGAAGTTTTCTCTCCTTTTCAGTACTCTGGAACAATTTATGGAGCATTGGGACTATCAGGTCTTTGGAAGTTTAGGAAAATTTCCTTGTGAAATCATTTGGGGTTGGTATTTTGTTTTTTGTTTCTTTTTTTTGGTGGAGTAACTTTCTTTAATTCCTACTAACTTACTCTAATTCTTCCATGTAAATTGGTGTGCTTAAGATTTGTCTTTTATTTACAGGAGTTAATTTTGTTAATCTCCATTTTCCTAGAAATTTATCTATTTCATCTAGATTTTCACATTTATAGTATAGAGGTCTTCAAAGTAGTCTTTTTTTAAATTAAAATTTTGTTTATTGTTTGTATATACTCTAGGGTACAAGTAAAATTTTCACAGTAATCTTTTATAATATTAAAAATTCTTTTTAAATAGTGATTTTCTTTTGTCATTTGTTAATTTATATACATGTCTATTATCTTTTTTCTTGATCAAATTAACTCATGATTTGTCTTTCTGGATTTTTTTTAAAAATCAGGATTTCAATTTATTAATTATGTTTACTGTTTTTATATTCTCTACTTTATTGATTTCTGCTTTTATCCTTGCTATTTTATGACTTCTTTCCTTGAATTTTCTTTTAGTTTACCTTTTGTGCTTTTCTATTTAACTGGAACTGGGAATTTCATTCATTTTCATTGTTTTATTTTTATTGACAGAAATGTTTACTGTTATGAATTTTTCTAGGATCACTTTATATATATCCCAATGAGTCTGATATGTAGTATATTTATTATCATTATTTTCAAAAGAAATTCTGTACTATCTGTTTTTATTGCCCCTTTCACCCAGGATTTATATCATAAATTAAAAAAATTTCCAAGTGTAAAGATCTTTTTAAACAATAATTGTTTAAAAATTATAGTTGAGTTTTCGGATTATTTATTGTCCTGTGAAGTATGAGTGTTTTGGGCCTGGCTCTTGGGATTGGACCCTCTTCTGGGCACTTGTGAACAGCAGACTTGGTTTCTCCTCATCTTTTTCTATCGTGCCCCCCCACCGCTCGCCACCCCTTGGTCTTAGGAAGTTTCCTAGCACACATCCATTTTTTTCATTATTCCACTAAATACTTTAGAGGGGACCTCTGCAGATCTCCAGAGTTTGTTTCCTCTGCTGCTTTCTCCTCTCCAGTGTTCTGTCCTGTGATTTCTCTCTGCTTTTGTTTTACCGGATTCTTAGTGTCACCGCCCCAGCTCAGGGAATCTATGTCAGATTTTCTCTCTTTGTCATGGCCTGGGAGCTCTGTCAACCAAAGAAGCTCTGTCAACAAAAAGGCCTACATTTGTTTCCTGTCTTTTAGTGATGACCATCTTCATTGTGTGAAGTCCACTGTGTTGAAAATCATTGTTGAATATATTTTGTCTGTGTTGTTTTTGGTAGTTTCAGGTAAGGAGGAAAATCAGCACCCGTTGCTCCCTCTTGGCTGGAAGCAGATTGCCGCAGAGCTCCAGCACGTGCAGCAGACTAGCCAGAGTGCTTTGCTTCCTCCTTTGCTCAACTGCTTCCTTCTCATTTTTTATTTCTCAGTGTATCCTTCTCTTCCTCAGGGAAATCTTCCCTCAGCCAAATATAGGTCAGATTCTCTTACGTGACTAAAACAACTATGTATTCTTATAGCATCTATCCGAATTTGTAATTGTCACATTTTTGTCTGTGTTCTTTACTACACTTGAAGCTAAACAAGATCAGATGTGTTGTCTGTTTTATATGAAGAGCTTTCTAAAATATTTTCCACATTGCAAGCACTTAATATGTACATATTCATTCAGTGTATGAATGAGTGCCATGTTGAAATGCATAGTCCTTTATATTTAAAAACCTACTCATGTATTTTATCTCTATTTTGTCTTCTCCCGGTTACAGATTTTGTTAACCTATCGAAAATCAAGAATGCAACAGCTGCATGTGAAAGATCAATAGAGGATAAAAAGTGTTACTGTGAACGACTTAAAAGTAAAATTTCAAAAAATGAAAAATAATATTAGCATACTACAAAAGGTACTATCTGAAACAGACAAAACCAAATCACAGAGCATCAGAATCTTGAAAGGAAAAAAAAAGCTCTGTAAGTTGAGGTATCACATTCTAGTTTTAAAGAAATATTTGAACTGTTTATACTAAGGATATATAGGATAATTTTTGTAATAGCTGACTTACCTTCTAGGGTTTAATAGAGAAGAAAACCTCTTAAAATTGTGGAATGTGAAATTTTTGGATAAAAAAATCACAAGTTAATGGTGAATACTTCTCTAATAATTAATTGCATATTCCTTTAAATCATTATTTTAATGGCTATATAGAATTCCACCCTATGGAAATTTCATTATTTAATAAATTGAAATTGCGGGTTTTAATTTTTTGTATTAATGCTGTAAGAAACATCTTGTATATCCATAGTTGTCTACATTTCTATTTCTTTTCTTTGGATAAATTTTTCAAAATAGAGCTATCTGGTTAGAGTATAGGAGCTTTTTAAAAGAGATCTTTGATTAATATTACTAAGTTGTTCTTAAGAAAGTTTATAATTTATAATTTGAGTATGAAATGTATACTTTTCTCCACCCAGAGTGATTATTGTTAAAATTAACCAGTTTTTGTTTTTTTTTTTTGTCCTTTTGAGACAGTCTTGCGCTGTCACCCAGGTTGGAGTGCAGCAGCGAAATCTCGGCTCACTGCAGCCTCTGCTTCCGGGTTCAAGCGATTCTTGTGCCTCAGCCTCCCAAGTAGCTGGGATTACAGGCACATGTCCCCATGCCTTTCTAATTTCTTTTTTTTTTTTTTAAGTAGAGATGAGGTTTTGCCATTTTGGCCAGACTGGTCTCAAACTCCTGACCGCAAGTTATCTGCTGGCTTTGGCCTCCCGTAGTTCTGGGATTACAGTGTGAGCAATCACGCCTGGCCCAGTTTTACTCTTAATATGCAGCGAATGAAAAGTAAAATGGAAAGTGATTACTGATTAGTGAACATCTGTCTCTGCTACAGAGTTTAATTCAAACTTCTATGCGGAAGGCAGATATTATTCTTTATTGTTTAAATATTAGATCTTGTCTTGTTTGAGAATGGATTTTAAAATTGTTTGTAAAATACATACTAATCAACAGAATAAGTCAAAAGTGTTACCAGAAAAAGAAACATAAAACGTATGGGGTAACATCTTAGATTCCTTAGCTTAGTCTTGGATTATCGTCATCTGGAGAGCATCTGAAGGTGCTATCTTACAATGTAAATCATGTTTAGGGATACCTGCAGTATTTCATGAAGATGAAAATTTATTTCTAGTGAAGGTATCAACTTGTTTATAAAAAATAACTTTTTTAAAATTAGCTAACTCTAAATGATTCATCCTGACTGAGGAGTAATTATTACTGTGTGAAGAAAAGGTAATTTTTGGCCGGGCGTGGTGGCTCACGCCTGTAATCCCAGCACTTTGGGAGGCCGAGGCGGGCGGATCACGAGGTCAGGAGATCGAGACCATCCCGGCTAAAACGGTGAAACCCCGTCTCTACTAAAAATACAAAAAATTAGCCGGGCGTAGTGGCGGGCGCCTGTAGTCCCAGCTACTTGGGAGGCTGAGGCAGGAGAATGGCGTGAACCCGGGAGGCGGAGCTTGCAGTGAGCCGAGATTGCGCCACTGCACTCCAGCCTGGGCGACAGAGCGAGACTCCGTCTCAAAAAAAAAAAAAAAAAAAAAAAAAAGAAAAGGTAATTTTTAACTTGTAACTTTACCTAATAATTTTCAACATCCTTTTCCATAATATTTACTAGAATTACTAGTAACAGAAGCTAATCAATTAGCAGGATGTTCATTCCTTACTACCTTTCAATTTATATGTCTTCTTTGGAAGACACCGAAGTGACAAATTAATATGAAAACTAGAAAGAAAAAATATTCAAGAACATGGGCACTTTATTAGGATAATAAACCAGCATATGAGTGTTTTGTTTTTAAAGGATTTTAAGATAAGTATATTTAACTACAGATTTATCTTACAACAACAAGAAGAAGAAAGAATAAAGGCTGAAGAGTTGTATGAAAAAGATACAGAAGAGTTAAAAATAATGGAAGAGCAATATAGGACACAAACTGAAGTGAAAAAACAATCTAAACTGACTCTCAAATCATTGGAAGTGGAATTGAAGACTGTAAGAAGTAACTCAAATCAGGTAAATTAATGTTTGGTAAAATTTTACATTTCTAATTTTATTTTATTAATATTACTTAGAATATCCCTTTGACTTAGTTCTAAAACAAACCACAAATTTTATTTCATCTTAAAAATAAATGATACTTATAGCTACAATTATTTATTATAAATCTTGGCTTCAAAGTTATATTTTATTTCAGCTCAAAGACCTTTGGAAAACAATGATATCCCATAATATATATACTTAGTGATATTTTGTCGGTAAGTAATTTGTTCCTAGTGATATAGTTCAGTGTAGTTTTCCCTATTTTGCATTAATTATGGTCTCAAACATTGTGAAAAGGAAATAAAAGTTATCATAATAGTACATAATCTCAGGATTTCCTAAGAAGAGCTTTATAAATTTTATCTTCTTTGGTGTTTTGAAAGAAAAGTTTTCTATTGTATTGGTATATCTACCCCATGGAAGTAACTGTGATCTGGTGGAGGAGCACTAGAAGCAGTCAGAGGACCTAGGAAAAACCCAGCAGCTTGCTTCTATTTTTAACCTTTCCCTGCAGAATTGTGATAACTAAATGAATTTATTGATGTATGCATACCAAAGTGCTTAGTACAATGCCTAGATCTGTCATTTATCAATACATGTCATTGTTAAAACTGCCTCTAAAAATGTAAGAAAAGTAGAATTATCTATAAAATATTCACAGGAAAAAGAAACTTAAGGAATTTGGAAAATTTTATCTGTCCAGATATCTGCAGAGCTAAGGCTCTTACTATAGGGAAAGTAAAGGTTAGATGTTAGTGTGTAAGCCCAGTTTCTAAATGTAGTCATAGTTATTAATCATTTATGTTTTTGGGTTTGTTGAAATTCAGTAAAAGCCTTTTTTAAAAAAATCAGATTCTTAAAGAATTTCTAGTGGTTTCTTTTTTTTTTTTTTTTTTGGCTTTCATAGATTCATTGTCTTCAAATACGTTTTTGAACTTTTGAGAATTTATGCTCTAAAAGGTTTGAGGTTTTGATTCAACTTTTTTTTTCCAGTTGGATATCCAGATAGCAACTCTTTCATTATATAAATGTACAGGTTATTACTTATTTAGTTTCAGAAGAAATCATAGTATGTCATTTTATTGGGTGCTACTTGAAAGTTTTCTTTGTTTTATTTAGACTTCTCATACTCATGAAAAAGAAAGAGACCTGTGGCAGGAAAATCACTTGATGCGGGATGAAATTGCCAGACTCAGGCTGGAAATAGACACAATAAAACATCAGAACCGGGAAACTGAAAATAAATATTTCAAAGATATTGAAATTATAAAGGAAAACAATGAAGACCTTGAAAAGACTCTAAAGCTGAATGAGGAAACATTAACAAAAACAATAACCTGGTATAGTAAAGAGCTTAATGTTCTGATGGATGAGAATACAATGCTCAATTTTGAGCTAGAGAAGGAAAAACAAAGCACCCCAAGACTGGAAACAGAAATGGAATCATACCGTTGTAGACTGGCTGCTGCCCTATGTGATCATGATCAATGTCAGTCATTGAAAAGAGACCTACAGCTTGCTTTCCAGAGCACAGTGAATGAATGGTGTCATTTACAAGAAAATACTAATTCTCACATTCAGATTCTTTCTCAGCAACTTTCTAAAGCTGAGAGTACATCCAGTGGCCTGGAAACTGAGCTCCGTTATGAAAGAGAGGCTCTCAAAGAAAAGACGTTGGGTATAGAACACATGCAAGGAGTCCTAAGCCGAACACAGTGTCCATTGAAGGACATTGAACACATGTACCAAAATGACCAACCTATTTTGGAAAAATATGTGAGAAAGCAGCAGTCTATAGAGGATGGACTATTTCAACTACAAAGCCAAAATCTGTTGTATCAACAGCAATGTAATGATGCTCACAAGAAAGCTGACAATCAGGAAAAAACAATAATTAATATCCAAGTCAAATGTGAAGATACTGTAGAAAAACTTCAAGCTGAGTGTAGAAAGCTAGAAGAGAACAATAAGGGGTTGATGAAGGAATGCACTCTTTTAAAAGAAAGACAATGCCAATATGAAAAAGAGAAAGAAAAAGGAGAAGTAAGTATCAAGAAAAATAAGTATTTTTCAAACTTCCTGAAGTAAAATTTAAAGTATATTTGGTTATGGCTAAACACTGAATCTAGTTGAATATCAAAATATATACATGATAAACGGTTCTGCTATATCACCTTAGAAACTGAATTTGTTTCCAGCAAATAAAAGTTAGAGCTAGGAGATGCTTTCCTTTGAGTAAAGACAATGTGACACTTAGGAAATTTTAAACGTTTCAGTTACAAAATGTTAATATAGACTAACATTTATAATGTAGTCTTACAGTGCTGAAATAATTTTAATGTCTGTATGTTGCCACATTTTAGGATTATGATAAAGCAGATATAAAGAAATATTCATACCTAAAGTGTTATTTTGAAATAGATTCAATTAATTAGATTACTTTGACAGTTAATTCCAGATTTCCCAGATGAACAGATGAACTAAAGTGTATTTCCTATTTTATAATTATTCTTCCTCAATAGCTTTTAATGTATCTTAGTTGGTATAATTTTTTTTAATTCATGTCAATTTGACTTAAATCTGAAAATAATTCAGTCTCAAATTATATATTGATACAACCATTCCATTCTTTAAAGACATCTTTCTTACATTATAATATGGGGAAAATGTGGTAAATGTTACCCAAACCATATTTGATTTAATCTTCCCACTGGCATTTATAACTTACTTTCAATTTTTCAGTCAAAAATATGGTCATAATTTTTATTTCAAGGCTCAATGACTCATTTGGATATAAGGTTGTCCAGTACAAAGATCAGCTTAGCTGTCTGTGATTTATTAGTTTCACATCGGATCCTCATTTTTAGACTAATGAGGGGTGGTAGGAACGGTGGGAGTAGGGAAGAGAGACATAGCAGCTGGGGTCAGGGAGGGAAGTGGAAGCCAGGTTAACTAGAGCCTCTAAGGCCATTGGAATGTTAGTTTTCTTCTGAGATGGAAATCTATTGGAAGGATTTGAGCTGGTGACTGAATATGTGAGGAACTCTGAGGTTGATTTGAGCTTCTTCTTATAAAAAAGAGGGAAAACATTGCAGTGTAAAATTCACTGCCACCAGTCCCACCCACATACCTGTTTCTTTTTGAGACTTCAGAAGGTTTTTAAGCATTGCACATTCATCAGTGCACTGAATGTGTTGTATGAGTAACACAGCACCAGTGTGGCACAAAGATAACGCCTTCTTTATCCTTAACTGGATTCAGTAATAAACAGGAATGTGTACACATGAGGAGGAGGAGAAGAATCAGTGTGTGGTGGTATTTTTCAAAGTGTATATATTAGAGTTAAATATTATTAACAAAATTTAATAATAAGGTTATATGTAAAATCAGTAACAAAAATAACATCTTACCAGGTAGTCGTGAGATAGCTTCAACGAGAAGTGGGTGATGCCCTGAACAAACATTTGCTGTCAGAAGCTAGGCTAGAGATTTCATCACAACGTCGTGTTAATTTAGAAGATGAGACACGAAGTTCAAAAAAGAAATTAGGCCAGAGGAGAAGTCAAGTATGTATGAAACTTAGCATGTCAACAGTTACTCTGTAGCTGGTTAAATAATATCAAGTGTTTCAGGACACTAGTTTCAGTGGAGAGCTTTCTTTTGTATTTTCATTATAATTTTATTAAAATTTGATTATCTTTATAATACACCCATTTCTCAATCTCTGCCATGTTTTATAATTATAAATATTTTTCTTACACTATTTCCCCTTATGAAAGTTGAGAATTACACATCATTTCTCACAGAAGATTAGAGAATTCTTTTTTCTTTTTACAGTATATTTTTAGTGATTTCTTTCATTGCCACGTGGAGACAAGCCAGATTAATTCAGAGGATAATGTCTAATGGAATGTTTCAGAAAATTTTCTTTTTTTAATCTCTACTTTTCTGTGTGAATAAAGACTTATGCTTACTTATTTCATGGGTTTCTGGTTAACTGGTACAGAAAGGCCATTCTGCAGAATTAATATTTTGATGAAAATCCTTACTCTGACTTTATATCGGGCTATAGTCATAGTCATATGACTATGGACAGTTAGCATTTGCCAACATGTATGTGTCTACTTTCTCTTGTTTAAAACAAAAACAAAAAACTTTACAAATGGGGTTATAGAAGGTCAGCAAAGGCTAGGTTTGAGATGTTTGGGTGGGTCAAGTGGGCATTTTGATCACGTGGCTTCTCCTCTGGCATGTCAATGGACATCCCTGCATTTTAAGATGACACTTTTAAATAAATTCTCTCCTAATGATGACGTGAGCCCTGCCACTCTATAGGAGAATCTATCTATTTTAATTATTTTTCTGTGTATTTTAAAATGTTCTTGTGGTTTACCTGGAAAGGAAAGATGATGCTTAGTTTCAAATGTTAAAAATGGGTCGGGTGCGGTGGCTCATGCCTGTAATCCAAGCACTTTGGGAGGCTGAAGCGGGTGGATCACCTGAGGTTAGGAGTTTGAGAACATCCTGGCCAACATGGTGAAACCCCATCTCTACTAAAAAAGATACAAAAATTAGCTGGGCATGGTGGTGGCACACGCCTGTAGTCCCAGCTACTCGGGAGGCTGAGGCAGGAGAATCACTTGAACCTGGGGGTTGGAGGTTGCAGTGAGCCAAGATGGTGCCACTGCCCTCCAGCCTGGGTGGCTGAGCAAGACTCCGTCTTAAAAAAAAAAGTGCAAGTTTTCTTGCTACAACAAAAATTAAATGCATACAGACAAAAAATAAATGAAATTATAGTTGATATAGTGGTGTTTGGAATTGAAAAATATAAATGCTTACTATAATTTCCTATGTTTCCCCATTTTACCAATTTTGTAAATTTGAGTATCTGATAAAATATAAATTAAAAAAGAAAAATATTGTGTTTTAATCCTAGAGCATAGGCAGTAAACATTTCTGTAAAGGGCCAAGTAGTAGTATGTGAGACTTTGTGAGCCATAAGATCCCTGTTGCAACAACTCAACACTACAGTTACAGCACAAAAGTAGCCGTAAACAATATGCAGACTGAAGGGGTGTGGCTGCATTCCAGTAAAATTTAGTTAAAAAACAGTATAGGGGCCGGGAGCGGTGGCTCACGCCTGTAATCCCAACACTTTGGGAGGCCAAGATGGACGGATCACGAGGTCAGGAGATCGAGGCCATCCTGGGTAACACGGTGAAACCCCGTCTCTACTAAAAACACAAAAAATTAGCCAGGCGTGGTGGCAGGCGCCTGTAGTCCCAGCTACTCGGGAGGCTGAGGCAGAATGGTGTGAACCCGGGAGGCGGAGCTTGCGGTGAGCCGAGATGGTGCCACTGCACTCCAGCCTGGGCGACAGAGCAAGACTCTGTCTCAAAAATAAAAAAAAAAGGTAATAGGTCGATTTGTCCTAGATTATCATTTTTTAATAAAATAGATTGTGATAGTCTAAAACCAGTATTTTATATATAACCATATTTTGTTCATTCATTCACCTATTGATGGGCATTTGGGTTATTTCCACACCTAAAGGTTGTTTTTAATTCTTTGTTTTAGTTGCAAGAAATGCAGGATCAACGCACAGAGACTCTAAGATGTGCTGAGGAGATGCCAGACCACATGCAAAAGTACAATTTAAAGCAACATACAAAATATCTTGAGTATTTACAAAGCACATGAGTAGTGTAGTAGGAGAATTGTATCAGTTAAGATAATAAGTATGTCTATGTGAAGCCAAGGAAAAAATTCAGCTTTAGGCTATTTTGAAATGCATAAATTTTCTACATTATTTTTAATTTTATACATCATCCACAAAACAAAGGTAGAAAAATAACAATGGTTTCTCAATTTTCTACTTTTCAAATGTCTCAGAATTTATATAATTATTCCTTCAGATGTTTGTTCAGAATTTATATGATTTAAAAAAATTATATCTGAGAATAATTATTTTAAAATATATATTTTAGGCTTAAAATAGAAAATGCCATGTTAAAAATTAGAATGAAAAACCGAGTGGACAAAATTGAGCAGCTTCAGAAAATTTTGGTAGGTTCAAGTTCAGTAAGTCAATCTCTTATTTTCTGTCACACTGAAAAGGAATTTTATTTTTCTAGAATATCCCTTGTCCAAAATGTTTGGGAGGACCAAAAGTGGATTTTTTCAGATTTTGGAATATTTGTATACACCTAATGAAATACCTTAGGGATGGTACCCAAGAGTAAACGTGAAATACATTTATGTTTCATATATACCTTATGCATATAGCCTGAAGATAATTCTACACAATGTTTTACCTTTTTTTGTTTTTGTTTTTGTTTTTTTGCCCAGGGTTGGGGGGTGCAGTGGGGCACAGAGTCTTGATCTGTCACCCAGACTGGAGTGAAGTGGTGTGATCTCAGCTCACTGCAACCTCTGCCTCCCAGGTTCAAGCAATCCTCCTGCCCCAGCCTCCCAAGTAGCTGGGACTACAGGTGCGTGCAGCCACACCAGGCTAATTTTTGTATTTTTAGTAGAGATGGTTTCACCATGCTGGCCAGGCTGGTCTTGAACTCCTGACCTCAGGTGATCCACTTGCCTCAGCCTCCCAAAGTGCTGGGGTTACAGGCATGAGTCATCACATCTGGCCTGTACAATGATTTACAAAAATGTTTTGCATGTAACAAAGTTTTAACTGTGTTTCCACCACAGCCTGTCACATGAGGTCAGGTGTGGACCTTTCCTGTTGTGGTATCATGCGTGTGCTCAAAAAGTTTCAAATTGTACAGCATTTTGGATTTCAGATTTTCAAGTTAGTGTTGATCAACCCTCCTTAACATACAATAGGGCGACATGATAATGTCTCTTGTTTAACTTAAACATTATTAATAATATTTGACTGTTTCAGATGCAGCAGGTGTACAAGGAAACATAACTGTAGAAGTAGCTGAAGGTATGTTGCCAAAAATTATGAATTAAATTTAAATCATGGATTTCTGAAATAAATATAAATAGTGAGTGGGTTGCTTGGTTAACAAATACCACATTAAATACTTTTTCTTGTACACATTACTGAAAGATGTGAAAACATAAACATTCATAATGAAAAGTATACTTATGCCTCATTAGTTTATCATCTTCCATAGCTTTAAAAAAAGTCTTAAGAAGTCTATGTGTATCCCTTTTTTTTCTGGCTCTACACTTGTTCCATCTCTACGGAACTGTCAGCTTCCACACTGAAACTGTTCTCAGAAAACAAAGGCATCATCAGCTTCTCAAGGTTATGGTAGTGATTTAAGGCCAAGAGATGCTAGACTCATGTATCAAGCAATTACAGTTCATAAGCAGTCACTTGACCAGTCATATTTTAAGAGAGAGAGAGAGAGTGTGTATGTGTTTTATGTATACTTGGTTTCTGGACTCTGTTCTGTTCTACTGATCTCTATATCTTTATGCCAAAATCACACTGTTATGATTTTTGTAGCTTTGTAATAATTCTTCAAACTGGGTTGTATTTTTCCTCTAAATTTATTCTTTTGTTTTTTTCAGAGTTACTGCGCATTTCTGTGTCATCTACATGCCATGAAAGTCTTAAAATCAATTGTCAATTTCTACAAAATACCCGCTTGGATTTGAACTGTGATTGCATTATGTCATGAGAAAGAATGAACATCTTAACAATGATGAGTCTCTCAACTCATGAATAAGGTATTTTCTTAGATCTTCTTACTTTTTAGTTATCATTGTACAGATATTTTGCATAGTGTCAGATATATTCCCAAGAATTTTATATTTTAATGCTATTATAAATAGTATTATTTTTAAAATTTCAATTCCTAGCAGTTTATTTCTAACATATAGAATTACAATTGGTTTTTATATATTGATCATGTATCCTACAATGTGGCAAAACTCATTGGTGCCAGTAACGTTGTAATTGGTTTCACTTGGTTTTCCACATAGATGATTATGTCTGTGAATAAAGATAGTTTCACCTATTTCTTTTCAGTCTAGATGCCTTTCGTTTTCCTCCATTTCTTCCTTCCTCCCTTCTTTCTTCCTTTTTTCTTCCTTCCTTTCTTCCTTCTCCCAACTCCCTTTTAAAAAGTGATTACAGTGGCTCGAAATTGCAGTACAGTGTTGAATAGAAGTGGTAAGAGCTGACATGCCTTCTCGATCTTAGGGGAAAGCATTCAGTCTTTCATCATTACATAGAATGTTAGCATTAGGTATTTTAAAGATGCCCTTTGACATGTCGAGGAGATTCTCTTGTATCTCCAGTTTGCTGAGATTATTTTGTTAATGAAAAGTGTTCAATTTTCTCAAATGCTTTTTCTGCATCTAATACATAATCATATGGTTTTTATGTTGTTAATATAATTATAAGATTAATTGATTTGGGGGAGAAGGTTAAGTTGGTATTTAATTTAAAATAATTTTTAAATGTAGTTTTTTCTTGAATTTTTTAGTTCAAATCTTGTATTATGTTTAAAATGCTCTAAACTTTGTCAATTCTTTTTAAAAGTTCTGGTGAAATATACATAACATAAAATTTAGCATTTTAACAATTTTTAACTCCATAGTTCAGTGGCATTAAGTACATTTACAATGTCATACAACAATCACTACTATCCATTTCTAGAATTTTTTCATCATCCCTAATAGAAACTCTGTACCCATTAAATATCTTCCCATAATCCTTCTCTTCATCCCTAGTAACCTGTATTCTACTTTCTGTCTCTGTGAATTTATCTATGCCGGGTATATTATATAAGTGAAATCATAAAACATTGGCTTTTTGTGTCTGGGTTATTTCACTTAGCATAATGTTTTCAAGGCTCATCTATATCGTACAGCATGTATCAGTAGTTTATTTCCTCTTATTTGCAATTAATTTGCTATTGCTGAGAAATACCACATTTTATTTAATAGTTGATGGACATTTGTATTGTTTCCAGGTTTTAACTATTATGAATGATGTACTGTGGACACATATGTGGACATATGTTCCTCTTGGGTAAATACTCAAGTGGGAATCGAGATCAAATAGTAACTGTGTTTAATCTCAAGGAACTATCAGGCTGTTATTCAACACAGCTGTACAATTTTACATTTCCACTGGCAGTGTATGAGGGTTCCAATTTCTTCACATCTTTTCCAGTATTTATTTTTCATCTTTTTTATTATAGGCATTCTAGTGGTGTGAAGTGGTACCTCTTTGTGGTTTTGATTTGCCTTTCCCTTTGATGTTGACCATCTTTTCATGTGGTTACTGGCCATTGTCTATGTTCTTAGATGAAAAACCTGGTCGTTATCCTTTGACCATGTTTTAATTGATTGCCTTTTTGTTGTTGATTTGTAAGAGTTCTTTATATATTCTGAACAAGAATGTATTTTTTTACACTTTTTTCATAAACTTTGTTCTAAATCTTGTATTCTTGTTTCTGCGTTTTAAAATTTTGTTTCATCAGCCTCTTTCTCAAGAATTTACCATGTATACTAGTATCATATTTCTGTATTCCAATCTTCTTTTCATGATTTGCTTCCTTGCCCCAAAGAAAAAAATATATTCTCATTACCCAAATAATTTCCCACTTTACTCACACCCACTATTTTTCTATAATCCACATTCTCTCCTGGGGCAAAAGATTGGGAAGATTTATCTTACTGAGGGAACTTCCTTTATATTGTTCAGGAATAGCTTTAATGAATTTTACATACTTGGAGACATCAGGAGAAAGCATGTATGTCACTGCTTTTCTCAGGAGCACTGGCTCACATGCCTTGAAAGGATTTAGTAGACCTTTAATAAATGGCGTAAGATACTAACAGCTGCCATGTCATTAAGCATCACATTTACTTATCAAGAAGAAAATAATTTAGAATTTACCTGTCAAAATCTACTACAAAGATGGCATGTATTTGACTAAAACTGCAGTGTTTGTCCCTGTTGACATAACTATAGTCCCTGCCTTTCTCATGTTTTCCCTTTTTTTTTTATTATTATACTTTAAGTTTTAGGGTACATGTGCACAACGTGCAGGTTTGTTACATATGTATACATGCGCCATGTTGGTGTGCTGCACCCATTAACTCGTCATTTATATTAGGCATATCTCCTAATGCTATCCCTCCCCCCTACCCCCACCTCACAACAGGCCCCAGTGTGTGATGTTCCCCTTCCTGTGTCCAAGTGTTCTCATTGTTCAATTCCCACCTATGAGTGAGAACATGCGGTATTTGGTTTTTTGTCCTTGCAATTGTTTGCTGAGAATGATGGTTTCCAGCTTCATCCATGTCCCTACAAAGGACATGAACTCATCCTTTTTTATGGCTGCATAGTATTCCATGGTGTATATGTGCCACATTTTCCTAATCCAGTCTATCATTGATAGACATTTGGGTTTGTTCCAAGTCTTTGCTACTGTGAATAGTGCCACAATAAACATACGTGTGCATGTGTCTTTATAGCAGCATGATTTATAATCCTTTGGGTATATACCCAGTAATAGGATGGCTGGGTCAAATGGTATTTCTAGTTCTAGATCCCTCAGGAATCACCACACTGACTTCCACAATGGTTGAACTAGTTTACAGTCCCACCAACAGTGTAAAAATGTTCAATTTCTCCACATCCTCTCCAGCACCTGTTGTTTCCTGACTTTTTTTTTTTATACTTTAAGTTTTAGGGTACATGTGCACAACGTGCAGGTTTGTTACATATGTATACATGTGCCATGTTGGTGTGCTGCAACCATTAACTCGTCATTTAACATTAGGTGTATCTCCTAATGCTATCCCTCCCCCCTTGCTCCACCCCACAACAGGCCCCAGTGTGTGATGTTCCCCTTCCTGTGTCCATGTGTTCTCATTGTTCAATTCCCACTTATGAGTGAGAACATGCGGTGTTTGGTTTTTCATCCTTGCAATAGTTTGCTGAGAATGATGGTTTCCAGCTTCATCCATGTCCCTACAAAGGACATGAACTCATCATTTTTTATGGCTGCATAGTATTCCATGGTGTATATGTGCCACATTTTCTTAATCCAGTCTATCATTGTTGGACACTTGGGTTTGTTCCAAGTCTTTGCTATTGTGAATAGTGCCACAATAAACATACGTGTGCATATGTCTTTATAGCAGCATGATTTATAATCCTTTGGGTATATACCCAGTAATGGGATGGCTGGATCAAATGGTATTTCTAGTTCTAGATCCCTGAGGAATCGCCACACTGACTTCCACAATGATTGAACTAGTTTACAGTCCCACCAACAATGTAAAAGTGTTCCTATTTTTCCACATCCTCTCCAGCACCTGTTGTTTCCTGACTTTTTAATGATTGCCATTAACTGGTGTGAGCTGGTATCTCATTGTGGTTTTGATTTGCATTTCACTGATAGCCAGTGATGATGAGCATTTTTTCGTGTGTTTTTTGGCTGCATAAATGTCTTCTTTTGAGAAGTGTCTGTTCATATCCTTTGCCCACTTTTTGATGGGGTTGTTTGTTTTTTTCTTGTAAATTTGTTTGAGTTCTTTGTAGATTCTGGATATTAGCCTTTTGTCAGATGAGTAGATTGCAAAAATTTTCTCCCATTCTGTAGGTGGCCTGTTCACTCTGATGGTAGTTTCTTTTGCTGTGCAGAAGCTCTTTAGTTTAATTAGATCCCATTTGTCAAGTTTGGCTTTTGTTGCCATTGCTTTTGGTGTTTTAGTCATGAAGTCCTTGCCCATGCCTATGTCCTGAATGGTATTGCCTAGGTTTTCTTCTAGGGTTTTTATGGTTTTAGGTCTAACGTTTAAGTCTTTAATCCATCTTGAATTAATTTTTGTATAAGGTGTAAGGAAGGGATCCAGTTTCAACTTTCTACATATGGCTAGCCAGTTTTCCCAGCACCATTTATTAAATAGGGAATCCTTTCCCCATTGCTTGTTTTTGTCAGGTTTGTCAAAGATCAGATAGTTGTAGATATGTGGCATTATTTCTGAGGGCTCTGTTCTGTTCCATTGGTCTATATCTCTGTTTTGGTACCAGTACCATGCTGTTTTGGTTACTGTAGCCTTGTAGTATAGTTTGAAGTCGGGGGCATAATGCCTCCAGCTTTGTTCTTTTGGCTTAGGATTGACTTGGCGATGTGGGCTCTTTTTTGGTTCCATATGAACTTTAAAGTAGTTTTTTCCAATTCTGTGAAGAAAGTCATTGGTAGCTTGATGGGGATGGCATTGAATCTATAAATTACCTTGGGCAGTATGGCCATTTTCACGATATTGATTCTTCCTACCCATGAGCATGGAATGTTCTTCCATTTGTTTGTATCCTCTTCTATTTTGCTGAGCAGTGGTTTGTAGTTCTCCTTGAAGAGGTCCTTCACATCCCTTGTAAGTTGTATTCCTAGGTATTTTATTCTCTTTGAAGCAATTGTGAATGGGAGTTCAGTCATGATTTGGCTCTCTGTTTGTCTGTTATTGGTGTATAAGAATGCTTGTGATTTCTGCACATTGATTTTGTATCCTGAGACATTGCTGAAGTTGCTTATCAGCTTAAGGAGATTTTGGGCTGAGACAATGAGGTTTTCTAGTTATACAATCATGTCATCTGCAAACAGAGACAATTTGACTTCCTCTTTCCTAATTGAATACCCTTTATTTCCTTCTCCTGCCTGATTGCCCTGGCCAGAATTTCCAACACTACGTTGAATAGGAGTGGTGAGAGAGGGCATCCCTGTCTTGTGCCAGTTTTCAAAGAGAATGTTTCCAGTTTTTGCCCATTCAGTATGATATTGACTGTGGGTTTGTCATAGATAGCTCTTATTATTTTGAGATATGTCCCATTAATACCTAACTTATTGAGAGTTTTTAGCATGAAGGGTTGTTGAATTTTGTCAAAAGCCTTTTCTGCATCTATTGAGATAATCATGTGGTTTTTGTCTTTGGTTCTGTTTATATGCTGGATTATGTTTATTGATTTTCATATGTTGAACCAGACTTGCATCCCAGGGATGAAGCCCACTTGATCATGGTGGATAAGCTTTTTGATGTGCTGCTGGATTTGGTTTCCCAGTATTTTATTGAGGATTTTTGCATCAGTGTTCCTCAAGGATATTGGTCTAAAATTCTCTTTTTTTGTGGTGTCTCTGCCAGGCTTTGGTATCAGGATGATGCTGGCCTCATAAAATGAGTTAGGGAGGATTCCCTCTTTTTCTATTGATTGGAATAGTTTCAGAAGGAATGGTACCAGCTCCTCCTTGTACCTCTGGTAGAATTTGGCTGTGAATCCATCTTGTCCTGGACTTTTTTTGGTTGGTAAGCTATTAATTATTGCCTCAATTTCAGATCCTGTTATTGGTCTATTCAGAGATTCAACTTCTTCCTGGTTTAGTCTTGGGAGAGCGTATGTGTCGAGGAATTTATCCATTTCTTCTAGATTTTCTAGTTTATTTGCGTACAGGTGTTTATAGTATTCTCTGATGGTAGTTTGTATTTCTGTGGGCTCATTGGTGATATCCCCTTTGTCATTTTTTATTGCGTCTATTTGATTCTTCTCTCTTTTCTTCTTAATTAGTCTTGCTAGCGGTCTATCAATTTTGTTGATCTTTTTAAAAAACCAGCTCCTGGATTCATTGATTTTTTGAAGGGTTTTTTGTGTCTATATTTCCTTCAGTTCTGCTCTGATCTTAGTTATTTCTTGCCTTCTGCTAGCTTTTGAATGTGTTTGCTCTTGCTTCTCTAGTTCTTTTAATTGTGATGTCAGGGTGTCAATTTTAGATCTTTCCTGCTTTCTCTTGTGGGCATTTAGTGCTATAAATTTCCCTCTACACACTGCTTTAAATGTGTCCCAGAGATTCTGGTATGTTTTGTCTTTGTTCTCGTTGGATTCAAAGAACATCTTTATTTCTGTCTTCATTTCCGTTATGCACCCAGTAGTCATTCAGGAGCAGGTTGTTCAGTTTCCATGTAGTTGAGCGGTTTTGAGTGAGTTTCTCAATCCTGAGTTCTAGTTTGATTGCACTGTGGTCTGAGAGACAGTTTGTTATATTTCTGTTCTTTTACATTTGCTGAGGAGTGTTTTACTTCCAACTATGTGGTCAATTTTGGAATAGGTGTGGTGTGGTGCTGAAAAGAATGTATATTCTGTTGATTTGGGGTGGAGAGTTCTGTAGATGTCTATTAGGTCCACTTGGTGCAGAGCTGAGTTCAATTCCTGGATATCCTTGTTAACTTTCTGTCTCATTGATCTGTCTAATGTTGACAGTGGGGTGTTAAAGTATCCCATTATTATTGTGTGCAAGTCTAAGTCTCTTTGTAGGTCTCTAAGGACTTGCTTTATGAATCTGGGTGTTGCTGTATTGGGTGCATACATATTTAGGAGAGTAAGTTCTTATTGTTGAATTGATCCCTTTACCATTATGTAATGGCCTTCTTTGTCTCTTTTGATCTTTGTTGGTTTAAAGTCTGTTTTATCAGAGACTAGAATTGCAACCTCTGCCTTTTCTTGTTTTCCATTTGCTTGGTAGATCTTCCTCCATCCCTTTATTTTGAGCCAATGTGTGTCTCTGCACATGAAATGGGTTTCCTGAATACAGCACACTGATGGGTTTGACTCTTTATCCAATTTGCCAGTCTGTGCCTTTTAATTGGAGCATTTAGCCCATTTACATTTAAGGTTAGTATTGTGATGTGTGAATTTGATCCTGTCATGATGATGTTAGCTGGTTATTTTGCTCGTTAGTTGATGCAGTTTCTTCCTAGCCTTGATGGTCTTTACAATTTGGCATGTTTTTGCAGTGGCTGGTACCGCTTGTTCCTTTCCATGTTTAGTGCTTCCTTCAGGAGCTCTTTTAGGGCAGGCCTGGTGGTGACAAAATCTCTCAGCATTTGCTTGTCTGTAAAGTATTTTATTTCTCCTTCACTTATGAAGCTTAGTTTGGCTGGATATGAAATTCTGGGTTGAAAATTGTTTTCTTTAAGAATGTTGAATATTGGCCCCCACTCTCTTCTGGCTTGTAGAGTTTCTGCCAAGAGATCCGCTGTTAGTCTGATGTGCTTCCCTTTGTGGGTAACCCGACGTTTCTCTCTGGCTGCCCTTAACATTTTTTCCTTCATTTCAACTTTGGTGAATCTGACAATTATGTGTCTTGGAGTTGCTCTTCTCGAGGAGTATCTTTGTGGCATTCTCTGTATTTCCTGAATCTGAATGTTGGCCTGCCTTCCTAGATTGGAGAAGTTCTCCTGGATAATATCCTGCAGAGTGTTTTGCAACTTGGTTCCATTCTCCCCGTCACTTTCAGGTACACCAATCAGACGTAGACTTGGTTTTTCACATAGTCCCATATTTCTTGGAGGCTTTATTCATTTCTTTTTATTTTTTTTCTCTAAACTTCCCTTCTCGCTTCATTTCATTCATTTCATCTTCCATCGCTGATACCGTTTCTTCCAGTTGATCGCATCAGCTCCTGAGGCTTCTGCATTCTTCATGTAGTTCTCGAGCCTTGGTTTTCAGCTCCATCAGCTCTTTTAAGCACTTCTCTGTATTGGTTATTCTAGTTATACATTTGTCTAAATTTTTTTCAAAGTTTTCAACTTCTTTGCCTTTGGTTTGAATTTCCTCCTGTAGCTCGAAGTTGTTTGATCGTCTGAAGGCTTCTTCTCTCAACTCGTCAAAGTCATTCTCCGCCCAGCTTTGTTCCGTTGCTGGTGAGGAACTGCATTACTTTGGAGGAGGAGAGGCGCTCTGCTTTTTAGAGTTTCCAGGTTTTCTGCTCTGTTTTTTCCCCATCTTTGTGGTTTTATCTACTTTTGGTCTTTGATGATGGTGATGTACAGATGGGATTTTGGTGTGGATGTTCTTTCTGTTTGTTAGTTTTTCTTCTAACAGACAGGACCCTCAGCTGCAGGTCTGTTGGAGTTTGCTAGAGGTCCAGTCCAGACCCTGTTTTCCTGGGTATCAGCAGCGGTGTCTGCAGAACCACGGATTTTCGTGAACCGCAAATGCTGCTGATTGTTCCTCTGGAAGTTTTGTCTCAGAGGAGTACCCGGCTGTGTGAGGTGTCAGTCTGCCCCTACTGGGGGATGCCTCCCTGTTAGGCTGCTCGGAGGTCAGGGGTCAGGGACCCACTTGAGGAGGCAGTCTGCCCGTTCTCAGATCTTCAGCTGCGTGCTGGGAGAACCACTGCTCTCTTCAAAGCTGTCAGACAGGGACATTTATGTCTGCAGAGGTTACTGCTGTCTTTTTGTTTGTCTGTGCCCTGCCCCCAGAGGTGGAGCCTACAGAGGCAGGCAGGCCTCCTTGAGCTGTGGTGGGCTCCACCCAGTTCGAGCTTCCCGGCTGCTTTGTTTACCTAAGCTAGCCCGGCCCCTCCCCCAGCCTCGCTGCCGCCTTGCAGTTTGATCTCAGACTGCTGTGCTAGCAATCAGTGAGACTCCGTGGGCGTAGAACCCTCCGAGCCATGTGTGGGATATAATCTCCTGGTGCGCCGTTTCCTAAGCCCATCGGAAAAGCGCAGTATTTGGGTGGGAGTGACCTGATTTTCCAGGTGCCGTCTGTCAGCCCTTTCCTTGACCAGGAAAGGGAACTCCCTGACCCCTTGTGCTTCCTGAATGAGGCAATGCCTTGCCCTGCTTCGGCTCATGCACCCACTGTCCTGCACCCACTGTCTGGCACTCCCTAGTGAGATGAACCCGGTACCTCAGATGGAAATGCAGAAATCACCCGTCTTCTGCGTTGCTCACACTGGGAGCTGTAGACCGGAGCTGTTCCTATTCGGCCATCTTGTCTCCTCACCCCATATATTCTTAATTATAAGACAAAGATTTGGGTTTTTTTTTTTTTTCCTTCCCTAAAACCACTTTTTGGCTGTGTGCTGTGGCTCATGTCTATAATCTCAAGACTTTGGGAGGCCAAAGTAGGAGGATCACTTGAGTCCAGGAGTTGGAGGCTACAGTAAGCTCTGATCACACCCACTGCACTCCAACGTGACAGAGTGAGCCCGTCTCTCAAAAAAAAAAATGAAGCTTGCATTTTTAAATAAAAATGGTTGTTAATTCTGAGTTCAACACATGTAAACATTCATTTTTCAATTTTGATATTTCATAATATAGTAAAATATCTTGATTAGGATACCTGTAGGTACTAACCACTAGAAATAACTTGATACACCAGTGTAACTGGTTATAACTGTTGTTTATCTGTTGAATATTTAGGTTTACTCTTCTAAGCTATTTGTAACAAGAGCCTAAAAACTGGGTTTCCTTCATTGAACTTCATGCCTCTCTGGTTATTGAAGATGGCAAGCGAGGGGCACTCTGGATACAGGTCAGTTTCCTGACAACCATCAGGATAGTATGATAGGCACACGTTTCCAACCGTCCTCATTTATTTAAATAGCAAGCTAATTAAGGACCTTGAAGAGTATTAGAGAGTTTCACGATCTGCTCATGTCCTGTGATTTAATTGTATTATAATTCTTCAATGGGAATTTTATAAACAGGCAGTTTGAGATGCAGAGTTTCCAACAGACTTAACGGAGTTTTTTCCCCTTTAGGTATAAAATGAAGAGAATGTCTCCTGGACCTAATTGCCACAATGAGATACTACAGTTTATTCGCACCAGGGTGGAAAAAAAGGGAATAGTGTTCAAATCACTGATGGAACTGGATGACGCTTCTATTTCCAGGTGGCTTTAACTATAGTATTACGCAACTTATTTATATTTTCAACTATTTATTTAATAAACCTTACAAACAAGCTATAGGGAATTATCTTACATGTGTAGACTACTTTATAAGTATGTAGGAAGATAATTTGTTTGCAGGTGACAGCTTGCCCCAGTCTCCTGTGGCGGGCAGGGCTTATGTGGTATTTGTGCCTTGGGCTGCACAGGAAATGGGCTCAAAGAGTTTCAGTGCAGCTCCCCCTGGAGCCCGGCACTTCTGGCTCTGGATATGGTACTTTTCACTGCAGTGTGCTGATTCTGGGTGCCTCCAGAAGACCCACAATGTGACTGTTGGGCCCAGCCCTGTTCCCAACAATGGCAGGGCCTGGGACAAAAATACAAGTATTTAAAGTTTATAACTTTATAGTTTATAACAATACAAGTATTTAAAAAGTTATAAATCAAACTAGCAAACTATTAGATTAAGAAGTGTGTCCTAATCTCCTCCCTTGGCAAATACAACTTCATAACCACCTGGAAGGCCAGGTTCAAATTCAGCCCTTGGCTGACCCCTAGCACCCTAAGAGGCCTTGCCTGCACACATGAATACCCCACCCCACCCATCAAAATGCCATCCAGACCCCATGCCAGTGCCCCCTCACCCCAGCCACCTTGCAGCACCAGTGAGATGGCAGCACTGTTCAAACTCAGGATGACAGACCAGGGAAGACCCTGGAAGTGGACTCAGGGCCATGTGGTCAGGAACGCTAGAGTTGCAGGGTCTAAAAAGGAGGATGTGGGTTCCGGGGTGGGCACATTCTCTTGTCCCTACAGACCCTCCACCCCATGGCGAGAGGGGCATGACCAGAGTAGGATCCCTCTGACATACGTATATATGTATATGTATATGCATACACATATGCACATACATACACATATACACATATACATACACATATGCACATGCATACACATACATGCATACACATACATGTGCACATGCATACACATATACACACATATATATAAGTATATACATACACATATGCACATACATACACACATACACATGTATACATAACTATATACATACACATGCACATACATACACATGTAGATATATACATACACATATGCACATACATACACATATACATACACATGCACATGCATACACATATACACATACACATATGCACATGCATACACATACACATATGCACATGCATACACATATACACATGTATGTATAAGTATATACACACATGCACATACATACACATGTATATATAAGTATATACATACACATATGCACATACATACATACACATGTAGATATATATATACATACACATATGCACATACATACACATATACACATATACATACACATGTAATTGGCTTATGTTCATTTAAAGGCAAGATAAGGGGAAAACTAATCAAACTAATAAAAATACTGTTGCAAGGGAGGTTTGGTAGAGAGGACAAGGATGGAAGCTAGGTTTCTCCTAGTGTGATTTGTTTTGCAGTTTTGACTTTGGAACTATGTAAATATTTTATGTAATAATGGATAAGATTGATATTTATTTATTTGTTGAGACAAAGTCTGGCTGTATCACCCAGGCTGGAGTGCAGTGGTGCAATCTCAGCTCACTGCAACCTCCGCCTCCTGGGCTCAAGCCATCCTCCCACCTTGGCCTCCTAAGTAACTGGGACTACAGGCATGCACCACCATGCCCTGCTAATTTTTGTATTTTTTGTAAAGACAGGGCTTCACCATGTTACCCAGGCTGGTCTCGAACTCCTGAACTCAAGCAATCCTCCTGCCTCAGCCTCCCAAAGTGCTAGGATTACAGACGTGAGCCACCATGCCCAGCCTGGGAATTAATTTAAGATGACTTTAAAACATAGTAAATAATTTGACTGTGTCAAATTATGTCAAATCCCCTAGTGGGATAGTGCCTAAGGATTAAAAAATATTACAAAGAAATCTCACTGGGAGTAGCCATGGTGTTAATAACACTTTTGATTTGTTATTTTGGAAGGTAGATACTAATATTGTTAGAAACTAATATGTATAAAATCAAACAAGTTAAATGAAAACCCTTGATTTCTAAACTTGAATTAGATTAGAGGAACATGTTATGTGACACCATGCAAATGCAGTCAGCAAAGTCTGGAATGTGGGGAAATAAATGGCAAGAGAAAAAAAGGGTTGAGGAGCGAACCTATAAATAAACCTTTAGAGACATGTCAACCAAAAGCAAGAGTAGACCTTGTTTAGATCCTAGTTTGAACAAAACCCACTGCATTTTAAAAAATGAGACAGGGAAAATTAAAACACTACCTGGATATTTTATGATATTTAAAGAAATATTGATAACTATTTTTTTTTTTTTTGAGATGGAGTCTCGCTTTGATACCCAGGCTGGAGTGCAGTGGTGCAGTTTTGGCTCACTGCAAGCTCTGCCTCCCGGGTTCACACCATTCTCCTGCCTTAGCCTCCCAAGTAGCCGGGACTACAGGCACCCGCCACCATGCCTAATTTTTTTATATTTTTAGTAGAGACGGGGTTTCACCGTGTTAGCCAGGATGGTCTCGATCGCCTGACCTCGTGATCCGCTCGCCTCGGCCTCCCAAAGTGCCAGGATTACAGGCATGAGCCACTGCGCCTGGCCTGATAACTATTTTTTAAGTGTAACGATTAAGAAAAAGTTCTTGAACACAAAACAGGTGTTCAGGAATTTCTGGACTAGGCACATTGGCTCATGCCTGTAATCCATGCACTTTGGGAGGCTGAGACAGGAGGACCAGTTGAGCCCAGCAAGATCAAGCCCAGGAGTTTAAGACCAGCCTAGGTAACCAATGAGACCCCCATCTCTACAAAAAAACTTTTTTAAATTACCCAGGCATTGCTGGGCACAGTGGCTCACACCTGGAATCCCAGCACTTTGGGAGGCCAAGGCAGGAGGATTGCTTGCTTCCAGGAGTTCAAGACCAGCCTTGACCACATAGCAAGACCCTGTCTCTACAAAAAAATTAAGAATTACCTGAGTGTTGTAGTGTGTGACTACTCAAGAAGCTGGGGGAGGGGGGGGGATTGCTTGAGCCCAGGAGGCCAAGGCTGCAGTGAGTTGTGATCATGCCACTGCACTCCAGCCGGGGCAACAAAGCTAGACCCTGTCTAAAAAAAAAAAAGAATCATAATTTACTATATGTAATTTATACTTCCATTTTTTGAAAAGCAATACCTTCTCATTAGTTTGCCAAGAAAGATGAGAATTTATTCTTTTTTCTATTTGGGGGGTTTTCTTTTTTTTTTGTATTTATTTATTTATTTATTTATTTATTTATTTATTTATTTATTTACTGAGGCAGGGTCTCATTCTGTTGCCCAGGCTGGAGTGCAGTGGCATAATCTCGGCTCACTGCAACCTCTGCCTCCCAGGTTGATCACTTGAGCCCAGCAAGACCAAGTCCAGGAGTTTAAGATCAGCAATTCTCGTGCCTCAGCCTTCCAAGTAGCTGGGATTACAGGTGCGCACCACCGTGCCCAGCTAATTTTTATATTTTTAGTAGAGATGAGGTTTCGCCATGGTGGCCAGGCTGGTCTCAAACTCCTGGCCTCAAGTGAAAATAAACCAGTGCCACTTGCCAAGAGAATTAATTAAATAAATATCAAAGAAAAAACACTTTGAACAGCTAGGAGATGGGACTAAAAAATTAGTATTTGACTTAATAGGCACATCCAAAGAGGTAATTATTCTATTTATATTGTTCCTAATTAGTAATATTATAGCTGTTAGAACAAGTATAAACTTTGAACGTGCTTTTGAACTGTAATACCACAAAGTATTAAAGCAAGATGTTCAGAACTGATCAAGTATATTGCAGCATATAGCTCTTACTACATTACTGCTATGGTGCTAGCAAAATGGTTTGCTGGCACTTGAGTACATAAGACAATACGATGTTAGGCCAGGCGCGGTGGCTCACGCCTATAATCCCAGCACTTTGGAAGGCTGAGGCGGGCGGATCACAAGCTTGCAGTGAGCTGAGATTGTGCTCCTGCACTCCAGCCTGGCAACAAAGCGAGACTCTTGTCTCAAAAAAAAAAAAATTAAATATTTTTTATTTCCTGTTTATTGCATGTTTGAAACTTTTTTCTGTATTTTCTATTTCGGGATGTACGTAACATTGATGCAGGAGTACATTACCTGGGGGTGTAGGCACAAGGTTTTCTTACTAGTGGAATGTGAACCAAAAAGTGTAGAGGCCACAGGGCTAAAGGAGGCCGGCTGAATTAGTGAAAATATTCAAAGCCAGTTTTGTTGTTTTCAGCAGTCAGTAACTGTCAGTAGACGAACATTTACCAGGAAATGTCGGTCTTTTAAACTTCGGGCATGGTTCTTATTTAGTATGTTCATTCTATCATGACATTCAGTGAACATTTATTGAGTGCCCACTGTGTACCAGGGATTAGTATGCACGTTAAATTTATAAGCTTTGTTGATTTCCACCACAAACCCATGGGACCTCATGTTATTCTCACAATTGAGGAAACTGAGATTCCCAGTGTTGAATGAAAGCCACACAGTATCACATGGCCAGTATCATGTGATTGCAGAGTCAGGACTCAAACCCAGCTCTTCACCATCATGCTATACTGATGGCCCTTTCCCAGTTCACAGGGAGAAATGAGGAACAGGGAGAGAATTTTCAAAATATTAGGTTTTCCCATAGAATTTTCTGAAGAACTTTGGTGTATGTTGCCACTTGTTCACTAACAAGTTCTAACAGATGACAGAACAAATGAGGAAGTAGCTAATTAATATTAATGAACAACCCCAGAATTTTTCTGAGTGTTGAATAGACTTGAATATTCAACAGTCTCAAATATTTGACACCATTCAGTGGACACACACTTGACTCGATAAGCTTATTCTACCAAGTTGTTCCTGGTTTATGTGACACAGCTGAACAGATGCCAGTTTCATGGGGGACTGTCAGATATTCTGAAGGGACCTAATCAAGTCAGTACAGTGGGAAGGAGAGAGAAACAGAAGCCTCGTTTGTGAAATACTACTTGAGTTTGTGCATGAAGAATGGATAGGATTTAGACTGAGAAGCTTGGAAAGGGGACAACCACAAACAACTGTAGAGAGGCTGGAACCTGAGCTGTCCTGTAGGCAGCAGGGATGCCTGGAGGCACGTGGAAGCCAGGAGGTGGGGGGCACAGGACACTTGACAATGCAGTGCATAAGCTCAAGTTCAGATGGTTAGAAGAACTTCCGGAAGATGTCAAGGAAAACTGCTTTTATTAAATATCTTAACTTTTGGCAGAATCATTTTGTGTGATATAATGTGATGGGTTTAGTACCACATTACATTTCACATGTTATATTCTGAAATCTGAAACATTTATTTTTTTTTAACCTAAGAATATTCCCTGGGCTTTTGAAGCAATAAAGAAAGCAAGTGAATGGGTAAGAAGAACTGAAGGACAGTACCCATCTATCTGCCCATGGCTTGAACTGGGGAATGACTGGGACTCTGCCACCAAGCAGTTACTAGGACTCCAGCTCATAAACACTGTGTCCCCTCTTCGTAGAGTCCTTCATTACAGTCAAGACTAAGTCAAATGAAACTGAATTTTAAACTTTTTGCATGCTTCTATGTAGAAAATAATCAAATGATAATAGATACTTATAATGAAACTCCATTAAGGTTTTATTCAGTGTAGCAATTAGTGTCTTTGAAAATAAAGTGGAAGCAGAATTACTTTAATCAACTAACAAGCAATAATGAAACAAAATATTTGTTTTCTGTCTCATTTTTTGTTATTTTTTAATTTTTTATTTTTTTGAGACGAAGTTTTGCTCTTGTTGCTCAGACTGGAGTGCAATGGCGTGATCTCAGCTCACTGCAATCTCTGCCTCCTGGGTACAAGCAATGCTCCTGCCTCGGCCTCCCGAGTAGCTGGGATTACAGGTGTGTGCCACCATGCCCTGCTAAATTTTTGTATTTTTAGTAGAGACAGGATTTCACCAGGTTGCCCAGGCTGGTCTCGAACTCCTGATCTCAGGTGATCCACCTGCCTCGGCCTCCCAAATTGCTGGGATTACAGGCATAAGCCACAGCACCTGGCCTGTTGTTGTTTTAGAGATGGTCTCAATCTGTCTCCCAGGCTGGAGTGCGGTGGTGCGATCATACCCCACTGCAGCCTCAAACTCCTGGGATCAAAGAATAGTCCCACCTCAGCCTCCTAATTGAGACTATAGGCATGTGCCACCACACCCAGGTAATTTTGGGGTGTACTTTTTGTAGAGATGGGGTCTTGCTATGCTGCCTAGGCTGGTCTTGAATTCCTGGCCTCAAGCAATCCTCCCACCTCAGCCTCTTAATGTGTTGGGATTACTTGTGTGAGCCTCTGCACCCAGCCAGTGTTTCAGAGCTTTAAGGTGATGAGAGATGCTTCTGGATGGTCCTGGGAGCCTGTGTCCTTCTCACATTCAGGAGTCCAGTGGAAAGCTGGCTCAGCTGGACTGAGCAAGCTGAGAAGAAACATGGTCTTTTGTAGGGGATCTGTCAGGGTGGTGGGAGAAATTATAAAAATTAAGTTGTAGGAGATAGACACAAAACTTCTTGGAAGGCTGGGAGGTTTGCATACCTTCAGTAAAAGATTTGGCTGAAGGCAGCTGAATTCTCTTAAAAGCTTAGGGCGTAGATACATAGGAATGTAGAGAAGTTTATCTAAATAGCTTGTTTACTCATGTGGTCCTAAAACAGACCTTTGATCATTTGCGGGCGCATGACTGCTCTCTACTCAGGAGGTCAGCAATGTTAATTACCCTCTAGTGGTGTGGTGTTTACTTGAGAACTTTGTCATTAAATCTGTACTGAATAAATGCCTGGAGCCCCAGCCTGACAGGGCTGTGCCTGGTGACTCTTTATAGCACCTGCTGACTCTTTATAGCACCCTCCTCAGTGTCTGGGAGCTGCCCAGTCCCCTACCCCATTCTTTCACAGGATACCTGTGTCTGAGTGCATTTCTTCATCCATCACGCAGCCAGGGTCTGCAGGTTGGACCCAGCAAGTTATTGACAGAGTTTGAAAATTATACAGGATTGGTTGTTGAGTTGGATATTTTAGTCAACATTTATTAAGCCCATGCCTCAGCAGTAGTTGACTTTTGTCTAAAGGGAGAGAAAGAAATTCTAGTTTTCCCAAACGTCCAAGGCTCCAAACAAAACATACTGAATTAAGATTTCCAGAAGAAAGTCCTGGCAACTTGGATATTTAATAGGTGCTCCAGGTTATCAAGCACATTGGAACACAATGGCCCAGGTGCTGTATCTCAAAATGTGAGTCTGTGGACTGGCATTGTCTGCCTCACTCGGGAACTCAACAAGAGACGCAGAATCTCTGGTCCTGTTTGAGACTATTGAATCAGAAGCTGCATTTTATTTAGCAAGGCCCCCAGGTGACTCCTATGCATGTTTATAGTTGAAGGGCTAGTGGAGTGTGGTGACAGGAACATATTTGGTGCTTGTTCAGGGCCTTGTTTTAAGAACCCATGATGCTTGTGCCCAGTGGAGCAACCCATCAGTCCAATTGTTGGGAGAAAAGCTGAGGCAAGACTTGCTAGTCTGACATAATATGAAAAGAGCCTTGGAACATGTCCTGGGTCCAGAGTTTAAAACTTCTTGTGGCCTATGGAACACCAGGTTCTGTGCTTAAGGGTGGAAGGCTGCCCCGCCGCACTACAACCTAAGCCTAGGGCATAAAACCCCTCATGGCTTGGATGGAATCCAGGACTCAGGACATAAAACCCCTCGTGGCCTCTGGAATGTGTCCAGACTTGCTGGCTCCTTGCTTCTTGCTCTCCCAGGATCATAAACTGATTGTACCTTGAGGCAGAAGGAAATGTTCATTATCTCGAGTAGCAGAACATGTTCCATATGCTTCAAAGAAAATGCTAGACCGACACAGCTATAAACTAAACACTTGATGTGACTGCTTCCTTTTGACCAGCACGTCCTCACCACCTGCTTCTTTGTTTAATCTCCAATAAATGGTGTGGGCTCCCAGAGTTCAGGGCCTTCACAGCCTCTATACTAGCATTGGCCCCCTGGACCCACTTTGTGTACTATTAGCTTGTCTCATTCCTTTGACTCTGCCGGACTTTGTAGCCCCCATGGCCTGGTGTTGGGTTTGATCACCTCAACACCAATGTGGCTATTTGTGACTGCCTTTGTTTTATAATATTTTTATTATTCACTTTGTACAGATGAAGACTTCCAGCTGTAGAGGCCAAAGGGGCCACACTGCAGGTAGAGCAGGCATTCACCAAGGCGTTTGTGATCCTGGGGTGCAGCTCCCACCCTTGGCTGCCTGGGTGCTTCTTTCCAGACCTACTGTCTTGTGACGTTCCCTTAGGCACGCAGCACAGGCTGCTTTCTGATTTAGAAGTGAGCCTGTTCAGTTGATGGCTCAGCGCAGGCCTCTAAAAAAGCAAGCCTGATGTGGGTTAGTACATCTGTGGTTGACTTATTTGGTGTTCATTTTTTCAGTTTTCAGAAAGGTCAGTTGAAGTGCTGCTGGTGGCTGTAGAATTGATACGCAGGGGAGGTTTTTGATCTGTGAGCTTTCTAAGGGACAATTGCTAAGCTGCACTGATTCCTTGAGCCCCTTTCCTTTGGAACAATGTAGAGCCCAGTTCATGGCTCCCAGAAGTTTAGGTCCAGTAATTTGGCTGCAGGCCTAGAGAATGGGAGGCTGCAGACTTGGACTAATGGTGAACTCTTGCCTCCCCCCAGGGATATGTGGTGCCTGTCATAAGCTCCAGAGAGCTGCCTTCCATGAGACCAGAAGAGTGGGCAAACATGAAGTCCAATCCCCCTATCCAGGCTGCCATTGACCTCATGGCAGGGGCTGCAGTTACAGTCCTGTGCCTCATAACCATGTTTCTGTTGGTGATGGATGGTGTATCGGATGGTGGTCCCATGAAATTATACCATCTTTTACTATACCTTTTCTGTGTTTATATACGTTTAGATACACAAATACCACTGTGTTACAGTTGCCTACAGTATCCAGTACAGTAACATGCTGTACAGGTGTGTAGCCTTGAGCAACAGGCCATACTGTACAGCCTAGGTGTGGAGTAGGCTATGCCATCTAGGGTCGGGTGTGTATGCTCTATGATAGCACAATGATGAAATTGTGTAATGACAGATTTTTCAGAACATGTCCCAGTCGTTAAGAAATGCCTAAGTATAATCCCAGAGAAAACCCAGTCTTCTCTATTCCTCAAGTACCTTCTAAATGAGATCAAATAAAAGTGGTAGGAAAACATTACCTTTCTCCCTCTAGAAGTGATGGGCTTTACCTTTGGGATGAATCCATTTGATGGAAGTGTGGCATTGTTCAGAGTGTGGCAGAAGGTAGAGAAGTGTCCATTATTGCTAACACCTTGTGAGTCAGGGTGAGGGGAGGAATGTGCCCAGTGCAGCTGGAAAACAGCTCAGAGGTGAAGCCCCTTGTCCATTGTCACCTGGCTGTGATAGGCAGGTGACATCGTTCTTCATTTCAAGCCTGGCAGTCTTCAGAGCCCTTGTAGTGCAAAAATAACACCATAGCATCTCCCAGGAAACATCACTTACTGTCCCTGCTAGTGTTGGGAAAGAAAGGAGGACACTCTTTAGAAATGTCTTTTACAATGAGACTGATAGTGGACTGTGTCTTACAGCCATGAAAGGAAAGGAGAAGTTGTAGGATTTCCTGGGAATGTCAGCTAACCTGAGCCTAGGGGCCTGAGCCCAAGGGCAGACTGAGGCTCCCCCAGCACAGGGAGGTGCTGCCTGTGACAAGGGGGTAGTGCTGGCACAGTGCAGGCTACTCCCTAGAAAGATCAGCTTGAATATGCAGGAAGAGCAGGACCCTCGGGCTGAGGCACAGGTGGAATGGGAAGTGCATGGTGGTAATTTAGTTCTCCAGAGGCCAGAAGTAGGAGGAGCAGTTGGAATGCTGATGGCCCAAAGGGAAACCCTGGACTACCCTGGCCTCCCACAGTAATTGTGGCTCCCTGCAGTGGGGAGGCCAGAAAGAGTGTTGCCCAATGCTGTCCTCATCCAGTCCACCCCCCACCCACCACCAACAGATGAGTATGGTCATGAGTGTGGTCACCTCATCAGTCATTTGCTCAGTTGTGAAAAAGAAATTGTTCCGAGAAGAGCAAAGTGTTTTTCCATGAGCCAAAGGTCGGCCAAGGTATGCTAATGAGGAGGACTGGAGACAGCACGTCACAGACACCGAGAAGGAGCACTGGGCAAGGGCACTTCTCCCAGGGCAGAGCCCACAAGGAGCGTCCTGGCACCAGACGCTCATGGAACTGAAGGCTGGCAGGGGTCCGCCCAGTAGTCTCTTGCCCGCTGCGTGCCTTTAGGCTACAGCCTCCCAGGCCCCGTGCCCCCTCCCCTCCCCTCCCCCATGCCACACTGGGGAGGATGCTGACCCTGAGAGTGGTGCAACCATCTGCCTGCCCCTGGCCACCACCTCTCACCAGCATGTGAATGCTCTTGGGCTCAGTTCTGTATCTGCAGTAGGAGGGTGTTTAGCCACATGAGAGAGTCTCACCTTTTGACATTCTATGTCTTTCAGTCTGTCAAAGATCTAGAACATATTGTGATGGAATTAAAAAGTTTACTTTTGGCTGGGCAAGGTTGCTCAAGCCTGTAATCTCAGCACTTTGGGAGGCTGAGGCGAGTGGATCACTTGAGTTCAGGAGCTCAAGACCAGCCTGGCCAATATGGTAAAACACCGTCCCTACTAAAAATACAAAAATTAGCCAGATGTGGTGGTACACGCCTGTAATCCCAGTTACTCAGGAGGCTGAGGCAGGAGAATTGCTCGAACCCAGAAGGCAGAGGTTGAAGTGAGCGAAGATTGTGCCATTACGCTCCAGCCTGGGTGACAGAGCAAGAATCCACCTAAAAAAAAAAAAAAAAAAAAGAGTTTACCTTTTCATATTTATGTGCATACAGGTATTTGGGTACCACATTTGTAATTTACAGTGAGTTTGAAAGATAGAAATTGTAACAGTATGGTTGGGAGCCAGGTATGTAAGGCAGTTGCCGATGGGCATGTTTTGAACCTGTATTGGGCCCTTATATGTATGATCTCTGTGATCCCATCATTACTGTTCATTTCTTCCAGGAGAGGAATGACACACTTCTCACTTTAATTGCCAGATTATCTCCAATTCTGAATCAGTGGAATATAATTTAATATGATTTTACTATGATTGAGTCATTCTCTCCCAGGTACTGCTGGGCTAGGATAAAATGAGATCTGAATTACATTAAAATAATTAATTATTCCAAGAGAAGAGGTGACAGAATGTTTTAAGTGGGTGTGTAATTTAGATAACCTAGATGCAGATAAGCTGAATAAAGCATTTAATCCAGCACATTCGTATTTTAACTTGATCATCAGCAATGGAAGTTGGAAACCCAATTGCAGCTGCAGGTCCCACACAACTGAATTTGGTTCCGTGTGCATAGCAGTGTTCGCTGGACATGCCTGGAGGTCTGAAGGTGCGCCCTTTTATAGGCAGGAATTCCACCAGGATGGGTATAGCTTGTTTTTTTAAAAGGCTTGGGACTGGATACGATTGCCCAAGAAGACAGTGTAGACAGCGAGGAGGGCTGAGCATGAATGGGATGACCTACCTGCACAAAAAGGGCAGGCAGGAAGGCAGTAAAGAAATGAGCAGGGCCCAAACCAGGAGAGTGTGGCATGCCACAATGGAGACTGAACAGAAACAAAACTACGGGCGACTGTAGTGTTGTTCCCTGTTGAAGGAGAGACACTCTATTACAGAAGACCTGGACTTCAGTTCAGTTCAGTTTCCTTAGCAAAGGACAAAATCAGGGAAGAAAAACTCACTTATGTGAGGCAAACATCGCATGCAGTGGTACCAACCAACTAAACATGATAAGCTACAAAGAACTATGGTTTTCGCTACTCTCAAAACGCTACTGAGATTACCAAGTTTTAAGCTTTTTCAAGATTATTTATAGGTGATTCCCCAACTGGGAAAGTCATTTCTGAATTTCTTCTCTTCTAAAATAGATCTAGAAAAATTAACAAACCTTATTCCAGTAAGAAAGTTTGGGATGTACTGCTTCAGCCCCTGTCCTAAGGAAATTATCAAGCCTGGAGGGTGGGGTGCTATCAACTGCCTGCCAACATGTTACCTTCTGGAATCCAGAAGCTTCCCTGTGCCAGGTGGAGCCACCAATGTGGGGAGGAGAGCACAAAGAGCAGAGAATCCACAGAAACCATACCTGCAGGGAGCAAACACCATCACACCCCACTGCTGTGAATGCAAATGCATTTACCTGTTCTTACCATCTCCCTCAGCATTTTGAATCTATTCTGGGATTAGACAAGCTCCCAGACTTAACTGCTATGTTTAATAAAAACATGGTAAAGGAAGAATCGGGGCTATTAAAATGCTTAAGAATGAGAAAGTTGAAAAAAGAAAAAAAGACGTAGATTGTGTTTGGCCTGTCTTCTCCCCACCGTAAGGGGTTGCCACTCAGCTGGAGGCCTGCTGGTTCATGTGGGCCAGCCCTCGACACCTCAGTGACCAAACAAAATACAACCCTCACTAGAGCTTCTTGTACTTGGCAAGACCCAGGCGTAGACCTGGGCTACCAAACAAAACCTTGTGTTCTTAGAGCCTGGGAACAAGAGCTTTGACAGTTTCCACAAAGAACTCTTCTGCAGCATTAGCATTTCTATTTGCACCTACCTGCAGCCATTACTACATTGACCTCTGGAAATGTCACATCAGCTGTTCTTGAGATAAAATACCATTTGCTATTTTTTTTTTCTCTAGGCCCTGTCCCTTTGATGTTAAGTGGTGGAGGGAGTTGGCGGGATTTGCCTATGGCTTGCGGTATATCCAGTGGATTGTATCAAATCCAGAATTCAAGTTCTTTCCATGTCTGGAAAACCGGCAGGATTTATCAGAACCTTTATAAATGTTGTGAAAAATGAAGGTGAATAAACACCTGTTTTTCCAGCATCTAGTATACATCTTAAAATCTGAGATGTGAACTGCTCTGTTTTGATTGTAAAAGGAAAGAGAACAGTAACACAGCAACTTTGTGTCCCAAATAGAGCACAGATAACTTGTCTATTACTCATAGTAATCCTCCCTTAAATTTGTATAACGTGAAGTTTTACAAAGTACTTATACCTCCCTTATCTAATTCAATCTTCATAACCACCCTGGGCAGTACTAATATTATAAACCAGTCTCCAACCTCAAGGTTGGTGCTCTTGCCACTGCCCAGGTGAAGCTGCAAAGCTGTGGCCACCTCTGTCTCCATGGTTGCATCTGTCTGGCCATCTCAGGCCTCAACGCTGACCCATCCGTGTACTAAGAGTTAACCAAGCATGGAATTGGGGTATGTTACCTGAGCATCAGTCAGTTTCGCCAGGAGACCTGATACTTGTCCTTGTTTCTGTTGGTCTATTTAGGGAAAGCTGGGAATGCGTCCTTCCATGACTTGTTGGTTTTTAGCACACTTGTCTGGATTTGCATGTGTAAATATACCTGTGCTATGCAGTTGTGTGGGTGTCCCCAAAGGAGGGACTGTTGCAGTCTTTACTTGCCCTTTTGTCTTCTAGGAATAATGGCCTTATATTCTGGACTGAAACCTACTATGATTCGAGCATTCCCTGACAATGGAGCACTCTTTTTGGCCTACGAATATACCAGGAAGTTGATTATGAGCCAGTTGGAAGCACACTGAAGTGTCTTGGAGGGCCTGAGCCAAGCACAGGTGTTTGAGGACTACAGTTCATCTCAGGGTTTCTTGTAGTACAAGACCAGTGTGAAGTTATTCTGATTTCTTGGGAATTTTGCTTTTTCGTCTTCCCTTATACCCTACATCTTAAATTGTACGGAAGAACCTCTATTTTGCATCATGTCATTTCTGCCCATAATTGTACTGAAATAGAGAAGTCACTGCTCTTTCCCTTGGTAAAATAGAGAGTGGTCAGTAGCCTTATGCATCTAATTCAAAAGACTGAGTACAGTTCTGTCAGGGCTTTTACATAAACCTCTACTTGCACATGCAATTTGGACAGTTATGTGCTGAGGGAAATACAGTTTGGTTCCATGTTTATTTCAAATATTACCAGAAAAACCCAGAGGTGATCATTTCTTATGAAGATGCTTACAAATGGTTGCTTAACCCATTCTAGATGTATGATCTGCTTAATGTGTGTTACTATTCTAAGTGGTTGATTTTTTTTTTTTTAATATGGAGTCTCAGTCTCTTGCCAGTCTGAAGTGCAGTGGTGCAGTCTCGGCTCACTGCAACCTCTGCTTCCTGGGTTCAAGCAATTCTCCTGCCTCAGCCTCCCGAGTAAGTGGGATTACAGGGGTGCTCTACCACACCTGGCTAATTTTTGTATTTTTAGTACAGACAGGGTTTCACCATGTTGGTCAGGCTGGCCTCGAACTCCTGACCTCGTGATCCACCCGCCTCGGCCTCCCAAAGTGCTGGGATTACAGGCATGAGCCACTGCGCCTGGCCAAATAAAACATATTTTTAACGAATAAAAATTAAGGACAAAGAAGAGCATTCCTTATAGAATGATAAAGGACACAATTCAACCAGAAGACCTAGCCTAAATATGTACACACCCAACATTGGAGCACCCAAATTCATAAAACAAGTTTTTCTTGGCCTACAAAAAGATTTAGACACACAATAGCAGCAGGAGACTTCAACAACCCACTGACAGCAATAGACAGATCATTGAGGCAGAAAACTAACAAACTCTGTACTTGCACTTGACAGTTGACCAATTGGACCTGATAGACATCTACAGAACGCTTTGACCAACAAACACAGAAGATACATTCTTATGTGCACACAGAACATATTCTAAGATCAAGCACATGCTTGGCCATAAAGCAAGCCTCAATAAATTCAAAAAGTTTGAAATCATACCAAGCACACACTCTGACCACAGTGAGACAAAAATAGAAATCAGTATCAAGAAGATCTCTCAAAACTACATAAATACATGGTAATTACATAATTTGCTCCTGAATAACTCCTGGGTGAAAATCTAAATTAAGGCAGAAATAAAAAAATTCTTTGCAATTAATGAAAATAGGGACACAACATACCAGAATCTCTGGGATGCAGCTAAGGCAGTGTTAAGAGGAAAGTTTACAGCACGAAATGCCTTCATCAAGAAGTTAGAAATATCTCAAATTAACTTTCCTACTTTGCACTTAAGGGAACTAGAAAAAAAGAATAAACTAACTCCAAAGCTGGCAGAAGAGAAATAACTAAAATTAGAGAAGCACTGAATGAAGTGCTTTTTGAAGTGCTGTTTTTTTTAGACTAGATGCAAAAATCCACACAAAAGATCAATGAAACCAATAATTAGTTTTTCAAAAAATAAACAAGATGGATAGCCTGATAGCTAAACAAAGAAAAAAAGAGAAGAGCCAAATAAGTACAATCATAAATGACAAAGATGACATTACAAACAATCCCACAGAAATACAAAAGATCCTCAGAGAATACTATAAACAACTCTATGCACACAAATTAGATAATCTAGAGGAAATGGAGAAATTCCTGGAAACATACAATCTCCCAAGATTGAAATAGAAAGAGATTGAAACCTTAGACAAATACCGAGTTCCAAAATCAAATCATTAATGTAAAATCTACCAACAAGGAAAAGCCCTGGACCAGATGAAGCAACAGCTGAATTCTACCAGATGTACAAAAGAACTGGTACTAGTTCTATTGAAACTATTCCAAAGAACTGAGGATGAGGGGCTCCTCCCTAACTCAGTCTATGAAGCCAGCATCAGCCTAATACCAAAATCTGGCAGAGAAACACACAAAAAGAAAACTTCAGGCCAATTACTCTGATTAACATAGACACAAAAATTCTCAACCAAATACTAGGAAACAGAATCCAGCAGCACATCAGTAAGTTAATCCACCACAATCAAGGCTTCAGTACAGGGATGCAAGGCTGGTTCAACATACCCAAATCACTAAATGTGATTCACCACATAAACAGAACTAAAAGAAAAATCATATCATCATCTGAATAGATGCAGAAACAACTTCTGATAAAATCCAACATCCCTTCACATTAAAAACCTCAACAGACTCGGCATCAAGGGAACATACCTCAAAATAATAGGAGCCATCTACGACAAACTCACAGCCACCAACCTACTGAATGGGCACAAGTTGGAACCAATCCCCATGAGAAATGGAGCAAGACAATGATGCTGACTCTCATCACTCCTATTCAACATAGCACTGGAAGTCCTACCTAGAGAACTCAAGCAGGAGAAAGAAAGAATAGGCATCTAAATAGCAAAAGAAGAAGTCAAATTATTTCTCTTCACTGATGACATGATTCTATATCCAGAAAAGCAAAGACTCTGCCAAAAGGCTACTAGAACTAATAACTTTAACAAAGTTTCAGGATAAAAAATCAATGTATAAAAATCAACAGCATTTCTATACACCAATAATGTCCAGGCTGAGAGTTAAATCAAGAACAGAATCCCATTTATGGTAGCGACAAGGAAAATGAAATAACTAGGAATACAACTAACAAAGGATGTGAAAGATCTCTACAAGAACTATAAAACACTGCGGAAAGAAATCAGAGATAACACAATTAAATGGAAAAACATTCCATGCTCATGGATTGGAAGAATCAGTATCATTCAAATGGCCACACTGCCCAAAGCAATTGACAGATTCAGTGCTATTTCTATCAAACTACCAATGTCGTTCTTCACAGAATTAGAAAAAAGTATTCTAGAAGTCATATGAAACCAAAAGAGGGCCTCAACAGCCTAAGCAAATCTAAGCAAAAGGGCAAAGCCAGAGGCTTCAAACTATAAGGCTACAGTATCCAAAACAGCATGGTACTGGTACAAAAGCAGACATATAGACCAAAGGAACAGAATAGAAAACCCAGAATAAAGCCTTACACTTAAAACCACCTGATATTGCAAGGCTGACAAAAACAAGCAACGGGGGAAGGACTCCCTATTCAATAAATGGTGTTGGGGTAACTGGCTAGCAATATGCAGAATAATGATACTCGACCCATACCTTTCATCATATACAAAAATTAACTGGAGATAGATTAAAGATTTAAATGTTAGACCTCCAGTGATAAAAGTCCTAGAAGAAAACCTCAGAAATACCCTTCTTGACATTGGCCTTGGGAAAGAATTTTTAACTAAGTCCCCAAAAGCAATTGCTATAACAACAAAGATTGACAAGTGGGACCTAATAAAGCTAAAGCGCTTTGGCACAGCAAGAGAAATGATCGACAGAGCAAACAGATAACCCAGAGAACAGGAGGAAACATTTGCAAACTATGTATCCAACAAAGGTCTAATATCCAGAATCTATAAGGAACTTACACAAATCCACATGCAGAAACCAAATAACCCCATTAAAAATGTGGAAAGAACATGACACATACTTCTCAAAAGAAGACATACAAGTGACCAATGAGCATCTGGAAAAATGCTTCACTTCACGAATTGTCAGAGAAGTGCAAATCAAAACCACAATGAGATACCCTCTCACACTAGTCAGAATGGCGATTGATAAAAAGTCAAAAACAACAGATGCTGGCAAGGCTGCAGAGAAAAGGGAACATTTATACATTGTTGATGGGAGTGTAAATTAGTTCAGCCACTGTGGAAAGCAGTCTGGAGATGTCTCAAAGAACTTAAAACGAGCTACCATTCGACCCAGTAATCCCACTATTGGATATATACCCAATGGGAAAAAGACCATTCTACCAAAAGACACACACACTGATATGTTCATTGCTGTGCTATTCACAATAGTAAAGATATGGAATCAACCTAGGTGCCCATCAGTGGTGGATTGGATAAAGAAAATGTGGTACATATACACGATGGAATTCTACACAGCCATAAATATGAGTGAAATCAGGTCTTTTGCAGCAACATAGATGGAGCTGGAGGCCATTATCCTAAGCAAATTAATGCAGGACCAGAAAACCAAATACCACATATTCTCACCTATGAGAGCTAAACAACAAGTACCCTTGGACATAAGGTTGGGATAAGTAAGGAGTTACTCCTGCCATTTTGTTATTTGTTTTCTGGTTGTTTTGGGGTCTTCTCCTCCTTCTTTCCTTCCTGTCTTTCATTAGTGAAGGTAATTTTCTCTGGTGATATGATTTAGTTTCTTGTTTTTTATTTTTCATGTATCCATTGTTATGTTTTTTGGTTTGAGGTTACCATGAGGCTTGTAAATACTATCTTATAATCCATTATTTTAATCTTATACTAAGTGTTCATAAACAAGTAAAAAGAAAATAAAAACTCTACAACTTAACTTTGTCTCCCTATTTTTTAACTTTTTGTTATTTCTATTTATATCGTATTATACCATCTATGTCTTGAAAAGTTGTAGTTAGTATTTTTGATTGGCTCATAGTTTAGTCTCTCTACTTAGAATAAGAGTAGTTTATACATCATAGTTACAGTGTTATAACATTCTGCATTTTTCTGTATACCTATTACCAGTGAGTTTTATACCTTCAGGTTGTTACTTATTGCTCATTAATGTCCTTATCTTTCCTGATTGAAATATTCCCTTTAGCATTTCTTCTAGGACAGGTCTGGTGTTGACAAAATCCCTCAGCTTTTGTGTGGAAAAGTCTTTATTTCCCCTTCACTTTGAAGGATATTTTCACTGGATACACTGTTCTAGGGTAAATGTTTTTTTCCTTCAGCACTTTCAATATGTCATGCCACTCTCTCCTGGCCTGAAACGTTTCTACTAAAGAGTCTCCTGCCAGATATATTGTAGCTCCATTGTATATTATTGGTTTCTTTTCTCTTGCTGCTTTTAAGATCCTTTCTTTATCCTTGATCTTTGGGACTGTGATTATTAAATTCCTTGAGGTAGTCTTCTTTGAGTTACATCTGCTCGGTGTTTTATAACTTTCTTGTACTTGGATATTGATATCTTTCTGTAGGTTTGGGACGTTCTGTTACTATCCCTTTGAATACACTTTCTACACTCCCCACCTCCTCTTTAAGGCCAATACCACTTAGATTTGTCCTTTTGAGGCTATTTTCTAGATTCTGTAGGCATGTGTCATTGTTTTTTATTCTTTCCTTTGTCTCCTCTATGTATTTTGAAATAGCCTGTCTTCAAGCTCATTCTTTCTTTCTTCTGGTTTATCAATTCTGCATTAAAAGACTCTAATGCATTCTTTGGCATGCCAATTACATTTTTTGGCTCCAGAATTTCTGCTTGATTCTTTTAAATTATTTCAATCTCTTTGTTAAACTTATCTAATAGAATTATGAATTCCTTCTCTGTTGTATCTTGAATTTCTTTGAGTTTCCTCAACACAGCTATTTTGATTTGTCTGAAAGGTCACATATCTCTGTTTCTACAGGATTGGCCCCTGGTGTCTTATTTAGTTCATTTGGTGAGGTCATGTTTTCTTGGATAGTGTTGATGCTAGCATATGTTCTTTGGTGTCTGGGCATTGAAGAGTTAGGTATTGGTTGTAGTTTTCACTGTATTTATTGTAGTTTTCCCTGTCAGGGCTTGTTTGTGCCCATCGTTCTTGGGAAGGCTTTCCAGATATTTGAAAGAACTTGGATACTGTGATCTAATCTCTATCTGCTTTAGGGGGCACCCCAAGCCTCCTAAACTCTGGTTCTTGCAGACTCATAGTGGCCTTAATGGTCTTGGACAAGATCCAGGATAATTCTCTGCATTACCAAAAAGAGACTCTTGTTTTCTTCCCTTGCTTTCTCCCAAACAAACAGAGTCTCTCTCTCTGTTCTGAGGCACCTAAAGCTTGGGGTTGAGTGACATAAGCACCTGTGTGGCCACCACTACTGTGACTGCATTGGGTCAGACCTGAGGCCAGCACAGCACGGGGTCTTGCCCAAGACCTGCTGTAACCACTTGTTAGCTATTGCAGGAGTTTGCTGAAGGCCCTGGGGCTCTACAGTCATCAGATGGTAAAAACAGCCAGGCCTGTGTCCTTCCCTTCAGGATGGCAAGTTCTCCTAGCCTCCAGGTGGATCCAAAGGTGCTGTCTGGGAATCAGGGCCTAGATCAAAAACTGTAAAAGTCTACCTAGTGTTTTATTGTGCTATGGCTGAGCTGTCACTCAAACCACAAGATGCAGTCCCTCCCACTCTTTCCACCCCTGTCCAAAGGCAGAGGAGCATCAATCCATGGCCACCTCAAACACAGGCCATGGAGGGGGTACTGCCAGACCACCACCAATGTTCTCATAAGGCCCAAAGGCTCTTAAGTCAGTTTGTAGTGAATGCTCCTGTTAATTATTTTAAATTTTTTTTTTTTTTTTTTTTTTTGGAGATGGAGTCTCACCCTGTCACCCAGGCTAGAGTGCAATGGCATGATCTCGGCTCAATGCAACTTCTGCCTCCCAGGTTCAAAAGATTCTCCTGCCTCAGCATCCCAAGCAGCTGGGATTATAGGCAACCACCACCACACCCAGCTAATTTTTGTATTTTTAGTAGAGACGGGGTTTCACCATGTTGGCCAGGATTGTCTCGAACTCCTGACCTTGGGATCCTCCCACCTCAGCCTCCCAAAGTGCTTCTTATAAAAGTACAAAATAGCTTAATGCATTATAAAAATAATCAAACTTACCCTTCTACAAATACTCGAAGAAGAACATCCATGAGAAAAAATAAGGCAATAGCTAGAGAAATAGAACGATACTCCGAAGGAATATAAAGTTTGCTGTCAGTGAAAATTAGGTCGGCAAGGACGAGAGTGACATCCAGTAAGACCAGGAAAACTCCAAATAGTCTAAAACAAACAAACAAACAAATAAATAAATAAATAAATAAATAAATGCAAAGATAAAGGGGCATTTGTCCCTATAGCTATACTATATTTAAGCCACTGATCAGGTACCAAAATGTCATTATTTAGTATTAAGCTGCCCAGTGGCAGGAAAAACTGTAATGCCTTAGAATCTCAGAAAAATCACTGTTTTCACCCAATAGAAGCAGTTCTTAATAAACAAAATTCTCACCAAACCACTTCACAAGATATTATCATGGCCTTTTATAGTAGACACATCAGACCAACACCTCAAGAGAGAAAAGTAAAACTGAATTAAAATCACCTGTGTCTGTTTACAAACTCTTCTTAAAATTTGAGAATTTCATAAGAAGTTTATACCAATTTCTCATAAAAAATAAACCCTCATTAATCTGGATAATTCTAAAGAATTTATTAATAAAAACCAAATGAAAGCATGAGTAACATAAGCTCTTAAAAGACCAAGATTTTTCATCAGTGACATTTTCAACAAGTACATGATTTCATATTTATGGGTGCTTCTAGCAGAGTGATGGGCACATGAGTCTTGAACTCTAAAGTACCTCCTGCCACTTGCTGTTACATATTCTAAATACATTCTCCATAAATTGATTAGACTATTTGCCTAATCTATGAAGGTGAATTAGTCTTTGAAGTACTTTTTTAAAAACTTGCAGCTCAAATTCAAATATTAATTCAGAAGGAAACAATTATATTGCATAAATCTATATTATAGTATGAAATCTTACTCTTATGTAGTCTAAGTAAATTGTTTCCAGAATTAAAGAGTAATTCCAGATGTATAAGGTACTAATAAAACACTTTACTAATAATTATATAATTTTAACATTTGATTTTCATTAATGTTACTTCTGCAGATGGAAGAAAAACAATATTAATGTTACTATTAATCTTAGGCAAAAGCCATTTATTTGCAATTCTTAATGTCCAGCTTAAACCAAAATTCCATGATAAATTAGATTACATTAGATGGGGCACATGGCTACTTAGCAACTGATGGACAGTGGAAATGCTTTTTTGTTATTTTATTTCAGTGTTTCTCATTGAAGTATTAAGTCTCATATATATATGTATGTATAGATACATATAAGACTCATATATTTTTTCTTTTTTTTTTTTTTACATGGAGTCTTGCTGTGTCGCCAAGGCTGCGGTGCAATGGTGCAATTTCAGCTCACTGCAACCTATGCCTCCTCGGTTCAAGCAATTCTTCTGCCTCAGCCTCCTGAGTAGCTGGGATTACAGGCACCCACCATTATGCTTGGCTAATTTTTGTATTTTTAGTAGAGATGGGGTTTCACCATGTTAGCCAGGCTGGTCTTGAACTCCTGACTTCATGTGATCTGCCCGCCTCGGCCTCCCAGAGTGCTGGGATTACAGGCGTGAGCCACCGCACCCAGCCAAGTCTCAGATATATTTAATACATGGTGTTTTCTATGTCTCACATACCCAAATGCAAAGGATGATATAATTGAATGCACAATTTTCTTAATCTTGCTGCTGCAAAAAGAAGTAAAAATAAAATTAATCAGATTTCTTCTAACATACATTGTAAATTTAACCAAAAAACAAAGGCCCTTATAAATAAATTTTAAAAGAAAATTATTCAGAAGTTGTATAACAAAATGCTTTTTACTAATAGCTAAAATTTTATTCTTCCTGCTCCATGAGTATTTTACTTGTTTACTATGCTATCCAGAAGACAGTAAACTTTGGATGTTTAGTAACATTTCCATTGCATGCAAAGCCCCAACCCCAACTTTACAGCAATACTAAACTTAAACTTGTGGTCACCATCTCAAGGAGTATAGCATGAAGACAGAAAAGGGTGGTAGAAGAGAACTGTATTTTAATGCCAGCCTGGGCAAATCAAACTTTGGCCAGATCTCAGTTTCCACTGCAATAAAATAAGGTGTTTCAGGAATGAGCATAGGGAGTAAATGATGCTCTTGTCATCTCCTCAAACTAGACACCTAGTGAACAGACACACATTAGCAAGAGTCGCATATGAGGTTGCAAATGAACTTCAGAGGTAAGACATTTTAGTAAGATATACTTCAAAGGAGAAACACCCGAAAGACTGGGCTCCTTCCATTAATCAAAGGAAGGAGAACCTGTTTGATGGAGCCTCCAATAATGCCTCATTTTACCTTATGGCTGGAGACAAGGTAGCTCATGAGGAACAATTTTTTTTGTCCTACTGAAGCCTCCTGTGTTGGAGGCTCTTCAGGAGGAGAAGCCTCCAACACAGGAGGCTTCAGTAGGAGAAGACTTCAGGAAGTTTCTGTCATACTGAAGCCTCTAACACAGGGCTCAAATTCCACCCCAAGAGCCATGAATCCTAAGACAATGCTCACAGCCTGTGCCTAAGACTGGAGAAGAAAGAGGGCAGATATTGAGCAGAACTGGGGCACTGACAATTGGCCTTTGACATGAACAGACATTTCTCAAAAGAAGACATGCATGTGGCCAAGCATATGAAGAAAAGCTCAATATCACAGATTAGAGAAATGCAAATCAAAACCACAATGAGATACCATTTCACACCAGTCAGAATGGCTATTACTAAAAAGTCAAAAAATAACAGATGCGGGCAAGGTTGCAGAGAAAAGGGAACACTTATACATTGTTGGTGGGAGTGTAAATTAGTTCAACCACTGTAAAAAGCAGTATGGCAATACCTTGAAGAGCTAAAAGCAAAACTATTTGACTGAGCAATCCCATTACTGAGTAGATACCCAGAGGAATATAAATCATTCTACTATAAAGATACATGCATATGAATGTTCACTGCAGCACTATTTACAAATAGCAAAGACATGGAATCAACCTAGGTACCCATCAATGACAGATTGGATAAAGAAAATGTGGTACATATATACCATGGAATACTATGCAGCTATGAAAAAAGAATGAGATCATGTATTTTGTGGGAACATCGATGGAGCTGGAGGCTCTTATCCTTAGCAAACTAGTGCAGAAACAGAAAACCAAATACTGAATGTTCTCACCTATCAGTGGTAGCTAAATCCTAAGGACTTATGAACACAAAGAAGGAAATAGACACTGGGGTCTACTTAAGTGGGGAGGGCAGGAGGAGAGAGGGAAGCAGAAAAGATAACTATTTGGGTACTGAGCTTAATACCTGGATGATGAAATAATATGTAAAAAAAAAAAAAAAAAAAAACCTCCCCGACACAAGTTTACCTATGTAACAAACCTCACATGTACCTCCAAACCTAAAAGTTAAAAAAAAAAATTGGCCTTTGATGAATGATGTTAGGTTAACCTGAGATAAAGGAAATCCCCAATCCTTCTAATCTGCCCCTCTCCACCTGGACCCACCACCTCCACCCAGGCTTGGGGAGTTAAGGCTGATGTAGATGGAGGATCAATTGGCCAAAAGAGGTGAATTCTCTCCTCAAGTTGCCATTCCCTTACTACAAGAACCTCTGATCCCACACAGTCTACTGGATCTCTGGGTATCAAGGAAATGTCATAAATCTGAACTCACTTTACAATGTCACCATACAGAACCAAGTCTGACAGATTACGAAGGCATGAAGAAGTGGCTTGGGTGGCTTTAGCCCCTTAATCTGTTTCAGTGTCCCCTGAAACTATACCAAGTAAATACACAATTGAGACTTTTTTGGTTAAAAAAGGTGTACTATGTAAA